>NC_000020.11:42981385-43284415 GCF_000001405.40 Homo sapiens
TGTAACCACACCCTTGGGTTATCCCTTCCCACACTGACTGTGGCCCTGGCCACGTGAGTTGCTTTGGCCAATAAGGCATCAACAAACATGCTGCAAGCAGAGGCTTGAAGAAGTACTTGCGCATTGGGCTTGCCCTCTTGTTGCACTTGGAAGCCTGAGAGCATCACAGGGATGAACCTGACCTAGCCTGCTGGATGGGAACCCACATGGAGGAGAACCAAGGTGCTCCAGAGGGCAGCCTGCTGAACTCCAGAGATGTGAGCAGGGCACTTGAGACACATGAGAGAACCCAGCAGAAACTAAACAAGCTGGCCAGAGAAGAATAACCACCTACTGGACACGCATGATTGTACACAAAATAAAACGGCTATTGTATAAGCCACTAAGTTGTGAGATCATTTGTTACACAGCAAAAACTGACACTATCAGGCACTGCATTTATGTTCATTTCCTTTTTCCCTTTTCTAATGGATGGCTTTGGGTGTTGGCTAGGAAGGCTGAGCACTAGCAAAACAGTCACCAACCCAATCAGAAATGGCAATGGTCTCTTTATGGGGCGCTCTTTTCAGCTCCTTCCAGCTCCAGAGGCCACAACTAGACCGAGGGAAGAAGACATAGGTGGGAAGATCCCAATAAGTCCCTAAACTCATCTGAAAAGATATGTGGGTTTCCTAACAAACTCATATAGCATCACCAATATGTGGGTTTCCTGATTTTGGCTCAGGCACCCTTGGGAAAGTTTCACGCATTCCTGGAAGTACTGAAAGACCTTCGTTAGGTTGACGAAGAGGTGTCATCCATGAGTTTCTGCCTACACTTACCACCAAATTTTCAAACGTACTCAGCATCATTATGCTGCCGGCACGGGGCTGGGTGGTGGAGAGAGAGAGAGCCATGACTAAGAAGCCATCCATCTGTCCTCACAGAGCTCACTGTGCATGTGGGAGGTAGACCTTAATAGAGTAAACAAACAAGTAACATAATTATATCATGTGATAAAGATTATGCAAGAAATACACACAGAGCTTGGCAGAGCGTGACTGAGCACGGGACCATGAACACCCACTCAGCAAGGAGGGAAGGGAAGGCCTCTCTGAGGAGGTGAGATGTGAAATAAGATCTAAGCGTATAAAAAAAGCCAACCATTAGGAAAAAGAAAAATCTGCCAAAGAGAACTATGTGAAGGCCCTGAGGCAGCAAGGAGCTTCTAGAAGTCAGAAGGTGACCAGTGTAGATGGATCGAAAGGGGAGGAGCGATGGGAGATGAGGCCATGGAGGTGAGCAGGGCCAGCTCCGTCCACTCGGCTTCCCCAGCCAAGGACCTGGTTGCCTCCCAGGTCCTTGATGAGCAGCCTCCATCCCTCTGCTCCTCTCCCACACCCGCCCTCCTGAGGTTCAGCTCCAGGGTGCCATTGCTGCTCTTATGACACGGAGAGCAGAGGTTGAGGATCTGATGACTGCAGGCACAATTCCTCTGTGCCAGGCACTGCGTGAACTTTCTGCCCAACTTCTTATAATCTATCCAGGTAGATATAATCACTACCTCCCACATACCTTACGGGCATTAGACGATCTTCCCAAGGTCACACGGCCAGCCGGGGTCAGCAAGCAGCTGCCAGTGCTGGGATTTGGGCAGCAACCTGTCTACACAGGCTCAGACTCCAGGCTGGCTCCGGTGGCTCCTTTGGTGTTATAGTCACTTCCCCACTGGGTGCTTTGTCTCTTCTGCTCTTGTTATTTCAAGCTCTCCCATCCTTTGTGTGCACATCCTTTGTGTGTCTCTTCAGGGAGCCCCAAAAGAGACCCTTAAACATCTCCTCTTACATTTCACTAGGTTAAATTTAGGCCACTTTGTAGCCTGTCACAGCCATGCTGAGTGCTAAAATGCCCTACAACTCCAAGGTTGGAAATAACAATGAAAATGAGTTGAGAAGGGAGACCCAGTGTTGGCTGAGTGATTTTTCTCTGCCAGTCACAGAGCTAAGCACTCTACATCCTCCTGCTGTTTAATCCCTTAATCAACCCCAGGAAGCTGAGCAACTTCCCAAGGTCACAGAGACACCAAGGCAGAGCCACAGTGGGAGTCCAGGCACCACCAGGGTGTTCTGCCTCCCAAGTGAAGTCCCCCTGGATGCCATATCCACTATCAGAGGGACATCTCCAAGCTGGGCACATGACACCAGCACAGAAGGTGTCTTGCAGGTCCTGGGCTCCTCCTGGGATCTGGGGATGCCCACTTCACACTCCTGAGACAAGTGTAGTCCACAGGGAGGTGTGGCCAGAGGCCCTGCCCACAACCCACTAGAAATGAGAGATGGTTTCACACACCTTGGAGGTACTGCCCAGAGCTTCCCCTTCCACTTCCACCCCACTGTCGTGTTTCTTTCCAGTTTCCTGCCTTACTTCTGGCAACCTAATGTTTTGTGTATAGGCCTTATTCCATTTTCCCTGTTTAACATAGGTTGTATTTCCCTGGGCACGCTGGCCCCATCTCCATCTCCCATGGGTCCCAATTTGCCCTTCTCCACCACCAACACACATTCTTCCAATCAGACAACTCCACTTTGGTCTCAGCTCCCCAGCCTGGAGCTGACTGGTCAGGTCTACCATGCCCATTTGAGTTTTATCTGCAGGATACCACCATGTTCGCTCACAATCACATGCATGCAAATATGGACAGGTACACTCAGCTGCACCAAAACATACAAGTTAATAGGCATGCATTTATCCACATGTGCACAAGCACACAGCTCCCCATATATAAGCAGGTATGTTCATATATGAATGCACATGTATGTACAAACATGAGTGTATATGCAGGCTCACAGACACATACATACATGCACCCTTCCTCAATTCACAAAGAAGTAACTAATCAAATGCCACAAGTCATTCACAAGCCACGAGAAGACTGGAATTGACAGACCATATAAAGAGACAGACAGAAAAAGTCCTGAACATGCCAGTTAAAAAGGCTCTGCTATTGTCTATCACACAGAAGCTTGTAAAAAGACCACATTATTTCTGACACAAATACAGCTCTCCACTTTCTGTAGAAGGATTCCAATAAAGATAAGAGCTTTCTCATTATTCTAATGTGGAACAAAAACAATCTCCCCTTTCCAAATCAGCACACAGAAGTAAAGTCTCCTTAGTTAACTCTGCAGCTCCCTACCCCATGATGCTCAGCTCACTCCACCATCATGCAGCAAATTTTCTTGAGCACCTACTATGGGCTGTCATGCAAGTTTTATTATTTAGTTCTCACAATAACTTCCAAGGTAGGAATCATTGCTTTTATTTTTACAGAAAAGTAAATAGGCTCAGAGAAGTTCTTTAACTTAACCAAGTCATATAGGTAGTAGAAGAAGAGCCTAGGCTTGTCTGACACCAAAGTCCATTCTCCTTGTATGATGCCAGTCATAAGAACAAAGAGTTCAAGAAAGACTCAAGACCTAGGAATCAGCAACAGTTAAAGGAATGAATGCATAGCATGTGGTAAGCAGAGCCAGTAAGTGCTAACGACAGAGGCTGACCAGGTGGCTTAGGAAGTTTTAGGTGGCCTAAAGGGTGAATGTACTGGTAGAAGACAGTGGGGTAAGACAGCAGGCAATTCAGGAAGAAGGAATGAGGAATAACCAGACATGAAGATTGAGTGAATATGACCCAACTGGGAGCTACAGCAGGAGGGATCTTGAAAGAACGGAATGGAAGTTGCAATGGGGGTCAGGACTTTGAAGAGCAGGTTCAAGAGCCTGGATGCCATTACTTCAACATTTTTACGACTCAGCAACTCCATGCCAGGCCCTGTACTAGAAAGTGGGAATACCGCCGGGTGTGGTGGCTCACACCTGTAATCCCAGCGCTTTGGGAGGCCGAGGTGGGTGGATCATGAGGTCAGGAGTTCGAGACCAGCCTGACCAACATGGTGAAACCCCGTCTCTACTAAAAATACAAAAATTAGCTGGGTCTGGTGGCTCGTGCCTGTAATCCCAGCTACTCGGGAGGCTGAGACAGGAGAATCACTTGAACCCAGGAGGCAGAGGTTGCAGGAGCCAAGATCACACCATTGCACTCCAGCCTGGGCAACAGAGTGAGACTCCGTTGCTAAATAAATAAATAAATAAAGTGGGGATACAGTGGCCAACAGAACAGAACAGAACCCAACAGAACCAAGACCCCTGCTCTTGTAGAGCTTACTCTCTTGTGGGGGTAGGGGTGGGAAACAGATCAAAAACAATGCACTTTTTTAAAAATACAGACTTTTTAAAATTATATAGAATGAAGGTGGTAAATACTACAGAGAAGAAAACCTAAAAGTAGATCAGAGGTAAAGGGGAGGGGCCATAATTGTAAATAGAATGGTCAGACTCAGCCTCACTGAGAAGATGTTCAAAGTCTAGCGGGGGGATGAGGAGTGCGCCCCCCAGAGCCAGGGGAAGGTTGATGCAGGTATCAACAGCAGCCAAGGTGAAGGTACGCCTCCCTGTTCAAGGAGCAGCCCAGCAGTGTGGCCAGCAAGGCTGGAGCCAGATGAATGAGGGTAAGAGAAGCAGAACACAAGGTCTACATTTATGACCGTGAACCACAGGAGCCTCAAAAGGCAAGACAACAGGGACATAAAATTAGTACAATGGTGTAGTGAGTCCAAGTTACCGCGGATCATTTCATTCATCTCTATCGATCATTCATTCCATGAACAGAGCAGCAGGAAAAAAAGGATCTTAATATGATATTCAACTAATCCTTGACATTAATATGAAGCTCTGACACTATGCCAACGAATATGTCATTGTACACACACTACCTTCCTAAGGCCACAGGAAATGGGAGCGGCCTCAAGCCAGATTTTCTTCTGTACCAGAATCATTTTCAAGAGCGATTAGGTGGGAGGGCACAGACCCTGAGGTGTTCCCAGCCCCTCTGTGACTCACTGAGGTGTTCCCAGTGTCTCCAAAGCAAACCAGCTTCCTGCAGCCTCCACCTGTCCATTTTAGGACGACCAGCGTTTGATGAAAATAGACCTAAGCATTCTGGCATCTTCCTCCACCTGGACTCATCCTGAGTCACCCACTCCCCTCTGCAGCATCCTGTGGAATCCAACTCCAGCATTCCCCTTAGTACAGCTCGAGAGACAGTTTCTGAATGGAGCTTTGTCTAGCCCTAAGGGTCATATGAGGTCAGATGAGGCCAGCAAACAGAACTAGAGATTCCTAGCTCATGGACGATGATGGTGACTGTGACAAAGAAAGCGACAGTAGATAGTCATCCATTCTTCCATGCGTCACTCACTGTGGGAAGGAGTTTACATGGATTTATCTCATTTGAGGCTCATGAAACTCCTACAAGGTAGATAGTATTTATATCCTATCTGCAGATGAAGAAACTAAAGCATAAACAGTAAGCAGCCTCCACACCCGACTGTGAAGACACCGAACCACACCCAGCCCTAGAAAGAGAGCTGTACAGTGGGGGCTTCTGTGAACACCAGAGGCTGGGGACAGACTCTCCTCTGGGAGAGGACTAACCCATCCATCCTTTGCAGTTGCTGTCTTAGAGGCCACATCCCTGCATCAGGCTAGACCAGGTAGAAACAAACACACACTGACTCCCGCTTCAGCGGTTCCAATCCTCATATGGTACTGGGGCTGTAGGAAGGCACAAGAGGCCACAGAACTCAGGACAGTTGGTGGGCAGCCATCATCTCCACCTAGACCCCCACATCCACCCCTCCCTGCCTCCCTCTGTTGTTTCCACCCATCCTCGCCCCTGCAACCAGCACTGCCTCCCTACAAACTCCTCTGAGGTGATACCACTGCCCTGCCAGGAGCTTCTCCCCCAGCTGCCCTTGCACTTTCTACACTGCCCTAGAGGGTGCCTACTGGCCACATGAGGCTACTTGAATTTAAATTGACTGACATTAAATAAAATGTCAAATTCAGTTCCTCAGTCGCACGAGCCACATTTCAAGTGCACAATAGCCACCAATGGTTGGTGGCTATGGTGGTCGGCAGTGCAGATACAGAATACTGCCCTCAAGGCAGAAAGTCCTGTCTGCAGCTCTGGCTTAGCTGACAAAATCCCAACCCCTCATGGGGCCTGCCAGACCTGCATGGTCTCACCTTGCTTGCTTCCCAGCCTCTTCTGGTGGACACTTGGTCATGCTGTCACACTCCAGCCACCCACCCTGTCTTCAGTTCCTCAAACATACCAAATGTCAGCCACCTCAGACACTCACCCCGCCCACACTCCGCCCACCCCTCCCCCACAGTTTCCTCGGCTAAAGCCCCCATTCTATCAGGAGTCACTGCAAACTTTGCTTCCTCCAAGCCATCATCCCTGACACCCCCACACCAAAATTCACCCATACAGATAAACAATAGTTGCAGTAATTATCATAACCTCTCACTGCCTGTCTCTCCTTTCATGGCACTTATGAAACGTGTAACATCTTAAGGCCACAGTCACCCGAAAGCTTGACGGGAGCTGGGGATCCTCCTCCATGCTCACACATGTGGCTGCTGGCTGGAGGTCACGTGGGCCTCTTCACAGGACAGCTTGCCATTGCTTCCCTCTGAGCAAGGGATCCCACAGACAGGCCGAGATGGAAGCTGTAGTAGCTCTTATTACAATCGAATCTTGGAAGTGACAAATCAAAGCTTCTGCCAAAGTCCACTGATCACACACATCAGCCCTGGAACAACATGGGAGGGATTCTACAAGGAGGCAAGGATTTTGTGCCCCATCTTGGAGACGGGCCACTGAAGGCTGTGTGTCCTGTTTATCACTGTGTCCCCAGAGTGTTGAAAATAGAATAAGTGCTCTGTCAATGTTACCAAAACAAAGAATGGCAGCCTTCTCATCAGAGGGGCCTCACTTTCCTTGTCTACAAAACCTAGGAGTCAGGCGTGAAAATATTTAATGTTCTTCCCCATTCGAAAAGTCCTCTGGTCCATGTTGACTATGCAGTCCGTGCTTGTCTTGCCCTTAGTTGAAGTGGTGACATTTAAGTGAACAGCTGTGGATCTGTGCTCCACGGGTCTGCTCTCTCAGGGACAGGGTCATGGGATGGGGGAGATGTACCAGGCTTCCCTCCCTCTGACTTGGGTCTAGTCCAGGCTTCCCATCCCCCATGTGCTGCAAGCAGCTCGGTCATACAACACATGGCAACTGACAGGTTCATGACGGCCAATGAAATTATATGCACCATACAGCAGGGAAACACACTCACACAGGACCAGCAGAGCCACTGACTTTTTATTAGATGCTTCTCCCAGGCAATAAACCAGGAGAGACAGTGGCTGCAGGGAAATAGGAACCCCTGGTCAGAACCTGTGACTGGGTCAGTCATTTGCAGCAGAGATGAACATTGAGTCTTGGCCTCAGGGGTAAAGAGTCAACCGGAGGGACATGCTAGGAATGAGGGCAACCATTCGACGAGGTGACAGTGTGCCTTGTGACCTGCAACTGCCAACACCCATGAGCATCACAATGATGGAATAGTAATAGCTACCTTGCAAGAAGCACCTGCTACATCTAAGACACTTCACATGCTTTATCCCTAATGCTTGCATCATCTTCTAGACACTAAGCCCATGTTTATCCTTTATCATAAGGTCTCAGGATAACATCACACAGCATATGACAGAGAGTAAGCACTCAATAACCATTGTGTGAATGAATTAGTAAATGAATGGGCAAATGCCATCAGATTGGCATTATTATGCCCATTTTATGGAATAGAAAACTTAGGTTTATCTCTTTGCTCCAAGTTATGTGGGTGGTACTGAGTAAAGGGCTGGGTTTGAACTCTCAACTCCCTGATTCCAAGTCTGAGACCCTTTTCACATTACACCAAATCCTTAAATATTTTGCACATGGGTGCAAGCACAATTAGTAAAATTCTACCAATTTCCATGGGATAGCACAGTTCTTCATGAAAACACAGAGATCAGGAAATATTTGTGTGAGCAGTGAGAGATGACAAAATGTAGCACTGCCGTGGTTTGGGAGAACCCGGGAGTATCACTTTAGCAGTTAGCCAGTGTACAAGGCATACCTTGGCCCATGTGGCTGGTGCCCTTCCTGGGTCACAGCAAGTGAGCACTGGGCTTTCCCAGTGAGGCTGACAAGGACTGCCCAGGTAGAACCAGGGGAACAGGAAATGTGTCACCCTAGAAACGAGTATTGGTTTATTATTATACAAAACTCCACTGGCTCCCACAAATCAACTCAGGTACCACAAGGATGTTCCATCAATGTTTTCATTCCCAAACACTTGATTCCATTTCCCCAGCCACTCCCTCCTCCCTCCCTTGACAGCAGAAGAGTCTACAGACTGCTGTATTTTCTGATTTGCTTTCATGCTTCATTTACCTTACTTAAGTATGATTTCAACTGGGAAAATTGATGATTATAAGCTGGAATTTTGAGATGTAAACTTGAAATCACTGAGAATGTGAAAGGCAATGAGCACAGAAAAACCTCCAGTCACAGAAGGTCACACCACAGTCACATCCCCTTGGGCTTCTCCCAATAACACCACAGCCCTTGTGGAGATGTTGAATGAAGACTGAGCAGCATTCACCAATGAGTAGGATGCACATAGGTGCTTTGTTTCTTATAGGCTTGTCATTATTGATTATTGTAGAAACAAACAAAAAAATGTGCCTAAGTATCATGACACGCACAAAACATCTATCATCTTACGAAGCCGTCACCGTTTCAAAGAGATATTAAAAAACATATGCACTTTTAAAAGACATTTTAAAGTCTATGGGAAAAGAAGGCATGATGGTGAACAACTTAGAACAGGGGTCAGAAAACTATGGTTGGCTGCTTATTCTAAATAAAGTTTTATTGGGAAAAAATCTATTGGAAAAATATTTCCTAGCTGGCTTTCTAGAGAAACGGTTGCCAACCTCTGATTTAGATACTGCATTGAGGATTTGTTCAGCTTTTTTTTAATGTTGGTATTTATGAAGATGTTAAGTTAATAAGTGACTGATAATAAAATCATCTGGTGCATGGGATTTAGGGTTGTTTTGTTTCGAAGGGAGAAAAAAATGTTTTTAATGTATAAACTTACACACTAATGGGCCCACATCAAGAATGGGTAAAACTTCAGAGAGCCATAGTGTATATCAAGGCCACCATACACCCTACGACCTAGGTTTACCTCTGTATCTCTCACTGACACTCTCACCAAAAAAGTGTGTTCAACACAATAGTGAAGATGATATGTCTTGGAAAAAATAAAGCAAAATGGTCACCTCAATTATATTTTTAAACAAACTCACTGTAAAATGAGAAGTGACTTTGAAAATGTAGGTACTGTCATGGTTTCAGAACTCTAAGTCAAAATCTTATTTTTCTTTATGAAGGGAATAAAATGGTGACACAAAGAAAGGTCAAAATCTAAATAAGAACTAATTCATTACTCACCTTAATGAAAAGGGGAGTTTGCAGAGTTAGATAATTTAGCAGATATTGTTTCATAACTGAAAACATTCTTATGTGAAGTGGACAGTATTGATCAGAAAGAGTTTTTGTTATACAAAAAGGAAAGAGGTAAAGATGACCTGGTAGGAATAAAGGGTATTATATTAGAAAATTTAGGGGGTGAAAGGAAAGCTTTACAGGTCATTTCGACCTTGTGGAGAGAAGCAAACCCAGGAGAGAAAGCGGGCGGAACTCTGAAATGGTTTGCATTCTTTTAACTACAAAAATGAGGGAAGCTGAAAACAGTAAGAATTTGACCAGGCTGAGTTAAGGGTTGTAGTTACATTTATCGTGTAAAAATGCACCCTCAAGGGACTGGACCTGAGGCTCCTTTCCCATGCTAATGAAATAATCATAGAGGCCAGCCACCTCCAGTCTTGTTCTGAAGTCTGAAAAGTTTTTCTGCAAGGCACTAGGATAGTAAGTATTTTTGGGTCCACAATACATACATTATCTATCACAACTGCTCACCTCTGCTGTTGTGGGGCAAAAGCAGACACACATAATACATAAATGAATGAACATAGCTGTGCTCCAAAAGAAAAAAAAAAAGAAACGTATTTATATAAATAAGCTATCTGAAATACTGTATGATTCCACTTCCATGAGTTACCCAAAACAGGCAAATCCACAGAGACAGAAAGTAGAGTGGTGGTTTCCAGGGACTGGTGGGGGGCAGATGGAAATGGGAAGTTACTGTTTAATGAACACAGCTTTTTGGGGGATGATGAAAAAGTTCTAGAAATGGATAGGAATGATGGTTGCACAACACCTGAATCTACTTAATGCCACTCAATTGTACACTTAAAAATGGTCAAAATGGTAAGTTTTATGTTATGTCTATTTTACCACAATAAACAAATTAAATATATATTTTAAGATAAACACATAATATAAGCATATCTGATTCCTTGTTGCAAATATTTGTCTCACCCTTGGGGTCCAAGTGATAACTGGGTGGAAAGTCCCACGGGATAAATTTAAAACCAGGTTCAAACAATCCCAGCCCATAAAAATTTCTTAAGACTGCTAGCAGGTTAAACAGTCTTCCAAATACAGCCAATAAACTTTTCATTCTATTAAATATTTTTTGCCTGTTGAGATGAGAATAGAAACAAAATTCTTGGTTTTCAGTTTACTCAAAGTACTATGTGTGACATAATTTCTCTAGAAATTATATTGAAATATTTAACATTACTATTTAAATAATAAACAAAAATCAGCAATTAAAAAAATAAAAGACTGCCCAATTTGGTCCCCAAGTCATAGTTCGCTATCCCCTACTGTAGAATTTGGAGGACACATCCAAGAGGTTTTGTGTGCTACATCAAGAATGATGTCATGAGAGAAAGAACTTGAGGTCTGGATAAAAGGATTAAATTGAACCCGGACATTGAAAAAACCCCTCTGCTGATTCTAGACAAGTTGTTGTAGTTCATATATAGTGTCAATGCACATCCATGTTGCCTCACCTATTTAACTCATCAGTGCCCATCCCTGGAAAATGGAGAAAAGGAGGAAACTCAGTCTATTGGTGCTCAGTCTATTGGGCCAGTAAGCTGGCCCAGGAAGCAAGGAACCTAGCTGCCCTGCCTAGCCTTTCTTCCTGACAGCCAGGAGGGTGAGGAGCAGAAAAAGGAGTTAGCATCTTTATCCAGCAACCAAGACCAAAAAACTCTTAGTGTTTTAATGGCATGTGTCAAGATAGCTGAGCCAAAAAAGAAATCGGAGGATTGGAAGATTAGACTTGACTAGGGAGACTGTTTCAGTTACCTATTGCTGCATAACAGGTCACTCCCAAATTAGTTGTTTAAAATGATCTCAATCATTTATGGTCTCCATGGATCAGGAATCACTAGCTCAGCTGGGCAGTTCTGGCTTGATGTCACTGGCACAACTGCAATCACATAGAGACTGATGCAGCTAAGGGCTGGTGAGCACCTCTCTCACTCTCTTCATGTAGTCTCAGGCCTCTCCATGTGGTCTTTCATGTGGACTAGTTAGGGCTTCCTCCAAGTATGGCCACCTTTAATATGTTACATGGTGACACAGAACTCCAAAGATGAGTGTCTGAAGAAAGAGAACAACAGTTGCATAGCCTTTTCTCTAACCTAGCCTTGGAAGCCACACAGCATCAGTTCCACTACATTCTATTTATCAAGTCAGTCATGAGTTTCAAGGGGAAGGGACACAAACTGAGGCATGACGAGCTTCCGGAAAAGCACACGGAACAGAAAATATGTATTTGGCCTTTTAAAAATATACAACCTGCCTGTAATCCCAGCACTTTGGGAGGCCGAGGTGGGTGGATCACACGGTCAAGAGACTGAGACCAGCCTGGCTAACATGGTGAAACCCTGTCTCTACTAAAAATACAAAAAATTAGCCGGGCGTGGTGGCGGGTGCATGTAGTCCTAGCTACTTGGGAGGCTGAGGCAGGAGACTGGCGTGAACCTGGGAGGCAGAGCTTGCAGTGAGCTGAGATCATGCCACTGCACTCCACCCTGGGTGACACAGCGAGACTCTGTCTCAAAAAAAAAAAAAAGTATGTGTGTATATATATATATGTATGTGTGTGTATATATATACACATATATGTGTGTGTATATATATACACATATATGTGTGTGTATATATATACACATATATGTGTGTGTATATATATACACATATATGTGTGTGTATATATATACAATCTGCCATAAGAACTAAAACTCATTTGGGCCTTTCAGTTTATTTACATATGAATACAATTAAAATACTCATGATAAAGAAAATATTCTCGGTCCTCTTTCTTTGCTCACACACTCCTTGGACCAGCATTTCCCAGACTGGTAAACCAAGACATATGACATGAACAACCTGACTTATCACCAAAACTCACCAACATTAGCCTAAAATATTGCATCATGCCACCTTTCTGGTAGGATTCAGTACCTCTCTGCTTGGTGATTGCCCTGACATCGCTTGTCACACAGCGAAATAACCAATTTATGCGAGTAAGCCCTGTTGAGATATCCTGACTCAAATAGAAGAGAAACTGTCTGGACACAAGCCCAAAACACATTGTCAGCTCTCCACTCAGTATAGTCTTCTCAGTGACAGACTTGAGTCAGTGCAATTTCATCCATTAAGTAACGGGAATAGTAGAAAACTTTTGGGATGTTATTCTTTGGATTATAATTTAAAATATGTGTGGCACCGGTATGTATTCATCTGCTATGTATTTATCCACTCCCATTTCATTGATCTCTCCCTAGGCACATAAGACCACCTCATTTCTGAGCTTCTCTTGCAGTTCTATCGAGACCATGTGACTGGATTCCAATCAACTGCATGACTTGTAGGCCACTTCCAAGCCTTACCATAAACTCCACTCTAATGCTCCACACTTTTTCTCTTCTTCCTTCCAGGCTGAACTCAGAGACCAAATGTCAATATGACAAGTTAGAAGGACCCCAGAGTCACCACTTGTGAGGTGCCACAAAACCTATTTTGAAATGTGACTTGAATTAGAAATCACCTTTGTATGTATGTATTAACCCATTAGGACTTTTTTTTTTTCCTGCTCCAAAGGTGAGTACCAAATGAAAAAATACAAAACTCAGGTGCTACTGGAACCTAGAACAATACAATTTTTTGTTATACAGGCTGTCTCATACCTTAGAGAGCCAGATGCCAGGCACACATCCCAACCAAAAAGCCACTGAAATGTTAGAGCTTATTGGTATTGCAGTATAACCAAGACTAGTCTGACTAATATAATGTTATAACCAATATGAATATATTAATGAGCAGAATTAAAAATTCACATAAATTTTTAAGTTAAAACATAAAACTTTAAAGAAATGTCCTCCTTGAGGCAGGTTCATCTGGCTATGCCCCAGACTCCTGGGAGCACATGCACTTTCTCATCTGCTATTAGGAAAACTTCAATGGTGATGTCTGAGAAACATCCTACAGCATTTGGCAGAGACAGCCTCTGAAACCAGATGAAACCCAGTTCTGCTACTTCCTAACTCTTGAACCACTGAGCCTCAGATTATGTGATGGGGGAATAAACTGTTATTGTATAATGTGGTTACCACTGGTGCCAGTTGGCCAAGAAGAACAGCAGAATTTGTCATAGAAAAGCAACAGCTCTTTGTTTAGGGAAACATCCTAATCTGCTTATAAAAGGTGAGGCCTACCAGGACATGACTAAGATGAAAGGACATTGGCTGATGAGAATTCCTTGTCGTATTGGTTATCTACTACTGTGTAACAAATTACCCCAAATCTTCCCAGCTTAAGTTGACAACACTTTGTTTAGTTTTACATAGTTTCTACTATTCAGAAGTTCAGGAGCAGCTTATCTGCGTGCTTCTAGTGTAGGGTCCCTCATGAGGTTGTAGACAACATTAATGAATAAATAGTTAAAAGTAGAAATAACCCCACTGATTCTGTTTTAAGTCAGAGGGCATATTGAAAGCATTCTAGCAAGGGGAAGAGCATCAGAGCTGGGGGAACTGGGAGAACCGAGTTCTAATCCCGTATTTGTCTTGCAAACTTGTGTGAACCAAGTGACACACCCAATTTAGGCATCCACTTCAGGGCTCAGGTCATCCTTAAACCCCTCCTACCTCTGAAACACTGGGCTCCTTGGGCCCAATGTGCCATCCTGACATTGTGAGCATGAGAAGTGAGGACAGGCAAGCACCCCTGTACTGAGCACAAAAATGTCAGGCCTTTCCGAGTCTTCCCAGGAAGGACTGTCTTCTTCTTCCCACACTCTCAGAACACAGGATCTTACCATCCAACTCACTACATTTTCCCCCAGAGAAGAAATCCCATGTCTAAAAGCAAGAGCCTCTTGTTTTCTTTCTCTTTCTTCATCCTTTTTTGAAAAGTCTGTTTCTATTGTGACACCAATCCAACCCATTCCATTGCTACCTCCTTTATAATTTTTTTTAATAGTCAGCGTATCACTCTGTTGCCCAGGCTGAACTGCAGTGGTCATAGCTCACTGCAGCCTCGACTCCTGGGCTCAAGCGATCCTCCTGCCTCAGTTTCCTAAGTAGCTAGGACTACAGGCATATGTCGCACATCACTATACCCAGCTAAATTTTTATTATTTTTTTTGTTTGTTTAGAGACAGAGCCTCACTATGTTGCCCAGGCTGGTATTGCCATCTACTTAACACAGTTCCCTCTCTGCATGTCATGGTAGAACACAGGAAAGGTGACAACCTGATTGCCAGGTGAAAGAAGAGAGTTCCCAGCACCAAGTGTGCTTCCAGGCATATTAGGCAGGGAGTGAGGCAGGAAAGGAGGAGGAATGCCAGCACACATGTGAGCAACTTCTATATGTCTGGCTCCTTGCATGCACAATTTTAAGATCCTTACAGCAATCAGCTGAAGTACCCACATGTTACAGGCAAAAAGCAGTGAGGCTCACTCCAAGCAGTTACATTGGCCAATACCCTGCAGCGACTGCATATGAGAAGTGAGATTTGAATAGCATATGTGAACCCAAACATGGGGTAAAGAAGAAAAGAAGGAAGGAGGAAGAGAAAGAGGGAAGATGTATCCGTGATTGCTTCCTTCCAGACTGGCACAAAAATGAAAAGCTAGCTCTCCTTGATGGGACATGTTGATGGTATGCAAGGTTGGATCCACTTTGCACACACAAGCTCCTTCTGCTATGAAAGAGATTTAACAACCTCAATGAATCCTTAGGGTGTATGGAGTGGTGACGGAGATTATTAGAAAAAAATTCTTATCTACCTTTGATGTGGAAGGAAAGGGGGGCCCAAAGTGGTCATTATAACCAACTTGAATCATTACTTGAGAACCAGCACAGCATATCGTCAAGTGTGGAGACTCCAGAGGCTGAGTTTGAATCTAAGCTTTGACACATATCAATATGACCTTGAGCAAGTCTCATAATAGCTATATGTCTCAGCGTCACTATTTGTAAAATGGGAACAATAGTATCTACTGAGAAAACTTGTTAGAAAGATTAAACAAGTCAATAGATTTAAAGTGCTCAAAAGAGTAGCTGGCATACTCTTCTGTAATACTCAATAAATGCTTGCTATAATAATTAGTGGTGAAGAATGTGTACTCCAAAGCCAGACTGCCAGGATTCAAATTCCACTCAACCATTCCAAGCTCATGACCATGGAGAATTGACATAGCCTTTCTAAGCTTCCATTTTCTCATCTGTGAAAGGAGCGGGAAAAAAATCTATCTCAGAAGAGTTTTAGCAGATGGTATTTTCCAAAGATGACTACAACAGTATCTCCCACCCCCATTTGCTTCTACACTGTGACTTTGCCACTGCCCCATTAACACGGGCAGGCTCATTCTCCTCCCCCTTGAACCTGGTTGTGACTGTTAACCTTTCCACAAATAGGATGGACATAGCAGAAGTAATGCTGTATAACTTCTGAGGGTACATTAGAAAAAGCCAGGTAGCCTCTTCCTGGTTCCATTGAGATGCTCACTTTTAAAACACAGCCTCCATACTGTGAGGAAGCCCAAGCAGTTCAAGAAGAGGCACACTTGAGAGAAACTGAGCCCTCCAGCTCATAGCTAAGCTGAGCTCCCAGCACTCCCTTGATAGTCAGGGAAGTGAGCCATTTTCCAGCCCTCAAACTGTCCCAGCAGATACTGCATGAAACAGACACAAGCTCTTCCACTAAGCCCTGCCGAAAATGAATATGCATGAGCAAAATAAATGATTGTTATTGTTCTGAGCCACTAAGTTTCTAGGTGGTTTGTTATGTATCAATAGTAACTAGGACAGAAACGCTGGGGAAATTTCTAAATGACAATAAAATAAGGACTTAGCTTAGTGCCTAGAATGTGTGAAGAAGTGCTCATTAGCGATGATCATTGTTGGTATCGTTCAGTAACTTTCCAAAGTCACACAGCTAATAAAGGTCATGACCAGGATTCAATCCGAGGCCTCCAGTCTCACTTCATATTATGCTGAGGATCAGGAAGGTAGGCAAATCCAATGTTCAAGGAACCAAGCACCTCTTCTTCCACTGAGCTGGAAGGCTGGAGTATCAAGATGATGGGAACATGGGCAATGCCTCTTTGTGGCTCCTACACTCAGGTTTGGATTGCAAGCAGAGACCCCAGAGACTATGGATGAGGGAACATTGGCTAACATTCTTTCTTTTCCTTTAAGCTAAGTACCAAGAGTGTGAGATCGTTGATTCTCAAGGGAAAAGCTACCCCCTCTATGGAAAAGTAAAATATGCAAACATTAACCAGAGGATAGATGGGAATGCATAATTCACAACTAGCTGTCTCTCTGGACCAAAGCAGGAAGGAGTTGGTTGAACTTCAGGTCAGAGAAAAACAATTCTAGCTATTGCATTCCAGCACCTACGTATTCAATTACCATAAAGTTTTTTGCCCCTGGGGAGACCACTGGAACCTGCATCAGCATCAAAACCTTTCTTAATATGATTCTGCGGTAAGCTGAGATATGCAGCACCCTGGCAATTGATATGCAAATTAAATAAACAAAACGACATAATAAATAATTAAATCAGTCTAACTTGATGAATGAATTAATCATATTGGAGTGATGAGAAGAAGCCGGCACTGTCACCCAGAAGATCATTGAGAAAAATGAAACATTCATAACAAGGCCATTTCAGCATAGGATGTTGCCTCCTATATTGATTACCTGCACTAGCCTTTGAAAAGAATAGGTGCTCAATAAATATTAGTGGAATCAAAAGAACTTTTATCACCAAGATCATCTCTCTGCAGTATATGGAATTATTCATTCAATAAGCGATTGCATCAACATTTTCTCATTTCAGTCTTATTTAAGAATAAAGTAACTCTGAAAGGGAGACAAGGGCAGATACTTACTGATATCTCCCATCTTACAGTTGAGGAAAATAAAGCTAAGACCGAGTGACTTGCCCACTGTCATATGGTTGGAATGAGAGGAACTTAGACTCAATTTGGGAGTCCTGGCCTCTATTACCCTCCTCTGCACCCCACTGATGGGGATATTTCTGTCTACATAAGTGTGTATGCAGGGAGAGATGCTACAGCCACCCACTACTTCTCCAACCATTTCCCGTAATAAATCAATTCCAGATTAATTTCAAGTTTATACCTGAATACATTTTGTGCCTCCACCCATTTTTGCCTTTTGTTTAGTTACTGTACATAGCATCTCTTTATAGGCAACTAAGAAATGGAGGTAGGCATGAGGAAAAGAAAAGTACTGTGCAGCCATTAAAATTAATGGTGAAGAATATTTAGCCACATAGGAAAATTTCCGCAATATATTGCTAAGCAAAAACAAAGGCTTTCAAACTGCACATATAGTAATAGACACACACATACACAAAGAGACAAAAAGACTGAAAGCACACGTCAAAAAGCAAACAGTCATTATTTCCACATGGCGGGATTATAAGGGGTTTTTATTTCTCTCTTTGGGTATTTGTAAATACTTTTAGAAATTTATACAATAAGAATGTATTAACTTTTGTAATTTAAATTGTTATTTGTAAAACTAAAGCAAATTATAGTGGTGGGGGTGGGGAATAAAATGCTTCTGAGGGGTGGGAATGGTGGTCAGGCTCATGAGTGTAATCCTAACACATTGGGAGGCCAAGGCACGTGGGCCACTGGAGGCCAGGGGTTCGAGACCAGCCTGGGAAACATGGTGAGACCCAGTCTCTAAAAAAAAAACTTGTGGTTTTTTTTTTGTTGTTGTTGTTGTTGTGGTGGTTGTTGTTGTTGTTTTAATCAGCTGGGCATGATGGCGCATGCCTGTAGTCCTAGCTACTTAGGAGGCTGAGGCCAGAGGATCACTTGAGCCCAGGAATTTGTAGCTGCAGTGAGCTTTAATTGAGCCACGGCACTCCAATCTGGGCAACAAAGTGAAACCCTGACTCTAAATAAATAAAAATGACTCTGAGCCCACATCTCATAGAAGTCATATATGTTTCAGTATTTTGTTTTAAAGAGGATTTCTTATCAATATGGCTAAATTTTGAGGCTGTGTGGGATGCGAAATAATTTAGAACTTCATCCCACAATGAGATGGGATATGCCCTCAAGTCAGTGGCTCTGAAACAAGATGAAATAATTACAAAAAAGAAAAAGGAAGGAAGGGAGGAAGGGAAGAATGGAGGAAGGGAAGAAGGGAAGGAGGGAGGGAGGGAGGGAGGGAGGGAGGGAGGGAGGGAATAAAAACCTGCCAAAGGAAAACTCCCTAGTTTTCCTGGAAATACCCAACCCTTTCTTCTTTTCCCAATTCCCTAAAGGGCTAAATAACTCAAAACAGAATATAAACTTCAGAGATAGCCCTTATTTCTGGCTCTATAGGAGATTCGATGGTGCCAAGGAAAACAAGTTATGTATCAAAGAAAAATCAACTAGACTATTTCAGAATAAGTAAGAGACCTGAAAATATACACTTCCATTCCAAAACGAGTTAAAGAAAAAAAAAGGCAGAAGGGAGAATCATGCAGCACATCTGGGGTGAAAAAAAAAGAGAAGTAAATAGATTTTTAAGTGAATTATAAGTTTGCTGTGTGACAGCAATGACTTGAACTCTCAAAGAAATTGAAAAAAACCACAGAAACAATATATCAAAATCTAAAATATGAAATTATAAGACAATAAAGTGACATGATAGAGCTAGGAAAAAAGTTAAATCATAAGTTCACTGCAGAATGCAAAATAACATAATGGAGCAAGTCAACAATGTAATTATAAAAAAATCAAAACTTGAGATTATCAAATAGAATGCAGAAGTACATGACAGACTCAGAAAAAGCAACCCAGGAGACAATATTGGATGCAAAAAATAAACAACAAGGATCTAGAATGAGCGGGCCCAAGAAAGAACTGAGAAAGCAAAATAGAAAGTAGTCAGTGATACGACAGAAGAAAATATTCATAATCTTAAAGAAAGTCTAATTGTGACTATTAGCAGGACTCACAGGCAACAGAAAAAAATTACTGAAAAGCAACCAATATGGAGAAACATCCTAGTGAAATCTCTGAATACCAAGGATTAAAATAGAACTGCACAAGCATGTCATTCAAACACTTGGTCACCTGCAAAGGAAAATATCTTTTAGCATCTCTAGATTTCAGGAAATCATCCATGAAGATCTGAGGAAGAAGGTATTATTCTTCACCCAGCCAACCAGTTATTCATATAAAGGGTGAAAAAGGAGGAGGAGAAAAGAGAAGATGATCGTGAAGACATTAGAAGGGAAGAAAAAAGATGAAGGAAAAGAAGAGACAAAGATGAAGAACATATTCTCAAAATACAAGGAATCATGAATGCACTATTGCTGAACTGAAAGCTAGGAGTCACATTCTAACCAAAAGTTCAATCAAAATATAGATCTCAAAAAATGAGTAAGCAGTAATATGAAGGCATCTTAAATTTTTGGTGAAACTCAAAAATAGAATTGAGTCTAAATAATTATGGCATAGTTATACAACTTTTTAATTGTTAAACTTTATTATTTAAAAAATTTTTTAACCTACAGCTAGAAATAAAAGTAGATTGTGGGTATTCCCTATAGCAAAGGTGGATACTCATAACAACAACAAAAAAAAAACAGATTTAAAGGTAAAGATATCAGTTAAAACTAAAAGCAGAATGGGGTTAACTCAACAGTAAGACATTCTTAAAATGAATCCAAAACCAATAAAAACAAGTATACAACATTTATCAGGAAGAAGACTAAAGCTGTAACTCAAAAACAGAAAATAAAGACAAAAATATACCAGGAAAAAAAAATTCTAAGAAAATGAAAGCAGAGATTATTCTTTTATACATGATTAAGCTGGATTCAACAAGAGAAATAGTATTAAGTTTTACCAAGAAAGATCACTTTCAAATTGACAAATGGCACAATCCACAATAAAGATATAAGTGTCAAAATGCCCATGGTCTGGATTACACAGTATCAAACATTGTAAAACAAACAAACAAACAAACAAACAAAAAAACAAACAAAAAAAACCACCATTGAAAATACTAGGTGGATGTTGTGGGGCTGATATGGTTGGGCTTTGTGTCCCCACCCAATGTCATCTTGAATTGCAATCCCCAGGTGTTGAGGGAGAGACCTGGTAGGAAGTTATTGGATTATGGGGGCGGCTTCCCCCACGCGGTTCTCGTGATAGTGAGTCTCACGAGATCTGATGGTTTTAAAAGTGGCCATTTCTCCTGTGCATGCACTTTCTCCTTCCTGCTGCCTTGTGAAGAAGGTGCCTGCTTTCTCTTCTGCCATGATTGTAAGTTTCCCGAGGCCTCCCTAGCCATGCTTTCTGTTAAGCCTGTGGAACAGTGAAGTCAATTAAACCTCTTTCCTTTATTATTACCCACTCATAGGTAGTATTTTTTATAGCAGTGTGAAAACGAACTAATACAAGGGCAGTGAAAGAAAATAACAGCAGTGACTAATCAGAAAGATAATAAGTATTAACGTAGGGGATCTGATTAATATTATTAAAATCGATATAAAAGCTTTACGCATACTTTGTGTACTGTAAATATTTAGTTCCTTTTCTAACACTCACTAAATCATTATAAAATCAACCAAAATTAAACAACCAAGAAAACACCATTAAGTTTTCAAAAAAGAAATTAATAATACAGATTACAGTCTCCATTTACACTACAAAAGCCAAAAATTAATTTCAAAAGTAGAACAAAATAATTATTTCAACAGCTTGGAAATAATTTTTGGGTCAAAAATAAAACCAAAATAGCAATTACAGATTTTTAGAGAATAGCAATAATGAACCCAATACATATCAAAATACATGGAAAGTAGCCAAAGTATACCAAATGTAACTTTCATAGACTTAAATACTTTAATAACTGAGCAAGAAATAAAATGTTAATTATTTAAGAAATCAGCTCAAGACCCTAGAAAATAAAGAGTTGAATGAAGCAGAAAGAGAGGCTTAATAAAGATAAAGGCAGAAAACAATTCATTAAAAAAACAGAAAAACATCAGAATAAATAAATCTAAAATCTGGTTCTTTGAGAAAAAGAAAATAAACTATTAATAGATAAAACATGAATTAATCTCATCAAAGAGAAAATAAAATAAAAGCATAAACCAAAGTAGAAATGAGAAGGAAACAGTTACAGAAAGAATTTCAAAGTTTCATTCAGTAGAAAATACTTCATCTGTCAACAAATTTGAGAACTTGAATAAAATTATAATATATATATCTTTCAAAAGAGCACTGGATCCAATCATTGTCTAGGGTAATTCTTGTGTCTTTATTTGCTTAATTTTATTGATTTATTTTTTGAGACAGGGTCTCACTCTGTCACCTAGGCTAGAGTGCAGTGGTGCAATCATAGCTCACTGCAGGTCTACCAACTGGGCTCAAGCAATCCTCCTGCATCAGGCTCTCAAGTAGCTGAGAATACAGATGCATGCCACCACACTTAGCTATTTTCTTTTATTTTTTGTAGAGACTAGGGGCCGGTGGGAGGGTCTCCGTGTGTTCCCCAGGCTGGTCTCTAACTCCTGAGCTCAAGCTCTCCTCCAACCTCAACCTCCCAAAGTGCTCGGATTATAGGCTTGAGAAACCACGCCCAGCCTCTTGTGCTATTTTAAGTCCCTTAGAACCTTGCTACACAAAATGTCGGCCCTGAGCCAGCAACATGGGCATCACCTGATTAGTCATTTTTACTTATACTTTGTGATTTAAAATCCCTTTTGCAATACAGATTTTTAAAAACTTTTAAGAAGTATCTCGCATTGTTTTTATGGTTTCCTGATGGTTCAGGTTACTGCTAGTTAGAAAGGCAGACTCTCAAGCCCCACTCTGGACCTACTGAATCACCATCTGTATTTTAACAAGCTCCCAGATGATTCATAGGCACATTTGAGAAGCATGGTTTTAGATCTAAAGAGGAAAGCTTCCATTCTTTAAGAATAGTATGTAAGAGATCTACAGATTATTTTATTTATACAGACTCAAAAGTCCAAGTTGAAATTTCTAGCAAAAAGAATCCAACACTTCATTAAATAGATACCATTCAACAAAGAAGTGGATTTCATTTCAGGAATGTGACAATAGTTTATTGCTAAATTTATTAAGAGAAAAGAAGAATATAAGTGAATTTACTTTAAAATTATTTTAGGCTGGGGAAGGCTTTTTTGAGTACAACCCCAAGCCAAAAATATAAATTCAGTGGTTGAAATACTTCATAAAAACTTTTAAAAATCTGTATTGCAAAAAACGTTTTAAATCACAACCAAGATGTAAAAAAAAAAAAAAAAGACTACAAATATATATGAAGCTTCAAAGAGGGGATTATTATCTACAATGTACAAAGAGCTACTAAAACTTACAAATAAAAAGACAATGGATGAAGGATATTAATCACTTCACAAAAGAAAAGCAAATGATCAATAACTATGTTCGTGTCTTCCCTCATTCACCAGCAAGCATTAAATGGCACTCATCTAGATTCTGAGGACTCAGCAGCAAATAAAACAAGGTAACTTCCCACAAGATTATCTAACTAATAATTAAACAAAAATGTCAACTAATAGACTGGTACCTGACAGACTGGCAAAAATTCAAAAGATAAATTAATATCCTGAGTCAACAAATACGTCAGGAAATAAACACCTTCATACATTCATGATGGGACTTTCAACTGCCACCAATTGTGCTGCAGTTTAATAAAATAAGGCATAGCTTCTAACAGAATATATCCATAGAAAATAGACAAATAGGTATGAAGATCTTCCTCACAGCATTATGCACAATAGTGAAAAGAACCTTCGTGTCCATCAACAGAAGAATGGCACAATAGCATCACCAACATTTTTCATCTATTGCTATTTGTTCATATATTAGGTATGTATTATTTGTTATCATATCAATAGCAGAATAAAATACTCTTGAAATATTTATTTCACATTATTTCAGATCCAAGGCTAAGATATGTTAGAGGCAATAGAAACCCTAATACATTTTACATGACGATGATGAAATAACTTGTGTGGGAATTTGGCTTTGTATATAAGATACATATGTTTAGGGATGTAAGCATCACTCAAAGCTTCCTGAAAGACAGATCCAAGGCTGCCTATGTGTCTCTGATAGCTGAGGCTGACCGTCTCAGAACCACACTCAAACACAGTGTGGTGTTCAGATGCCTTCATCATCATGTTCCTCCTATAGTTCACATCCCCTCCTTTGCATCTCACCAGCACCCAGGAACCAGGGTGCTTTTTAAAAAAACACACAAGTTAAATCCCAGCTCTTCCTCCATTGGTTTCTTACTGCTGTAACCACAAAAAGGTAAGGTCCCGATTCTAATGGCCCACGAAGTCCTGAGTGACAGTCACCAGCTCCTGCCCACTCTCCAACCGCATCTTGTTGCTTCTTTCCTGTGACTCCCGGTGCTCTGGCCACATGAGCCTTCTAACAATTCCCAGAGTATTCCAAGCTCTGTGTCACCTCAGGGACTTTGCACGTATTCTCAAACTGGGTGTTCTTTTCCCTGTTCTCTTCAGAACAGGCTTTTCTGTCCTTCAAGTTTCAGCCTAAAGATGCTCTCTGCAGCCTGGCTCTACTCCCTGGCCACTACAACACCCTGCTTGTCTCCTTCAATGCACTTCCCACAATCTGGGGGAAACAGAGGAGAGAATTGGCCATACTTTGTGCATTAATTATTTTTTTACTTATTCACTGTGTGTCTCCTTCACTGCAATGTATGTTTCAGAAAGCTGACCCTGTGTCTATTTTGCTCTTCACCGAATCCCCAGCAGTCTAGCTCAGAGCCTGCAATGCTGACGGCATTCAAATTCTGGTAAATGAATAATTGAATGTGAACACAATTTGGACAGCAGATCAAAAACCTTATACAATTTTAAAAGAAATATTTGTGATCATCTTTTCCTCAATCCTCAGAAAATAATCACAAGAAGTACACAAAGATTAATATCCAAAGATGCTCGTTACAACATTCTTCTAACAGCAAAAACCAGACACAACCTACAAGCCCAACAAGAGGAAAATATTTTAGTTGATATATAGGATGGAATAGTCAATTATAAAATATATCATAATGTGGTAAATTTTTAAAGGGGAGTAAGAAACAATGTGTAGTTGGACCCTGAACTTACAAAATCAGCATACAATTCTATACGCAAAATAGAGGAAGCATATATTACAAAATGAGTCATGGTTTGTCTTCTTTCATATATTTCCTACGTTTTCCACCTCGACATATTTTTAAAGTTTTGACATTGAGCAAGAGGATACATTTTTAAAACAGAAATGCAAAATAAACATCATTTTTAAAAATTAATAAAAGAGGTCACTCCTCCCCATGAGTATAACCTTTACATCTCATGAGAAAGAAAACTTTTATTTTCTAATATATTTTAAATTGTGTGAGATACTTAAAATTGTGTGAGATTCTATCAACATGTGAAGCATATGTTAATTCATTCTGGTTCTCAAAACCCAAGGAAAGAATCATTCATATGGGCTTTCACCCCAAAATCTACAGAAACCCTCTACATCCTCCAGTTCTCCTGTATCTGCCTGCCTCTGTAGTGTCTGCTCTGGTCTCTCCATCAGTGTCTCTCTTTGCTTGTGTGTTTCACGATCAGCTTCCCTTTGAACTCGACATCCTTGCCACCCCTATTCTCCCCGGGGGCTGTCTTTTCTCCTCAGTTGGCCATGATATGAAAATAGATGAGAAGCATTTATTGAACTGTCTTTGTTTTTCTCCCATTAAAATAAAACCAGATAAGTGAAATCATCTGTTTACATTTCTCTCAAAAAGAACTGCATTAAATTACTATTGGTCCTACAGGTCACCGACCCTCCGCTGCTCAGCAGTGCCCCTCACCAGAGGCCCCCAGAAAGACATGTCCTTGCTGAGAAGTCTAGCACTTGGGCACATAAGCAGACACTGATGATAAGCTGATTAGAACTGCGAGGCAGGGTATAGTGTGGCAATGTAGAGTCTGCACAGAAGTCCCTGAGACCACACACAGTAAGTGTAAAACTTCTAAGAGGTCACAAAAACAGTATCTTGTTCTAATTCGAGGGGACCCACCTTCATACATCAGCATGAACTGAACCCAGGTGAATCTTGCCAGAACAATCACAGAAATTAGAACAATCTAAAATCAATATAAAGAGAAGTCTAGAGAGAGACGATCAGAGCTCATGAGATCCTGAAGTCAATCAAAAGGCTAAACAGGATTTGAAACCTCATCACTTATGTAGAAAATAAAGTACCCAGCAGAGCAAAAGTGAAAGCTGTCTCCTAACTATGCAGCTCTCTCCTTTGACAATTTAAAGGGTTCCAAGGAAACAGCTGAACCTCAGGAACAGAAAGGTATTTTTTGGTTCTGATTTTTGATGTGGAAACAGAAACACATATTTGATTTTAATGGTTCTCAGAATGGAAATAGTGGCTTCTGAATTTAAATACAGGCAGCATCAGATCTTATTATTCTGCTATCTTTAGCCATTTTTGCCTTCATGCGTTATTTATCATTTCACTTTCAATAACTTTGATATGTAAATTAAAGCTACTGTACCAAATGTTATGATTTAGATAAAGATCTAGAAACACTAATATTTCTCATTACGGATTTTGCTTATCCAGCTGAATCCAACGGAATTATCCAATTTGAACCATGTAGGGGAATGTCTGGACAGAGCTCAGCAGACTTTTGAGACCATTTAAAATCCAAACCCACCACCCAAAGCTTTTCTACCGTAAGGGCTTCTCAGTTTGTTGATGTGGCACATTGTCCGGCGACTTCAAAATCATGACTCAGCTTTCTTTTTCAAATGCAGGCAGAATCATTCCCTGGCCCAGTTTGAAAAGTTCTGAGACTTCAGGCTCAGAAAAATAGTTAGCATAGTTGTTGATACTTCAGGCATTATCTGCACTTACCAGCTCTGTGACCTTGGCCAAGTTATAACCTCTCTTTGCCTGAGTTTCCTTAACTGTAAAATGGGTGAAGCAATAGAACCCTCTATGAGTGTGAAATAAGAAAAGCCAAGTAAAAGTGCTGACTTAGCTCAGTCCCTGGCACATGATAAGCACTAAGTGTTAGTAAATTATTCTTCCTGAGGCAGAATGCTGCAGGAGTGGCTTTGCCACAGATTTAAGGATTCACTCTTTAAAGACTGAGAAATGGCCATACAGTCTTCAATGGACTAAATGTTTAGGTCCCCTCAAAATTCATAGGTTGAAATTCTAACCCCACGAGGTAAGAGTATTAGGAGGTGGAGGCCTTTGAGAGATAATGAGATAATGAAAGTGAAGTTCTCATGAATAGGATTCATGAATAGGATTAGTGTCCTTAAAAAGGGGCTCCAGAAAGATCCCTTGCCCCTTCCACCATGTGAAGCTCCAGCAAAAAGATGACCACTTAGTAAGCAGACACTCTCCAAACACCAGATCTGCTGGTGCCTTGATCTTGGATTTCCCAGGCTCCAGAACTATGAGAAACAGACCAGGCAAGATGGCTCACAACTGTAATCCCAGCACTTTGGGAGGCCAAGGAGGGCCTTGCCTGACTTGTGATCAGGAGTTTGAGACGAGGCTGGCCATCATGGTAAAACCCCATCTCTACTAAAAATACAAAAGTTAGCTGGGCATGGTGGTGCATGCCTGTAATACCAGCTACTTGAGGGTCTGAGGTGGAGGCATCACTTGCATCCGGGAGATGGAGGTTGCAGTGAGCCGACATCACACCACTGCACTCCAGCCTAGGCAACAGAATGAGACTCCATCTCAAAAAACAAAACAAAAAAAGAACTACGAGAAATAAATTTCTGTTGTTTATAAGCCAATCTATGGTATTTTTGTTACAGCAACCCAAACTCGAATTAAGATACAGGCTCCTAGTGAGCCCAGAGAGCCACAAAGAAAGAAAGTCTAATGACTCTCTTGACCACTCATGCTGCCTTCCATTGCCCGTCTCCTGTGTTCTGTGATAGTCAGAGTGAACATTAAGCTACCTTGGTCACTCAAGCACCTCTCAGGTGGGTTTGGGTCTCTCCGCCTGACTTCACATGTCAAGGGCTTCCTTCTGGAAACATTCGGAAGGCTTCATGAGAACAAGGTGGCCCATGAGTTCTTGTTCAGCTAATGATCCTGATACCTTGGTGAGCAAGAAAGAGCTATGGGCAGCAATGGCAAGACAGGGCAAGGAGCAATGGGAGCTGTGAGTCTACTTCAAGGTCAATGAATTTTTCCCCAGCAGCTGCCACGTTTCTTCCCCAAATAAGTCAGAACATGAGAACTATCACTGAAAAAAAAGACTAAACATAGACAATATTTCATCTCTCAATCCATCTATTCAATCATTTACCCACTCGCTGACATATCGTTGCATCCCCTGTGCCCAGCCCTGTGAGAGAATCTGAAATCCCATAAAGATGCCCAGGAGGCAGCCCTCATCCTTGGGGAACCTACAGGCTACTGGGGTAAAGGCCTATCAATAAACACAGCCCAGAGTGTTATGGGCCATGAAATGCTGAGCTGGGATGTTGAAAGACGGTAGAGACACAGGCAAAAAGGAGGTTCCAGGAAAGGGAATTGGCAGGTGCAAAACTGCAGAAGTGAGAGGGGCACTATGCATTCTTCAAAGAGAAGAAGGGCCAGGAGAATGGTGTAAGATGAACTTCAGGCCTCAAGGGAACTTGGAGGCAGGCTGAAGCACTGACTGCAGCTGAGGGCAGTGGAGGGCCATCCCGTGACGCGTAGGCAGGAAAGTGACATGCTGGATTTGCATGTTAGGAAGATCGTTGCACCATCTTTACCCCAGTCCACACTTGACTTCTTCCATTGACTGGGCATCTGCGACGATGGCTACATTTACATAAATTCTGATCATCTGACCCCCTCAGAGACCCAGGGTTCCTCATACTTCAGTACTCTTTATTTCAGGTTTAGTCGAGCGGAGCAGAGAGGAAAAGCATCTCCCAGCTGGCTGCAGAGCTGCATTTCCAGCTGCCTGATAGATTTCACCAATCTGCCCTCCCAGAGCCAGTGTGAACTCAACACATCCAAGGCCAAACTCATCATCTTTCCCACCAAACCAGCTCTTCCTTCTTAGTCTTCCAGTCACCCAAGTTCAAAAGCTCCTTCTTACTACCTGCTACATCCCATCCCTCACCAAGGCCTGCTGTGTCTTCCTTCAGAAATGTCCCCACCTCCTCCCTTTCCTTGCAGTGCCATTGTTTCACCCTGTCTCCATGTCGTGAACTCTTCCCACACTGACCCACCTGTGTCCTCTGTCCCCATCCCCCCAATCATCAGCCTGTCTTCCATTATCAAGTCACTTCCTGCCAAAACTGGTAGACTGCAAACTCCCTGCAGTGTAGAACCGATGATCATTGGTAAGGCTTCCAAGACCCAAGTAGTTGGGTCTCAAAGAGGCTTTCCAGCAGTATCTCCTTCCTCACACTCACCTTGCTGATCCTCACACTCACCTTGCTGATCCTCCCCATTGAGCAAATCACCCAATCCACCTATCACATCCTACTCTGGCTTCTGCTCATAGTGTCTACTGGATCAAATAGTGTTCCCCAAGAACTTATATCAACCTAGAACTTTGGAAAGTGACCTTATTTGGAAGTAGGGTTGGATGAGATATTGAGGTAAAGCATTTAGCATGCAGTCTCATACTTAGTAGCAAAACGTATACTGGTTGACAGCATCATCGTCAACCACAACAATCAACATCATCATCGCATTATCATTGAACTTTGTTTTAAAATACCTTGCATCAGCTACGAACACAGAGTTGCATGAATCCACCACTTGCAAGAAAAAAAAAAAAAGAATAAAAGGCACCCTTCAAGATTAATGCCCCCACTAACCATGAGTACTAAGCAGGTTCTTCACGTATCAAGGACAGTGTATTATTACCCTCATAAAATTCCTTTCTTCCTAAGAGATTAAAGAGCTGGGGAAATTTCATTCCACTCAGGTTCACAAGTCCCCTGAGAGAGAGGCAACAGGTGAGCATCACTTTTCCATTGTCCTCAGGTGTGTCAAAGCAGAGACAAGAATCAAGGTGGCCATCTCTAGAGCTGGAGGCTGCTGTCTCCCCAGGCCTTGAGAGTTAAGAAAACGTGGGCCATCCTCCTGCTTATTCGTTAGGTATTCTTTGCCTACTCTGAAAGCAAATTAGTACGCTGCAGGGTGTTGGTTCTTATTCATTCACTTCTTCACTCATTCATTCATTCAAAATCATTGAATGAGCCTATGTTCCCACAAACTCTACTAAGCATTAGGCAGGCTACAGAGAATAAGAGGAGCCAGAGTCAAGTGTGGCCACCTAAGAAAATGCCCACGCCACAAATGGCCAGAGTCTGTCCTGTCTCCTGAATATGAATGGGGAATGCTTCTAAAACTTCACCAGTCTTACATGTCTCCTCCTGTAATTTTTAACAGTGGAATTTAAAAATTCAACTCAACTTCAATAAATACTCCAAAAGAAGATGATCCCCCAAACAGGAGTCTTTCCTGGCCAGAAGTAAGACCCACCAGCCCTTCTGCAGCCATCATGCTCCAGAATCAAAGATACACATGAAGTGGAGATCGATGCCTCAAGTGAAGATGCTCCAAGGAATCAGAGCCTTTTATTGTTGCTCCTACCTGGACTGAAATGAATCTGAGCATAAAATGAGAGGAAGCTGGCAGGTATTTACAGTCATAGCAGCATTTCTCATGATGGCCCAAAATTGGAATCAACCCAAATTTCCACCCATGGATGAACAGATAAACAAAAATGTGGTTTATACATATGTGATGGTTAATACCGAGTGTCAACTTGTGTCTGTGAGGGTGTTGCCAAAGGAGATCAACATAAGTCAGTGGACTGGGAGAGGCAAACCTACCCTCAATCCGGGTGGGCACCATCTAATCAGCTGCCATGTGACTGGAAGAAAGCAGGCAGAAGATGGAAGGACTTGACTTGCTGAGTCTTCCGGCCTTCATCTTTCTCCTGAGCTGGATGCTTCCTGCCCTCGAACATCAGACCCCAAGTTCTTCAGCTTTTGGACTTTTGGTCTTACACCAGTGACTTGCTAGGGGCTCTCAGGCCTTCAGCCACAGACTGAAGGCTGCACTGTTGGCTTCCCTACTTTTGAGGTTTTAGGACTCGGACTGGCTTCCTTGCTCCTCAGCTTGCAGATGGCCTATTGTGGGACTTCACCTTGTGACCATGTGAGTCAATACTCCTTAATAAACTCCCCATTATATATACATCCATCCTATTAATTCTGTCCCTCTAGCGAACCCTGACTAATACAACACAGGATGGAATATTTTTCACTCCTAAAAAGCAACAAAATTCTCACACATGCTGTAACATGAATGTACCTTGAAGACATGGAGCTAAGTGAAATAAGCCAGACAGAAAAGGACAAATATTGTATGATTACACTTAAGATGAGGTACCTAGAGTAGTCAAATTTACAGAGACATAAAGTAAAATGGTGGTTACTAGAGGCTGAGGGGAGTGGGGAATGGAGAGTTAGTGTTTAAAGGGCACAGAGATTCAGCTTCAAAAGATGAAAAAGTTTGAGAGATAGATATCGGGGGTGGTTGCCTAACAATGTGAATGTACTTAATGCCACTTAAATGCACACTTAAAAATGGTGTGTTTTGTTATGTATATTTTAGCCACAAGGAAAAATAATTAGTGGGTGCAATCAGGAGACTTCTCCAAAGCCATGAGAAGAATGGGCAGTGCTATTAAGGATGCTGCTGGTGTCTGCTCAGTTCCCCTTTAGTGAGCTGGTGCACTCTACCCTCGCCCTGGGGAGTTGGCTCCTTGGCAGCCCACAGGAGCCACCGGGAGGTTATTCCCCCACAGACTAATCACCATCACCATGGGGATGGCCAGTGGACCTCCATGAAGGTGCAAAATATCTCTTGCCTCCAGGTGGAACTGAGTCTGTGGTGCATCTCATGCCCCAGGGCTCACCCACAGGCTTGGTTAACTTTCTTGCCCTCACCTGCTTGACCTGCCTCCCTTGCTCTTCTGAGAGCAAGCCCTCCATAAATCATTCACAGGAATCCCTGCCTCAGGCTCTGTTGGAAGGACAGTGTTCCTCAACCTTGTTTTCATTACTGCCCTCCTAAGGAGTCTTTTTATGAATTTTTTTTTCCTAATCACCCACTAACAGGTACACTGTATATCTGCTTATGTACTGTATATATATCTCTGTGTTTTTTACTTAAAATATTGTAATTTTTTTCACTCTCTAATAACTCATTTTTATTCTTTTGGAAGTGAGTTCATCTCCTCTGAACATGCCTGGTCTACAGAACCTGAGCTAACGAAGTGTGGATTCGCCTAAATGACCCATGTGTGGGGTATGGAATTGTCCCTCAAAGCATCGAGAGCTTCAAAATGATTTCTGCTGCCATCAATGCATTTTATTCACAACAAGCAACCAGCAAACCAGCCAATCCAAGAAAATATAAAATCTGCCACCTCTTTTGTGCCCAGAGGGTGTGCTAAACCCTGAAGAGACAGAAAACAATGAACAAGCCAGATTCTTGAGTCTGCTTGCATGGGAAATAAAAGAACAAACAGGTGGTACAATAGCTAAGACAGAAAGTGGGGGGTACATATCTGGAAGTGGTCTACCCTACCCAGAGACCCTACCTTTTTGGAGTCTGTGGACCCTCTAGGGATACACAGAGACAACAGCAATTCACTTTGCTGTCACAGGATAAGCACTCCTTGAAGAAGAAAAGGGAGAACTACTGCTGTTACTGACTTGTTCACTCATTAATTCACTCAGCAGACATTTCTGAGCACCTACTTTGATACCCTACACTGTGCTATCCCTGGGGATACAATACAAACGCAGCAAGACATAGGGAGCTAGAAGAAAGGGCTCCAGGCAGACAGAACTGGGTTTGAGTCTTCAATGGCTTTGTGATCTTGGGCAAGTTCCTTAAGCACTTATGTTCCTGATCTATGACATGAGGAGAATAATAGCAAATATCTCAAGGGATTGTTGTGAGGATTAAATGTGATACTGAACATAATAAGGCGAGGTCACTTATTGTCTTAACACACAGAAAATACTCAACACATACTAGGTATTGCTGATTCTTTCATTACCAACTGGATACATTCCCTTCCGTCAAGTACTTGGTGGAGAGATAATGATTAAAACATAGTGCCATATTGAATCATGGGAAAAACACATCTATTCTCTCATTTTTGGAAAAAGAGTTCCCCCTGAGGACCTGGTAACCACATGGCACTTCCCTGACATGACTCCTGGCCATTCACTCTGATGGCTGGAACCCTCCTCTCCAAGTCTGTCGCTCTGTTATCTGCATATAACAAGATAAGCCTACACTTCCAGCTCATTTGGCAGATACTATGAGGAACTAATGCCTGCAACTGTCACCATTTAGTGAAAGATTTAATAAACGGGGTATTTTTTCAAGTCCAATTTCACAAGCCAAGCTGATGTTTCATTCCCCCAGCATTAATGCTGCCACACGCACATCAAAATGGGTACCAAGGGACAGGGCATTATTTTCCAGCCACAGTGAGACACCCAGTGACTTCAGAGACCACAGCCATATATCCACATGACCAGACGAGGAGAATTAAAATCGGCATTCCGGGGATGGCATCACCAACACTGAGTTTCAGGGGGTTATTTATTTATTATGTGATAATGGCCCAAAGGTATACACTACTCCAAAATCTGCCATGAAAATTCAAACATCTTTGTAATCCCTGTTTACAAAGCATACAGAGAAATTAAAACAGGCTTAATCGAGCAGTGTTTGTGCATATTAATGAGCCTAAATTCTAAATCTGGATTTTGGAAATAAAAAGGGTAAAAGAGGATTCATTTCAGACTAATTTGTTTTTGAATATGACACTTTGCATGTCAAATAGTATAGGGGATGTGAAAGTGGGGGCCTAGATAAGCATTTTAAAGCATTTCCACACAAAGTATGGGGCATAAGATCTGTTAAAGGAAAAGAACCACTTTCCATGGTCTACCTAAGACTTTAATGACACAAATCTCTCTTCAGTCTCCTGTGTCCTGTTCAGTGAGGGACCAATAACCGTTCTCCACTGTGACCATAGAATCCTTCTCTTTTATGCCCTGTATAAACTTTCCTTTGGCTAATCATTATTTACAATGCTATAACATGAGTGCTGGGTGTCATAAGAGACATGTTCTTTTAACTTGTACGCTAAGGCACTTGTATCTTAGAAAACAGAGAGGTAGAGGGAGGCCAGCCTCCGAATTCAGAATCAGATAGACCAGAGTTCAAATCTCAGCCCTGCCTCTCACCAACTACAAGTTATGTACTCTCTCCTCCTTGCTTCACCTTCCACATCTGCAAAATGAAGTGATAATTCCTATCTTTTCGGCCAAACTTACAAAACAGAACATAGTAGGTGTGCAAAAGTGCTAACTCCATTCTTTGTGCTTTTCTTTGGAGCAATAATAAATCACGGAGTGACCAAAAGTATTTTACGGGTATCATAATTCAGTGAATAGCCAACACCCAATTTCCTATGGTCCATGTATGCAGGAAAGTTAAGAGAAAAATCAAAAAGATCCCAAAGGGGACACTTGGGAACGGGGATGGATATTGGGATGGGCATGAACATACACACACATGTGCCCTCTGGCTTGCTTTGCTTAGCATAAGGTGCATGATACAAGCCTGGCAGGCCTCCCGCACTAAATAAGAGTTAGATGTGGGACTGTGGAATCAGATATCCTGGGCTAGACTCCATGCTCTGCCCCTTACAAATGACTCTGGGCAAATCACACCAGTCACAGCACCCTTCCAGAGACTGGTGTCCTCACTGTAAATGGGGACAGCCAATGCAACCTCCCTAGCTTTGCAATTCATATAAGTTACACCTGTCAGCAGATTCCTTTGCAGATATAAACATAAGATAAGAAAACAGGCCTGCAGGATTATGCCCCAATCAGAAAGGTTCATAGAATAAGAAAACACACTAAGTATTTCAAAAAGAAAAAAAAAAAAAAGCCCACGTCCACATTGCGACATGTCCCCTCTCTCAGAATTTGACCTTAGGGATCCCAGATGGTTCCAGACCATCCCCAAGCTGAAAGCATCCTGTTCTCTCCTGAGGATTATCTGACCTGAGAGCCCCCTGCCCCCTTCACTCATAGGTCCTGTCCAAGGGGGTCTACAGATCACACAAGAGTTCAGAGTTTGGGGACAGGGGGTATGGAGCAAGGTCCCCACTGGGACAGCTGCACCCACAGCCTCCCCCTCTTTTCCCCATGTTTCCTCCAGACCCTGGGCACTGTGGAGCCAAGAGTGGGCTGGCCATGCTGCCAAGCAGGACCCTTCCTTGCTCTGCCATCAGGCTCTGGCTTATAACAGATTCTCACTGTTCCAACCAGCCTCTCCCCTTGCCTCTGGCCCTCTCCCTCTGTTACTTCCCTCTGCTGTCTCGCCTCATCCTTCCTCCCTGGACTGTGGTCTCCCCTTTCCTTTCCCTGCCTGCATCAGCGTCCCCTCCTTTCCCTACCACAGCTCTCCATGCCTCTGTCTCGGTTGCTGTCTCTGACTCTCTGTCTGCTCATTTCTCTAACTGCTCTAAGGCCACTTTTTTTTTTTTTTTTTTTTTTTTTTTGAGGCAGAGTCTCATTCTGTCTCTATCTCGGCTCACTGCAACCTCCCCCTCTTGGCTTCAAGTAATCCTCCTGCCTCAGCCTTCCGAGTAGCTGGGACTATAGGTGCATCACCACACCCAGTTAGTTTTTGTATTTTTAGTAGAGACAGGATTTCACTATGTTGGCCAGGGTGGTCTCCAACTCTGACTTCAAGTGATCCGCCCACCTCGGCCTCCCAAAGTGCTGGGACTGCAGGCATGAGCCACCGTGTCCAGCCCTCTCACTGCCTATCTCCTTTTATGTTTCTCTCCTTCCCTCTCTGTCAGTCTCTCATTCTCTTTCTCCTGATTTCACTGGGTATTCCCCCATCTCTGTTTCTCCCTTTCAGGGCAGGGACTAGGGTGAGGTTGGGGTGGTACTTGACCCAGGCACAAAATTTAAGGAGGTGCCAAAACACTCAGTAATCCAAACAAATATTACTTTAATGTAATATTTTTAAAAATCAAAATTAATGCAAAAAAAATCCCTGTTGAACAAAGAATCAAAAATACAAGGAAAGACAGGATCTGTCCACCACTCTACTCCTTGCCCCAACCTAATCCATTCCTAGTCTGAAACATTATTGACAAGAACAGGTGGCTGGCCCATAGACTGTAGTTCATCCATTTAATTTTTTTAAATATTGCATTAAAATATTACTGATCTCGATGATTACATTCTGTGTAAAGGGGCATGCTGCCTGTGTTTGGGCCCTGTGACCTTTCTGTGCGTTTCCTTCCCTGTCTCTTCTCTCATTCCTCTCTGTTTACCCTCACCCTCCTTCTCTGCTTCCGCCCAATCGCATCTCCCTCCCTCCTCCGGCCCACCTCGGTCTTGCTCTCCATCTCTGCCCAGCCCCGTGTGTGTTTGCACACCTTGTCCCTGTTATGTCTGTCTGTCTTCCCCCTCTGCATCTGTTTGTCCCCACTTCTCCCTGGGACTGACTTTCTCTCTCTCCCTTGTCACCCTCCCCACCTCTCCTCACTTGCCTGCACCTGTGGCCATCCCGTCAAGCCTGAGCACTGCCAAGAGCACAAGGAAGGACAGACGAGCTTCCTCCTGGCAGGAAAGCTGGACTGGGAGGGAAAAGCTCCAAATTCCATCCTGTCTCAGACCTCCAAATCTGCACCATCTGCCAGAGCTCCTGTGAAGCCTATCTTGAGCAATAGATGCCCTGTGTCCCAGAGGTAGAGGAGGAGGCAGCTGGCAGATGCTGAAGTCACACGCCATGGATAGAAGACAGTGGGCACTGAGGCAGTGCGCAGAGCAAGCCTGCTGGCAGGAGCTGGAGGTGCTGCAGTTGGGAGGGCTCAGATTCCCCTAGAAAGGGCAATTCACCCTCCATGTGGCCATCTCAGGACAGCAACTAGAGAAGTGTCACAGGTGGTATCTGCCTAACGTGCCTGGATGTGTCGGGGATATCATACTCTCTGTTTAACTTAACCCTAGGTATGATTTTTCCTATTCTGCAACTGAAGGAACTGCAGTTCAGAGAGGTTGAGGGATTTGCCCACGGGCTCACAGCTTGATTCAAACTTAGAACATCTAAGGGTCCAAAAGGTCTGAAGAACCAGCCCAGGGCCCTTTCCTTTACCATGTTATCTATTTAAGAACAAACTTCTCACAAACCCAGAGGAATAAGAAATAAAGGCCAAGCAACCCAATAACTCTGTGTTCATTTTTTGGAAAACAACGTTCAGAGTTGGCTAAATGATTTGAAAAAAATATTACATTCTCCAGATTACACCAAACTCAGAATAAATTACAAATGGATTAAGTAATTAAATGCAAAAAGAAAAACATAAAACATCTAAGAAGAAATACAGGACTGTATCCCATGATCTGAAGGATGAAAAGACTATTTTGAGGGTGACATAAAATCATACAAGAAAAGGTTGACTGATTGCATTTTTTAAAATTGAGAGTTTTCGAATTGCAAAAGACATCGTAAACAAGATTGAAAGGCAAATGTAAAATGGCGGGGGGTGGGAATCTTCAGTCTATATGATAAAAGGTTAATATCCTTAAAATGTGAAGTGTGCTTATCAACCAACCAAAAAGTCAAATAACTCAACAGAAAATATGAACAAAAGATTTGAACAGGTAATTTATGGAAAGCACTCAACCAAAGCAAATAAACAAGAAAAACAACGCAAACAAAACTCATGGATTCAAAACTTCAAGTTAAACTGATACACCTTTTTTTCACATTTGAAGTTAGCAAAGCTTAAATATTCACTATCATCAAGAGTTTAAGGAGTGGAAAACTTTTACAGGATTAGGGAGAATGGATATTGTTACAGCCCTCTATTGGGAAATGTGACAATATTTATTAAAACTTCAAATGCACATTCCTGCTGATCCATTCATTTCACTCTTCAAAATTTATCTTACTGAAATACATATATCACATGCACGTTTATCACAACATTGTTTGAAAAAAAGCAAAATATTTGAAATATCCTAAATGCCCTACAATAGTACTGAGTAAATTATACTATATCTAGGTAATAGAATACAATACACTCAATAAAAGGAGTGAAGTAAACCTATATGAGCTATTGTAGAAAGATCATTGTGATGGTTGATTTGGGATGTCAACTTGACTGGATTAAGGGATACTCAGATCGCTGGTAAAACATTAATTATTCTCAGTGTTTCAGTAGGCACAAAACCCATCCCATTTCTGCTAAAAGGGAAGCCAAGGTGGTTTGGCATTTGATTAGAATAATTGGGCTGTGGCCGGGCACAGTGGCTCACACCAGTAATCCCAGCACTTTGGGAGGTCAAGGCGGGCAGATCACGAGGTCAGGAGATTGACACCATCCTGGCCAACATGGTGAAACCCCATCTCTATTAAAAATACAAAAATTAGCTGGGTGTGGTGGTGCATGTCTGTAATCCCAGCTACTTGGGAGGCTGAGGCAGGAGATTCACTTGAACCTGGGAGGCGGAGATTGCAGTGAGCTGAGATCACACCACTGCACTCCAGCCTGGCAACAGAGCGAGACACCGTCTCAAAAAAAAAAAAAAAAAAAGAATAATTGGACTGCCCCAGCTGTGTCTGTGAGAATATTTCCAGGAGAGACTGATGTGTGAGTCCATGGACTGAGTGGCAAAGATCCACCCTCAATGCAGGCAGCACCATCCAATCAGCTGAGGGCCCAGATGGAATAAAAAGCTGGAGGAAGAGTGACGTCTCTGGGTCTCCCAGAGCCAGGAGCGTTTCTTCTCCTGCCCTTGAACATGAGAATTTCAGGTTCTCTAGCCTTTGGACTCTAGGATCACTCCAGCAACCCTCTGGGCTCTCAAAACTTTGGTCTCAGATTGACAGATTGATAGTAACACCCTCGGCTTCTTTGGTTCTGAGGCCTTCAGACGTGGACCAATCCCTGGGTCTCCAGCTTGCTCTCAGCCTCCATAATTGAGTGAGTGAATTCCCCTAACAAATCCCCTCTCCTCTCCCTCTCTTTCTATATATATGTGAGTGTGTATGTGTGTGTGTGTGTGTGTATATATATATATATATACATATGCATGTGTGTGTACATATGTGCATGTGTGTTTGTCTCTATATAATTACATATATAAGTAATATGTAATTATATATGATATTTAATTATGTAATATATATATATATATTTATGTTATATATATATTTGGTTCTTTTTGGATAGCCCAGACTAAAACAATATTCAAAAGAAAAAAATGTAGAACAAAATACATAGATATTATGATCCCTTTTAAGAATACATGTTTATGTGTGCCTGTGTATTTATACGTAGGGAAACAGACCTAGAGGCACAGACGGCAACAGTGCATGCATCAGGGAAAGGGAGGGACAATGGAATACTCACTCTTCAAACATCACCCTACTGTTTACATTTGTACAATGAGTGCCTGTTACTTCTGAAATCTTAAGAATATTCCCATAATTAAAAAGTTGGCAGACGTGATTTAAAATAGAACAGTTTTGCAAATGGAAAGCACCCTTTCCACCCCAACCCTGCCATGCCCCACCACCCTATCTGATCAGTGAGAGCGGCCTGCCCTAAGCATGCTGGGAATCTGAGATACCGCTCCCATGCACACGTGACATGCATTTATTTGTAATTAAACTTATTTATGTTTTGAGGTTTTCAAGGCCCCATGACATATTCTGAAGCAAAGCTAGAGGAGGCACTGCCTTTTATGTAATCAATGCTTCATATTTTGTGTTTTATAAGCTCTATCTTTCCCATTGTCAGAAAGATCCTATTAAGGATGATGCTGCTGCTGCTGCCTATTTTACTGAAGAACTTTAGGCACCTGCTTAGAGCCAGGATTGGAACCCAGGTCTGTTGTACAATAAAGCTCACGTCCATTTCAACCCAAGCCCTGAAGATGACTGGAGACACTCCATGCCAACTGACCAAACCAGATTCAAAGATACTACACAGAAACTGCTTACCCAGGGTACTATTAAAATCAAGAATATCCAAGATGGATATATTAAATTATCATGTGTATCCTCCCTAAAAAATCAACAATTAAATAAAGAAATTAAGAATACAGAGTTAATACCTACTCAAAGGAGATGATGGTGAGACCTGATAAGGTAAGCTGACAGAGAAAATGCTCCTCTCATACAAACCCCATCTTTGCAAAGTCCTGATTTGAGAGACTACAGAGAGAGGCCCTACAGAAGGCATTTCCTAAACACATGTTACCTCAATTTGTTGAGGAACTGCAACTGTAATAGCTGAGCCTGTCGCTATAAAAAGTTCTGGTCTTTTCCCTCAGGTTAGGACCACCTCTCAAAGGCAAGAACCTGATAATTTTTGCCCAGAGTCCACACTGGAGCCCACCCACCTTGGAAACCAACAGTGGACGTGAACTCAGTTGGATGGGGTAGGTCATACTTCCAGACAAGCAGAGGACCAGGGACAGGTGGGCAAGTTCCCTGGTCTGTTCTGCCTGGGCCCCAGATGTGAGATGGCTGAATGGGGGCTGGGCTGGGGTGTCTCAGGGGCCCTAGTTAATCTTGGCCAGAGTCCTTTCCAACCTAGCCCTAACAGAAGAGATACAGACAGTTAAGGTATTCAGATCACTGAAGCATTGTTACTAGGTGTAAATATTAACACCTGCACTCAACTGTAACAGAAACCAAATTAAATTAACCTGACCTGAATGAATTAGGGTTTTATTTTTCTCACATAATGGGAGATACAGGAAAAAAAAAAAAAAGGCTACAGGCATTGAGTCAAGGGTGTATGGTTGTCAGGCTGAGAACTCTGCAATTCTCTATCCACATAGTGTCCCTGTTGTCACAGATGACTCTCCACCTTTAGCATGGTATCCCTGTTCCAGCCAGGACAGAAGAGCAGGGAAAAGGACAAAAGAGGTATGAGCTACTGAGTTGGCTTCCCTTTTAAGGATCTTTCTTGGAAGCCCCACCCACAGCTTTCTCTTCCACCTCACTGGCCAGAACTCCATCGTGTGGTCACTCATTCTGCAAAGAAGGCTGGGAAATGCAGCTTTGAAGCTAGACACATTTTCCAAAATAGTCAGAATTTTCTAGTGAGGGTATGCGAAGAATGCATATTGGGTAAGCAACTAGCAGAGTCTGTCTGACCAGATAATCAATGGGGATAAACTTGGTGAATTCTTCAGTGCACTGATGGTGGAATGGGTGGCACATAAGATTAGAACGCCCTGGATTGCTGGCAATGGGCCCAATTGTTGCACTAGAGGAGACTCTCAAAAGTCCACCAACACAAGGAAGGCAAATTATCCTTGCACCATAGACACCTGTGGCTTTTCCAGTCTCATCTTTGCCCTCCAGAGAGCTAGATACTGAGTAGAAACTAATAACATTAAGTATTAATAGGCCTTACATGATTCTATTTCCTTTTTAACTGAGGTCCAAAGATCATCTAAGGTGATGGTACACCAGTAACCTAAGAAGTAAAAGAGTAGGTCAAATTGCTTATCCTATGTCTGGAGAGGGGGCTGATTCCAAGAGCTGAGCATGCTGGGAAGAGGAGAGTCTCTCCCAGAACAGGCAGAGAGGACCTGCATTATGGCAGGGGAGGAGTTATCTGATCCCATCAGGAGGCGGAGTGAAAGCTAGAAGCAAAAATAGAATATGTGGCCAAATGAGGAGGATGTAACAGCTGGGTAAAAAAGCATAAGAACACACAAGGCTGTGTGGGAGGGTGAGATGCCAGGCAGCCTTCAGCAGCTGCAGACTTTGTCTTCCACCTTGCTAGAGCCTGATATTGAAGAGTTGGCAACATGGTTACTCCAGACCTGCAGGGATTTAAAGGGATATTTAAAGGGATGTAATTGTAACTCCCAGATGCCTGAGGACACTAAGAGTGCCCAGCCAAGGCAAAATGGTTCCAGGGGCAAAGGCCCTCATAGCAAGGGCAGGTCCCTCCAGCCTACCAGCCTATCTCTTCTGAAAGAAGGAGAAAAGATATATACATTGATCTTGATGTTAAGAGCTTCTTTATCCTAAGAAATATGAAGGACCAGAAGTATGAATCTGTGCTTGATGATTATAGAGATGTGTGTAACATCGAGTCTGCAGGACCAGACCCAGCCATAACAGAAAATGGCCCTACACCTCTGAAGTGAGCCCACTCCCCAAACAAGGTAGATTGCTCAGCCTCTGTGACTTGAAAAACTTTGACCTATTTTGCATAATGACTGTGTGTGACCTGAAGCATCCTCCTCAACATTTGTCAACTGCATGCTCATGCTGTTCTGGCACTGGCTGTGTGCAGGTCATAAGTGTCAGCTTCATATGAGGGTAAACCAAGTGCTCATCCCCTCTGACAGGCACAACAAAAGATGCTCCCCTCTGAGGCCAAATAGGTGGCCCATGCTGCCAAGATTTCCTGCTCACACAAGCCTGCAGAAAGTCCATGTTAATTTCCAATCATGTTGCTTCCCTTCCTGAGTGGAACTGAGACAGGTGGGACCTGAGGCCGGCTGGTTACTTGGCATCTCCTCACACTAATGTTCCTTAAATATCTGTTCAATGTTTAGAGAAGAGGCAGAGAGCTGCCTGAGCAAGGGCCTAGAAGCCACGGCTGCTTCTCCTCTCATCTCCAGCACAGTTCAGCTCTGGCCCAATTCTGCATCTCTCCCTCAACGAAGCCCTGTAGCTGCCCTAACCTCTCCCCATAAAAGGTAGCTTTAGAGGCTATGTCTTGTTATTGGAGATCACCCCTTGGCCTCACCCTTTACCCCAGATGTCTCATCAAAGTGCCTCTGGCCCCCACACTGAGGTTCCCCCGAGACAAACATCCTGGTAAATATAGCTTTGTGTGCTTTCATTATTTATTCCCAGGGATGCCTAATGCCCCTGAATTGCCTGGCATCTTGGCTCTGCTGCCTGTCAGTGGATGTGTCTCTGAGGACAGCAGGCTCCCCACAGTCTTTGCAGCAGCCCAACACGGGGAGCTGGGGAATGAGCACAGTGAGTATGAGCACCGTATCCAAGGCACAGTGCCTGGGTGCAAAACAAACCCCTGCTCCACCACAGACTGGCTCTGAGAATATGGGCAAGCTACTCAACCTCTCTGAGGGTGGCTTCCTCTGCATAATGGAGCAATACTAGTGCCCACCTTATAGGGTTGTTGTGAGGAGTAAATGAGTGCATGGATATTGTTCATCACAGTAGTTGACACAAAACCAAGGCAGAATTAGAATTTAATATTAGTATCAGTGTTACTACTAATGCAAGAGGGGGTAAAAAAAAATGGCTCCAAGGCTGGTAGATCATGAGGTCAGGAGTTAGAGACCAGCCTGGCCAGCATGGTGAAACCCTGTCTCTACTAAAAATACAAAAAATTAGCCAGGCATGGTGGCACGCTCCTATAATCCCAACTACTCTGGAAACTGAGGCAGGAGAATTGCTTGAACCTGGGAGGTGGAGGTTGCAGTGGGCCAAGATCACACCACTTTACTCCAGCCTGGGCAACACAGCAAGACTCCATCTCAAAAAAAAAAAAAAAAGCCTCACAAACATTCCCATGTGAATTGAATATGCAACTTAAAATGCTTACATGAAATGGTATTAATAAAAGTATTGACTTGAGTAGAAATGCTGGCTTGGCCACTATTCCATTGGGCCTGCCCAATGTCCAGTGTTAGATCCCAAGAGCTGGCAATGAGACTCTTCCAAGATCATCCCCAATGCCATTTCTCAGGCCAACACATGCTAGGCTCATCACAACCTCACAGCTGCCAATGGCTCCAGCTTCCATGCCCAGCCCACCCCTGGGAGAACCAACTCTGTAGCCTCACTGGGCTGCTTTGGGTACCCAAAATGTACCATAGACTTCCTGGTCTCTTGACCATGCTGTTCCCTGGCTCTTCTTTGCCATCCTGAAAATTTTAAACATCTCAAAAGATCATTCATACACTACCATCTTTCCAACACCTTCCTTGACTGACAGAAACACAGCCATGGCCTTTCTGTGGTCCCAGAAGCTTTGTTGGTGTCTGTATCCACTTACAGGATAACCTGTTCTCCCAATAGACAATGAGCCTCCTGTGGAATATATCTTTAGCTCACCATGCCTGATACTAACTAGATACCTTACAAATGTTTAATGATTAAAAGAAGTATTAGAGATAAGTTTTACTTGGCTTGTGCACAGCTGTGTATGCACAAACACATACACACAAGGTCTCCTAATGACTATGTGAAGGCAATTTCAATGTGGAAAATACAACAGTATCACAAAAGTTCAGTAAGTCAGGGAAACCAACTTCCAGAACGCAGTCCATCCTTTTACACTGATGGTAAAAGCATTAGCAGCACTTTGGCTTGTGTGGTACTTAACAGTTTACAAAGCACTTATAAATGGAAGGACCCTGAGGGTTGGAGTTGGAGGACACGTTCTCAACATCTAGCCTAATTTCCTGGGTAAAGCAGGAATCTCCTGGAAAAAATCATCACTCAGGGTTCTGTAGCCTCTTGCCAATGCATCCTGTGCCCCAGAGTTTCCTACCTTTCAGAATAATTCACAGTATTTTTAGAGATCTCTAATCATTCAAAGGTTCCTGTCTTAGGTTGAGTTAAACTTTGCTTCCCAGGACTTGTCACCTATTAGTCCTGGAATATCTCTCAGGAACACACACAAAAAATTTTCTTCTGGCAGAATTCAAATTCTATTGGTAACTGTCATGTCCACCCTAATCTTCTGTGAGGTGATCCATCCCCAGAGCTTCAGTATTTCATCCTTTGACTTGGATCTCAGACTTGTCACCTCTCTGGCACCCTTGCTTAGGAAGATGCTACACCATCCTTCTAGGAAGGATGCCAACAGGTGGAATAATGCACACAGCAGGTGTCTGACTGGAAGAGGAGGCATCATTCACTTGGATGTTTAGGTCTTTAGTGCAGTTATGTCCTGCCTAACTGTTCTGGGATGAATTGTGGCCCCCCCTCCAAAATTCATATGCTAAATCCTTATCCCCCTAGTGCCTCAGGATGACACTATATTTAGAGACATTATTGTTTTGTTTTGTTTTTTCTCTGAGACGGAGTCTTACTCTGTCACCCAGGCTGGAGTGCAGTGGTGCGACCTCAGCTCACTGCAACCTCCGCCTCCCAGATTCAAGCAATTCTCCTACCTCAGCCTCCCAAGTAGCTGGGATTACAGATGCGCACCACCACACCCAGCTAATTTTTGCATTTTTAGTAGAGACAGGATTTTACCATATTGGCCAGGCTGGTCTCAAACTCCTGACCTCGTTGTCTGCCTGCCTCGGCCTCGCAAAGTGCTGGGATTACAAGTGTTAGCCACCGAAGCCCAGCCTAGAGATAGAATTTTTCTAATTTTTAATTTTTGAGAGTGCGTAGTAGGTGTATGTATTTCTGGGGTACATGAGATATATTGATACAGGCATGCAATGCATAACAATGATAATAACCATAATAATCATAATCTTAAGTGGGGTATCTACTGCCTCAAGCATTTAGCCTTTGTGTTACAAAGAATCCAATTATATTCTCTTAGTTATTTTAAATATAAAATTAAATTATTGGCTGTAGTCACCCTGTTGTACTATCACATAGTAGGTCTTATTCATTCTATTTTTTGTGCCCATTAATCATCCCCAACCCCTTCCACACCCTCACTTCCCTTCCCAGCTTCTGGTAACCATCTTTCTGTTCTCTATTGTTTTAATTTTTAGCTCCCAAAAATAAGTGAGAGCATGTGAAGTTGGTCTTTCTGTCTCTGGGCTATTTTACTGAACATAATGACCTCCAGTTCCATCCATACTGTTGCAAATGATGGTATCTCATTCTTTTTTATGGCTGAACAGTACTCCATTGTGTATATGTACCACAATTTCTTTTTCCATTCATCTGTTGATGGACACTCAGTTGCTTCCAAATCTTGGCTATTGTGAATAGTGCTTCAATAAACATGAGAGTGCAGATATCTCTTCAATATACTGAGTTCCTTTCTTTTGGGTAAATACCTAGCAGTGGGATCGCTAGATCATATGGTAGCTCTAGTTTTAGTTTTTAAGGAACCTCCAAGCTGTTGCAGAGAAGGTCTTTAAAGAGCTGATTAAATTAGACAGTTACAGCCAGGCACGGTGATTCACGCCTGTAATCCCAGCACTTTGGGAGGCAGAGGTGGGCAGATCATGAGGTCAGGAGTTTGAGACCAGCCTGGCCAACATGGTGAAACCCTGTCTCTATTAAAAATACAAAAATTAGCTGGGTATGGTGGCGGGTGCCCATAATCCCAGCTACTTGGGAGGCTGAGGCAGGAGAATCGTTTGAACCCAGGAGGTGGAGGTTGCAGTGAGCCAAGATCGTGCCACTACACTCCAGCCTAGGCAACAGGGCAAGACTCCACCTCAAAAAAAAAAAAAATTAGACAGGGTGGGCTTTAATTCAATCTGACTGGTGTCCTTATGAGAAGAAGAAATTTGGACAGAGAGAGAGACAGCAGGGACGTGTGGCACAGAAGAAAGACCACGTGAGGACACAGAAGTTGGCCATCTGCAAGCCAAGGAGAGAGGCCTCAGGAGAAAACAAACCTGCCAGCACCTCAATCTTCAACTTCTCTAGCCCCCAGAACTGTGAGAAAATACATTTCTGTTGTTTAGGACACTCAGGGTATGGTAATTTGTTATGGCAGCCCCTCATAAATGAATACACTACCTACATGTGTAACTCACTTCTATTACCTACACAGCACCGACAGCATTGAAGTTGCCAATTTCTGGTCAAGAGATGAGTGACAAGATACCTTCTGGAATAAATCTCAGAGCCAGTTCTGCTCCCTTTCTGAGCTTCCAAAGAATGACATGCAGCCCCATCAGCATTTCCATCCCAGCACTGCCCGTCACCCTAAGAAACACTTATTTCTCTGTTGAAGCGAAAGACCCTTCCCTGATACAGGCCAGAATTTTCCGAAGTAAGGTCTTTGTTTTTAATGAAACATAAAAGGACAGGAAGAATATCAAATCATAAGGCAGACGAGTCACTGCTAAGTCCTTTAAATTATCATACTTGTTCTTATACCACCCATTTAGCCTAATGGAGAACAGAGGGCATGCCCTATTGTCTCCTGCATGGACTCAGTTACGAGCTGCTCTCCAACATATGGAGAGAGGCCCTTCCAGATACTGCAAGACATGGAGAGAGGCTCTTCCAGATACTGCAAGACACAAGCACACCTACTTGGAGTGTCCCTTTTGTCCTTGCTTTGCCCTTTGAACTTGATGCATAGCAATATTTTCCTAGTAACAAACTTGGTTCCCCTCCCACCTCCCAACTTCCCTGAAGTGTCACAGGTAAAATACTCTCTCTTCCTCGACCTAGTTCTAGAAGCCTCCAATATCCTGCACTATCCTTACCCCTGGTTTATCCTCATCTTAGGGAACTGAATGCTACTACAAAGTAGATCCCCTTTTAAAATGACATAAGCACTTTGGTCTTCTCCCCAGGGTTCTGCTATTTCAGGGAGACAAGCAGAGGTCACAAAGCATCTCTAGAAGTAAAATGCCATCCAGGGGTTCTGGGCCACCAACAGAGCTGCTAAGTGCTACTTCCTTTGTCCTGGGCATCCGATAGCCTAAGGCAAGGTACAGATCCCTAGGGGCTGAAGACAGAGTGAATCAAATCTGATCCAAACGCCTAGGAGCAGCAAGAGCTAAGTTGAGAAAACCTCCAGTAAATGCCAAATCTGAGACCAAGAGGAGAACTGAAATCAGGGCCACGGCTAGAGGGAATAAGTGAAATGGAACAACAGGGAGGCAGCGATGGAATGGGACAGTCTACAGACACGGGTCAGGAAGAAACAGAGTCAGGCTTCTCAGAGTCAATTCTTTATGCATCACCCCTTGGAGTCCATCACCCAGAAAGAAGGCTGTGCATCTTCAAGTCAGGGCAGGAAAAGAGGAGAGTGGGCAGTCATCCATCTACCTCCTCTCAGCTGCCTGCCCAGAGGTACAAGCTTTGAATTTCCTCTCCTAACCATGAGATCTATCTTGTCACTAGGATTTTCTGTTCTTTCCACAATTTATTCCACCTTGTGAATGATTGGAACAAATCTTTAAAAGGGCATTTTTCAAAGCCATGATGGTACAGTAGTCACACTGTCTGGCCCTGACAGCTCTGAACAAGTCACAAGCCCCCAAATTACACGGAACAGCTGTCCATCAAGTATTGCCATAGTCTACTGGCTGCTTGTGAGATACAGTTAAGTCATGCACACAGGCCACCCACCAACAAGCAATTGTGATTGGAAGTGCTTCGGCTTTCATCACCAACTTCGGCAGCAGAGAATATGGCATCACGCCACAAATGGCAGCTTCCAGAAACAAATCAGATGTATCACGTAGCACTTCATTCTCCTACCTTCAATGGCCATGCATCCTGCAAACTGGCTCCAAAAGACTCCAGGGCAGTTAGATCGGGGTATCACTTGTATATGGCCGTACAGTCTACGGTAATTTGTATTATTGTTCAAAATACTACTGACCAAGTTTTCTATCTGCCCCTGCCATTGATATTAGTCTTAGCCATGTAATTTGGAGTGTTTCTCCTTGGAGGAAGATTATATATCCCAGACCCTGTGGTCAAAGGCTTGGCCTTATGATTTCTGGCATCCTTCCTAATGGAAGAACATATACCCTCACTTTGCTGAGCTTAAGAGTGGCTACGTAATTTGCTTTGGTCCATTAAATGCAGACAGTCATGTGTCATTTCCAGTTTAAAATCCAGCTCATAGTTTTCTGTCAGTTTTTGCTCTGTTCCACAGACCACCTATTTCCGAGATAGAGGCTGTTGTATCAGCCTAAGTACCAGATTAGAGGCCATGTAAGGTATGGCCACAGCCAACCTGATATGCAGCATAGATGAAAAATGAACTTTTGTGGTTGTAGTTTACTGAATGGGGAACATTTATTTTCAGAGGTTATTTATTATTGAAGCATAATCTAGCCTATCCTAACTAAAATATCTTCTTCCTTTTTCTCTTTTTTTCTTCCACTAATTAAGCACCTACTAAAAATTGAGAATGCTTTATAAATTGAGCACCTACTATGTGACAGGTACTGGATTGGGCAGGGAATGCAAATAAAAGACATACCTAATGGGAAGACCCAGATGTTGCACAAATACATTTTGATACATTGTGGCAAGTTTTACAACAAGATGCATCAGCAGCTTGAAGGAAGCCATTGCTCTGTCTTCTCTATCAGGAGTTGTGGAGGGCTTCATAGAAATACCCGTCATATATGATGCTCCAAAAATAAATAAGGTTGATTGAATGACTTTGATATTGGGGCTAACTTTAAGAAAAAGATCAGGGGTTTGGTTGGCAAGGAAGAAAGAAAATGGCATTCCAGTAGCCCAAAAGGGGGAAAGGGCATTTCAGAACAAAAAAAAAAAAAAATGGCATAAGCCATGTTGTGAATATACCTCTGTTGTTCAGTGAGGATGGAACTTAGGATGGACAGATGAAGAGTTAGATAAAATGATTTCAGATAATTCCACTGGAATCAGGTTGAGAATACCGAAAGGCCATTCCAAGGAGGTTTGACTTAGCCTTGGGGGTTATGGAGGAACAAATGGAGACATCTAAAGCAGGGGAATGAGGTGGTCTTCCTGCCACAGGAGGTGGTGTGGAGCAAGGGATGTGGCTGGGTTTGGGAATCACAAAAAATGGAGTTCACTCTGGGTAACATGAGATTACAACATTTAGAACAGCAAATCTCCAGTGGAGAAAGGGAAAAGCACAAACCCACCTTAGATCAGCTTCCCTAAGCAACAGACTCTGAAAAGGAGATGAGATGCAAGAAGGAGGTTTACTGAGGAGAGCTCCTGAGACCATCACCTGGAAAGGAGTGAAGGATGCAGGATGGAGCAGAGGAAGAAGTCCAGCTGTGATGCAGTTGCAACATAGTCCATGGCTGATCACCTAGGGAGCTCTAAACTTTGGATGGCCCATCAGAGTTGTCTTGAACTGAGGCAAGAGTATCAGACCCTCATACTCTCACATCAACCAGGCTTTGGATATGGGTTACCCCCAGGAAAGAGGTGTAATCTTGGGCAAGGGACCTCCTTTCCACAGAAGGACGTTACCAGGACAAGATTCTGCTAAGCTGTCGGTGGCAGTACACACTCTTAGCAGCTGGGGCAGTGAGTGCCTGGGTGCTGAACAGGGAATCAGAATCTTAGAGGCAGCTGTTGGCATCCACTACACACCCTCACACGGAACAACAACTTGCCTTCCACCAAGTGAAGACACAGCAACAAGGCAACATCTTTGAGGCAGAGAGCAAGCCCTCACCAGATACTGAATCTGCTGGAACCTTGATCTTGGATTTCCCAGCCTCCAGAACTGTAAGCAATACAATTGCATTGCTTAAAAATTACCCAGTCTAAGGTATTTCGTTATAGAATGCTGAAGGGACTAAGACACTGGCACAACACTTTCCAGTACGTTCTATTTTTACAGACAAGAACATGGAGGTTCAGTGAGGTTACATTATCTGCCCAAGTGACCATGGAATCAGACTGAAATTTAACTTTAGCAGTGTCTGACTCAGAGCCTACATTCTCCCCATACATTTTGGTATTTATCTTCAAAAGGTATGAATATCTCTATACAGGGGCCACACCACAGGGAAGACCAACCAAAAGGACAATATAAGGGACTGTCTCTGAAGAGGAAGACCTCCAATGCCCTTTCATGGGTTCTCAAAAACACCTGGGGTCTGAGTCTGATCAGTACTTTGAAATCCTGCTGCTCAGGGGTTTCTGCATTAGGTAACTGTACTCCCCAACCACAAAGCCTCTCCATGACCTTCTTCCCTGCCCCAGTCAAGGCAGAACTTGGCTTGGAAGGGAGCTCAGTGAAGACTGGGCAATAGGTGACCTGAGATTTGGGGCAGAACGGCCAGAAATCATCACAGGCACCACGCATGACTATGAGTACCAGGCACTATCACCCATACCACCCCATTATCACTCCCATTTTACACTTAAGAAAACTAAAGCACAGAAACCTGAGTCCCTTGTCTGAGGCACATAACATGTATGCAGCTGATCCAGAATTTTGTTCTTTCTTCCTGGACCTGCATCAACACAGAGTGAAACAAAATTTAAACATCAGTTCCTCAGGTGCACTGTCTACATTTCAAGTGCTCAGTGGTCACATGTGGCCAGTGGCTATAGTGGGTAACATATTGAGTAGGTCAGGTCTAAGAATATTTCCACCATTGCACAAAATTCTATTGAATAGTGCTGATAAGGGCTGCTTTGAGGTCCTGGGGGAGCAAAAGAGCCTCGGTGATTATCTAAATTTTCTCTATGCCCCTCACCCACTGTCCCAAATCTTTTCATTAAAAAAAAAAAAAAAAAACAGTGGCAAATAAACCTAATTAATCTGAGGGGGGAAATATATATAATTAATCCAGAAGGGAGAAGGGAAACCATTTTTGTACCTGTTTATGTTCACTTGATAAACAGAGGAAAGCTAATGCCTCTGTAGTTCCAGAAGAGTCCACAGGGGAATTGGAATCTCTTATCTTAGCCCCCCGCAGAGCGTCAGGCCTGAGATCAAAGCAGATCTGTGCATGTCATTACTGCATATCCTCCCCTTCCCTCCTACATTTTCAAGTCTTCTTGGTTCAGAAGAATGGCCTACATTAGCCTGCCCGTAAAAAGTGAAGCCTTTATTTCACAACAATACTAATAAGTAAAAGCAAAATAGCAGCAGCTAGATGTCCAGCTCCCTTTCCAGACACCTCCCAGATATAAACGCATGATGTGCGATACAGAATTGCAGAGGTCTTGGCGGTTCTCTGGTCCAAATTTCCATCTATAAAATTTATGCCAAGCCATTGTGTCCTTAAACTTGAATTAATTTGAATGTCTCTAGCAGTGTGTGTGTCTGTGTGGTGTGTGCGGTACCTGAGACCTCCCAAAGAAGACAACTCTATTTTGATACCTACAAATGTCACAATAGAGGACTTTTTTGGATACATCTTTTACGTTGTATCCAAATTTGCCTTTTTGTGGCCACTGCCCATTTCTCTTGGATCCCTCTTTGGGGACCTAAAGAACAAGTCCAGGGCCACATGTCAGTAGATGTGAAGACAAGACTTAGGACCCCTTGAGCCTTCCTCTCTGGGTCTCTCTCCTGATGGTCTCAAGGTGTGGCTTTAATACCTCTCTCCCTGGCAGCTTCCTCCCTTCGTGTGTTCAGTTGCACCTGCCCACCTCCTGTTGAGAGATGGACAGCCCCACTTGAGTCCCAGCCTGTAGGGGAATGGAAACAACCCTCTCCACCACCAGGACCCATAAGTGAAGGCATTTGGGAGCTCACACCTTCAGAAGCTGCCACACCAAACTGCCCTGTCATCCGCACAGGGACTCCCACCCACTGTGCATCTGCTTCTGGACTCCTTCCTGGTTTCTCATAATAAAGTCCAGGTTGGGAAGGAGCAATGTTAATTAGTTACAAGTTGAAAGCTATTACCATAATAATGAAAAGATGAGTAAATGCACAATCTCCTTCTTTCACAGAGGTATTTACAAAAGAAAGATTAATAAGGTAATTTTACCTCCAAATCTGCAAGGAGCTCAGCAGATGAAGCACAGAGAAGATGGGAAGGTGGAGGCAGATGCTAAGGTCATCAGGAAGGAGGGAGGGTATCCCTGCTCTACAGAAAAACACTGAGCGCAGTGACCTTAAGTAACTCTCAAGGTCATGCAGCAAGTGGTGGAGCTGGAATTGAAACCCCGGAACATCCAACCCCGGCCCTAGAGCTCTCGCTCCTGACCACCCTGCTGCCTCTCACCGCACTACGCCTTCACCTTCATAATCCCAATATTGGGTAGTGGGTACTGGCCCCATTTTATAAAGGGGAAGACTGAGGCTCAGAAGAATAACTCATTTGCCCCAGCCACACAGCCAGAGAAGCTCTAAGAGTCTGGGTCCGGGGGCCTCTGCCCTGGAGCTCATGCTCTTTCCTGACTGTGTGTTCCATTCTAGAAGAAATCTGTCTTTCCTGACCCACAGAAAGAACCATCCAAGGAAGTCCCAGATGGGGGTACACAAAAGTGATTTCCTCAGGCAGCCAGGTCACAATAGCTTCTCAGTACAAGAGCCCAGACTTTGGCATAAAGTTCAGGACCAAAACGCACCTAGAAGGAAAGAGGGAAACCCCCTCCCTTTGATGCATCTTGTAGAGGCAGGGATGGCTGAAACTAACCAGGAGCTGAGCCCTATTCACGATTGCTACTGCTGTTACCTGCCTGGTATGTGTTGTAGGCTGGGGAACACGGGAATGCCTGGTGTGGCTACTGCAGAAAAAGTCAGGACTCTCCAAACTCCTACAGTCCTCCAAGGGCAAACGAACCTTCCAGGAGGTGGAATTAAATAAAGCTGAGAGATGATGTCTTCACTAATTAAAAAAAAAAAAATTAAACAGCCTCAGGATTCAGAAACTGAAAGGAGAGAAAGCCCTAATCCTAATATTAGGCTGGTGCAAAAGTAATTGCAGTTTTTGCCATAAAAACAGCAAAAACTGCAATTACTTTTGCACCAACCTAATATTTCAAAACCGTGAACACAGATGTTAGAGGCAAATAAATTCACAGTAGAATGAAAAAGTCCAAAAAACACTAATGCTCCACCTCTCCTGTTGACCAAACCCAAGGAATTCCCCACTTCAGCACTCCGGAACCGGGTTTTGTCTGTGCTTAGCTAGGATTACTTGCTGGAGAGGGGGGTCCCTGTCTGTCCCCACAACGCCTGCCTTCACCCCTACCTCAACCCCACCCCCACCTTTTCCTCAGCATGTCCAATCTCTACCTATGCTTCAACACTTATTAGTAACAATGCTGGGATTAGGGGACTCACCCACTAATTCTACCCACCTCCAGTGCAATGTGTAGAGGAGTCACAGCAGAATAAACAGAGACAAAGGAAAATACAGCACTACTTCCCGGTTGGCTGGGCTTGGGCACCCAACTGCAACTCTGAAACCTCAGGGAAGTGAGAACAGGCCCCTCGTAGTGCCCCAGCCCCTCAGCAGTCCAGACCAAAGGAGGCTGGCCCAGCACACCAAGCCATGAACACACCTGAGGGTCTGCAAGAACACTCCCGCCTCGAAACCACCCAGGAAGTGGATCCAGGCCTTACCAAGAGCACTTGGATACTTTAGAGTGTCTGGAGGTCTGTGTTTTCTCAACTCTCTGTATCAGAGGTCAGCAAAAGGCTTCTGTAAAGGACCAGAGAGTAAATATTTCAGAATTTGTGGGCCATACGGTCTCTGCGGCAACTGCTCAACTCTGCTACTACAGCACAAAAGACAATAAAACTTTATTTACAAAAACAGGTGGTAAGTTGGACGTGGTCAGGGTCTGGTCCCTGCCACGCTGTCATTTTCTGGCCTCTGTTCTAGAGGACAAGAGTTCTGTCTGATTCATCCTTGTTTTTGCCTTTCAACACTGTGGGTATTTCATAATCCTTTGCGGAAGGAAGAGAGGAAATTTGTTTTCAAAAACCAGATGAACAAAGGTAACTACTGAGACCTGATATGTCCTAAGGTATGCTTGGATGTCAAAGCTAAAAGATTAAGTGCAAAGAAGTTCCCAACAGTTTAAGAAAACAGAATTTGGAGTCCACTGAGCAAGGTTAATTACTCTTCTGTGTCAATTTTTTTCCACACTTACAGCAAGCCACTTAGTTGAGGAAAATTCCAGATAAAGCACCATTATTCAAAATGTACATGGCATCACCATAATGTCCAAGACTGATTTCATGCTCCTGTCTGGAAGCTGAGGATGGAAAGGAGTTTGCCCTGAACCATAAACATACACTGGATACCATCCCTGGACCAGCAATCACACACCAGTAACACTCATTCCCCTGGGCACCAGGGAGTCTGTCCCAGCATCAGTGAGGGGCCCAAATCTAAGGACAAAGGCAAATGCAGCTGGAGAAAAAACTCCTTCTTGAATGCTTCCTTCAGAGTCAGCAAAGAAAAAGCAACAAGATTATATTTTATGTATTATGAAACTGAATGAGCTGGTCATGTAAATCACTTGTTGCTTTAAAAAAAATTTTGTTTTGCTATGTATTTTCCTCACTGTGTATCCTGGTGTCTCACTGTGTATCACTGCCCCAGCTGGAGTGCAGTGCTTATTCACAAGTGGGATCATGGCATACTACAACTTTGAACTCCTGGGCAGAAGTGATCCTCTTGCTGCAGACTCTAAAGTAGCTGGGACTGCAGATATGCACCACTATGCCCAGCTTTATTTTTAGATTGCCTTCCCAAAAAAGGAGAAAAATGCAACCTGGTCCATATTATTCAATTTTGATGGGAGGAATAACTGTCCTCAAATTTGTCATAAGGTTTTGTAGGATGTAGGGTGGAGGCAGAAGAGAAGAAAGAAAGAGAAAATTTAATTTTGTGTTTAAGAATTTACAAAAAAAAACCCCATGAATTCCAAAGATTAAATTCTACAGCTCACAATGGAATAAAATCTGAAGTTAGCTATGAAAGGTTAGATATTTAAAAACTCAATCCCACTCAAAAACCTTAAAACAATAGGCTAACCTATTTCATTAAGGAGGAAGTAAAATATAATTACAGACTAGGTAGGAAGATGGAGAAAAAATACCATTTAAGACTTTCAGGTTGCAGTTAAAGCTGTATTCAAACAAAAATACATACCTGACTTTTCCTATTAAGTTAGAATGAAAATTTAAAAAAATGGTCAATCAACTTATAAGTTTAAAAAATACAGAAATGCAGGAAAATGAATTAATAAACTGAAAAGAATGTTTAATAAATCTGAAATTTTCTAAGTGATAGGATTGATTCATATAATAGCTGGTTCTTTTCAAAAGACCATAAAATACATAAATCTTTGGCAAGAGGGAAAAACATAAACATACAACATTAGAAATTGACTAGGTGAATTGCCAAATTCAATTCTTCTTTCATTCTGCAAATATTCATTGATCACCTGTAAAGTGGCAAAAACTGGTGACACAACAATGAATTAAGCAAAATCTTTGCTTTAGCTCCCTGTAAAGGAGAAAGATAAGTAATTGCATTTATGGCGTGTTATGAAACATATGCAAATTTTATGAAAGACTACTATGTGAAACTATGCTAGGAAACTACATCTCCTAGAAATGCACTATTTTACAGGAAAATATAAAATCAAAACTGATTTGACTACATAAATAACCGTTATTCTAAAACTTAAATATTTATCAAATTTGCCTTCAAAAACTGTGCAATGACAGGTGGCTTCGCAGGCTACTTCTGAAAAGCCTTCAGGGAACTGATGATTCTGGTGCTTCATAAACTGATCTACAGCCAAAGCAAGAGAGAGGGATCTCGTGCACTTTAAGCCACCAGTAAAACCCTACTACCAAGCTAAAGTGGGACAAAGCAAAGGACAAAACAGCTTCACTTTGGGATGTTAAAGCTAAAATTGAATACAAGTCTACAGTCTTATCCAGAATTCTGAAAGTGAAAAAGTTCTGAAACCTGTTTTTTTTTGTTTGTTTTTCATAAGTCATCTGGTGGCAATGGCCTGTGCTGTCCACACTCCCCTCTCTTCCACATAACCCTCATTGGGTACACCTATGACAGAGGCATACAGGAACGTAAAATCTCCAGCTTCCTTGTTCCAATAGAGACAGCCCTAAAGAGTCACCTATACTATTTCCAGAACTCCCTTGTGCAACTGAGCTAGAGTCACCTTCTGTGGGACTCTGCGTGATATCATACCCTTGTTGGTCTCCTTCTCTTCCATCTGTTTTTCCTGAGAACACTTCTGAATCAACCATTCTCACATGAACCCTTGTCTGGGGGTCTGCTGCTGGGAAACCCATCGTAAGACAGTAAAAAAATCTGACCTAAACTGCTTCTGTGGCTACACCTGACCTGAGCCTATTTATAGCATTATTTATCTGACTTAGCTTTGCAGTCATATGTTTGGCTGCATAAATATTAACATGTTTGATTAAGGAGCACTTCCTCAGACTCCACTGGGGTTGTTACATAACATTCACAATATACGTATCATATTACCTCCCTAAAATCTAATAAAATACGAATTACAAACACATTTCGCCCAAAGGGTTTCAGACAAGGGATTAAGGAGCTGTATAAAATACTAGTAGATCAAATCTAGCACTATATTAAAGGAATAAAAACCATAGACAATTAAAGTTAATTACAACAATGGTTTAATATTTAGAAATTTAGTCATACAATTTGTAAAAATAATAGGTCAATTGAGTAAAACCACATGACAATCTCAACATTCGTTCCTGATATAAAAATAACCTAGAAATAGCATGCGAGTTCCTCAAAATGATTAAGAATATTTATCTGAAAAAACAGTCATCATACTTAATAAAATTTCAGGAGCATTATAATTAAATCAGAAAAAAGGATATCTGCTATGATTATTTAACTTCATTCTAGAATTTATAGCACAAGCAAAGCAATAAAAATAAAAGAGCTATAAGCATTTAAAAAGAGAAAACAGAAGTATCATTATGTGTAGATGACATTATTGTCTACCTTCAAACCCAAGAGCATAACTGAAAACTGTTGGAAATGATAAAAGATTTTTAGTATAGGAGCCAGATATAAAATATGTGCCTAAAACCACATCTATTTATACGAGCAATAGCCAATTAGAAAATATAACGGAAACATTTAACCCATATACAAAAGAAATACAGATAAATAAAAAATAAACAAGAAATATGCAAGACCTAAAAAAAGAAAACTCTTAAACTCCACTGAAGGGCATAACACAAGCGATTTGAGTAAATGCCAGGAGGTATGTTGTACTTAGATAAGAGAAATCAACACTGTGAAAATGCCTGAGATCTCTAACTTAATCTATAAATCCAACGCAGAGCCAACCAAAGTTCAAACAAGATTTGAGGGGAGCACCTGACAAAATTACTCTAAAGTTTTTCTGGGAGAATAAAAATGCAAAAATGCCTGGGAAACTTTTGAGATTTTAGAGTACTGGGGAAATAATCCTCTCCAATATGAAAACATATCATAGCTACAGTAGTAAACAAGATAGCATCACTGTATGGATAGACATAAATGAAAGCTAATTAGACCCCAAAATACATATTATTCTGGTTGCATGTCCTGTAAGTAGAAAACACATGAATTATTCAGTAAGAGGTATTAGGACAACTAGCTATCTTCTTGAAATAAAATGATAAAAAAAAAACCACAAAATCTCTATCTCACTCCTTACACCAAAATAAGGGCCTGATATGGTAAAGATTTAAATTTATAAAAGGAAGAGAGGAAAGGAAGAAGGGAGGGAAGGAAAGAAAACCATAAAAGCACCAGAAAAAAAAGAAAGTATATTTTATGAGAGTGAGGAAGGCCTTTCTGATGATGCCATGAAGATGAAAAATCAGTAACATACTGATAAATTTCATCACATAAAAATTTAAAAACAAATAAAAAACTTATTGTGACCAAAAATAAAAACCCAAAATCAAGTAAAAAGAAAACCACCACCTGAGAAAAAAACTACTGCAACATAAATGATAAAGAAAGAACTAATAGTTCTGGTGTCCAAAGACCATTTACAAATAAAAAAGAAGAAAACCAGGCCGGGTGCACTGGCTCACACCTGTAATCCCAGCACTTCAGTAGGCTAAGGTGGGCAGATCACCTGAGCTCAAGAGTTCTAGACCAGCCTGGGCAGTATGACAAAACCCTATCTCTACAAAAAACACAAAAATTAGCCAGCTGCAGTGGCATGCGCCTGTAGACCCAGCTACTCAGGAGGCTGAGGCAGGAGAATTGTTTGAGCCTGGGAGGCAGAGGTTGCAATGAGCCGAGATAGTACCGTTGCACTCCAGCCTGGGCAACAGAGCAAGACCTGGTCTCAAAAAAAAAGGAATAAAGAAGAAGAAAGAAGGAAGAAAGAGAAGAAGAAAACCACCTAAAAGAAAAATGTGCAGAGTATAAGCAACTAAAGCACAGGAAGGAAAATGAATGCCAAACACTAAATAACACTTGAAAATATTTTCTTACCTCACTAATAACTGAATGCTAATCAAAAAATGTTTTCATCTATGCAGTAAGAAGATAAAAAAGACTGATGAAAACCAGTGCTGGGAATGGAAGATAAAAACTACAACTCTTTTAGATAGCTGTTTGTCAATATTTAGAATTATGACTATCAATCATAAAATACCTAAAAGATATATAACTCACACAGCCAATATGGTTGCCAACAGAGCAGAACTGGGGAGGAAGGACAAAATTATTCACTATATATACTTATAAAACAATAAATATTTTTAAAATACACGAAATTATAACAGCCAATACTTACTAGCTGCTTGGCATATGCCAGACTCCGTGTTATAAGGCACTTTACCTGCACATACCCGCACCCCCTCACAACCCATTGTTCTACTTTCCCCAGAATGACAGAGCTCCCTCGCTGTCCTTGGTCCTGAAAGATGGGAATACCTGCTAACACTTCCTCCTCTTGTCAGAAGAGGACCAAAGAGGAAGCGCCGGTTTGTCTCTTCTTTCCTTGCCAACCCTTCCAGAAGAAGCATTGTGAATAAAATTGTTGAGAGCTAGACCTGCCTGAGGCCATGTCTGGGTAGCCATGGCTGATTTTCCTTTGCTTCAAAAGCTGTGTCTCCCTGTGCCCACTCATGATTCCTGAGGATACAGTGGGAATTCCCTGCTTCCTGCTTCCACTCCATTCCTCATTCAAAGACTGTCTGTTGGGAAATAATTCGAACCTGGAACATTTAGCATTCTTTTGCCCAGTGTTTCCCAAATTGTGGCACCCCGACCAGCAGCATCTGCATCACCTGGGAGCGTGTGAGAAATCAAATTCTTGGATCCACCCCAGACCTACTAAATCAGAAACTCCATGCATAGAGCCCAGCAATCTGTGGTTTAACAAGCCCTGCATGTGATTCTAATATAGCTAAAGTTTGAGACCGTCTCCAATCACTTACCAGTGAAGAAAACTAAGACTCGGAGAGCTTAAATGACTTGCTTCAGACCTGCAGCTAGAATGTGCCAGGGCTGGGATCTGAACTCAGATCTTTCTGTTTGGCAAACCATGGTCATACACACTGTGCTATAGTACTTTTTAATGTATTGCTTGTGTGGTATAAATTCAGGGAATACAAATTTTCTTTTAAAACTACAAATAATGTTCTTAAATGTTGTTATAATTAGCTTTAGCATTGGCTTTTTAAAATTTATGAAGGTGACAACAGAGCAGAAAATTATGCTAATCTTATCTCCTTTCATTTAACTCCATCTACATCACAGGACTCCTGTGTGTGGACAACAGGGACAAGTCCGCCCTGTCTCCCCAAAGCCAGCAACATTGAGTTGTAGGAAAGTACCTATAAGAGCCTTGCCAGCCTTGGGTGATGGCCATAACGTGCCACCTACTTCCCTTAGATCATCGTACAAGGGCTACCTCTTCCAAGAATCATTTTCGGCTGGAAAGTAAACCTATCCAACCTATGGTGAGCAAATGTGGTGTTTACTGTCATGCCAAATATTCTTGTTGTCATGCCAACAAGTGTTGGCAAGCTGCAGTCCACAGGCCAAATATGGCCCACTAGCTTTTTTTGTAAATAAAGTTTTATTGGAACATAGCTAAGCTTATTTGTTTATGTATTATCAATGGCTGCTTTCATGCTACACTGGGAAAATTGAGTACATGAGGCAGAAATATGTCCCACAAGGCCTAAAATATTTACAACCTGTCACTTTACAGATAATGTTTACTGACCCTTGGTCTAAATGGTTGTCACTCAAATCGAAAGAGAACAGATTTTTGCATGCCTGAACTCAAGTTCTAGGACTGACATGTACCAGAATCTGATGTTCAGAAAGTTCTTTACCCTCCCTGAGCCTCAATTTCCCCATTTGTACAATAGCTGCTCCACTGAACTGTGGTGATGGTTAGATGGAACAAGACATGTTAAAGGCCTGGTGCACAGCAGGTGCTCATTACGGGCTATTTTCCTCCCTTCACCTACTTAGGTACAGAGATTCCTAAAGACCAGTGGTGTCATAGCTCCAGCACATAGTAGGTACATTGTTTATTCAGGGCCAATTCCCTTTGTAAATTCAGAATGCAGAGGCTCTGCAAAGCCTGTAGGCTGCAATTTAAAATGTCTCATCGTCCAGTGATCCAGGCGATAATTTACTAACCAGGCAGCACACTTAGACACTATCATCTCCCAAAGCCAAACTTGTCCTGCCCAGAGCCAACAGTCAGCTCTGGCTTGAAAATGAAAAATGGGCTCCTGGGGATAGCAGATCCCGGCTGCAGGAGGGAAAGAGAAAGGGGCAAAACGGCAAAACTCTGTTCCCACAGATCTCTGCCTCAGGAAGAGTCCCCCCTTGGTGACCTTAGAATCTTTCACAAGCAGAGGTTTTATAACTCTCAGCTGCCTCAGAACAGAGAGCTCAATCTGTCTCTCTTCTTGGTCAAGCACAAGAGCAGCCACACAAGGAAAGTTGCCTTGGACCTGGGTAGTGAGAAGGGCATTCTTCCACCCACCCTCCCACCCGCCATCTCTCCTCCCACCCACCATCTCTCCTCCCACCCACCATCTCTCCTCCCACCTGCCATCTTTCCAATATTTCCTCTATCCCAAGCGCTAATGGTTTATGCCACTCTCTCCTTCCAATTTGAGCTTCTGGCATCTCAGATCATCTCAACTGTGGTTTTGTGCCACATCTTTGCTATTCTCCTCCTATTTTGCCTGTACTCCAACCATGTTACCATCCATATGTAGAATCATCAATTTTCAGTGCCAAGTATCCTATTGCCCGGTGTACTGGGCAATAGCCCATGGTCACATGTGGCCCATCTGAATCACAGAAAGGATACAGACAACCTGTAAGCACTGGATGAGATAAACACATTGTGCCTCTGGCTTCCAGGACTCTGGTCTTAATGAAAAGGAAGCCTTCTTTTGCCAAAGCGAGGTGCACCAGATGCCAGGAACCTGGTCCCCTGCAAGTTGAAGTGCTGATTGCAAATACACTGTATCTGGCAGGGGTGTGAGAGGCTAGCAAACGACGCCCTCCCTCAGCCCTCAGGGAGGCATTGGGAACATCCTTTGATGGGTTAATTGTACTGATTAATTTCAGTACAAAAGGTAGAAAAGTGAAGAGCTCCATATCCTGAGAAAAAAAGAAAGACAAAAAGACAAGAGGGTGAGGAATTAGGGCAAGAAGGAAAGAAAAAAAAATAAGCAATAGTTAGTATTAACAGATTTTATTGTGTGCTAGATATAAGCTAAATAATTTGTCTGAATTATCCTGTTCAATCCTCATAATCTTTGAGGAAGATTTGAATGTTGACCCTGTTTTACAAATGAAGAAATCAGGTCTCAGAGAGCAGAACTCATTTTCCTAAGGTTACACAGCCTACATGCAGCCAACCCCGCCTTGAGCCTTTCTGCCTCTGAGCTTCACAATCCTAACCCGCTTCATTCCTTTGCACGGAAGTAGGTTAAAGTTCAAGGACAGGCCAGGAAACAGGCACAGAGACCCCAGGCCACAGACTTGCAAAATTATCCAGTCCAGCCTTCCTATTTAACAAATGGGTAAACTGAGGTCTGAGGCAAGAATATGACCTTTTGAGGGTCACCCAGTGAGTCATCAGCCTGAATACTGTGAAGAAGATGATTTTTTAATAAAGTGCTTTCACATCACAAGGCTGGGAAGTGGGTAAGAATTCTCAGATTCAGCGCTTCTTTCTCCTTCCTCTGTCTGCTTATCCCACCACAGAGAACAGCTGATATGCCCAAGTCTGGTCTCTTGTGATGCTGGCCTAAGGGAGTCCCAGGGCTCGTTCAATGGACAGACACCCAGGAGAAGTGTCTGCGAGATGGCATCATTGTGGTTCAAGTGGTCCAAGGCAGATGGAGCAGGACCCTGGAGAGCAGCAACAATCCAGCCGCCAGCCTGAGAAAATGATTAGGCTGAATTTGGAGCACCTGCCAGCCTTGGGTCCTGGCAGGAGACCAGAAAACAAATCCAGGAAGCCCAGCAGAAGGGCAAATCCACAGGTGGGCAGGGGCTGGGAGAAGACAGAAGGCAAGTCTGACCAGAGGGCAGTTGACCAGGAGTGGCCACCTGCATACATGGGGCTTAGGGCAGCCTGGAAGGCTGGTGGTGATAGTGTCCGCCAGGGAGACTGGCCAGGGAAGGTTACAGTTTCCCCCTCTCCAGGAAGACTTGCACAGTGGAGAGTGGGCTGCAAAGCTACTAATCCTTTCCAATGTGTCACTCCTGCTGCGATCAGTACATTTTAAGGTCCTCAGAAACAAACTTCATAACGTACTGAAAAGGGGACTGAAAGAGGAACATTTCCCTCTTTTCAGAATTGCCAACACAGATGGCATGGATTCAAGTCCGGCCTCAGCACCTCCCTGCCGCATGCCCTTGTTACTGAGGCAGCCCCTTCAAGCCTGTGCCACTCCACCTGTAAAACGGGGACACTGATAGCACCTACCTCAAAGCACTGTCAGGAGGATTAAATGCACCAAGGTGTGTAAGACGCTCAGCACAGGGTTCTTCTCATCCTAAGTAGTAGACAGCCAGTGTAGTGCACGGTGCAGACAACTCAATAAAATATTATTGAACAGATTAAAACTTTCACACAGAATTCATTTAACTTGTTAAAGCAAGGAAGTGTGCAGCTGCAGTGTAAAGGCTTTTTGCTTTTAACTACTCAAAATCAAATTGGTATTCCACTCTCCTATCCCTGCACTCAACGCTAAGGTTATTTGGCAGGTCTGGCATATGACTACTTAAGATGGGGTAACAGCCTCTAATTAAGCCTTAAAATGTCACTGTAAGACGGGCAGGCAGGAAGGAACATCTCCTCAGGAAAACATTTCTGGGCCAGGCTTGGGCCAAAGAGCTGTCAATCAAGAGATTATTATGTTTCAGAGTTTTACACCCAAACAAATGTTGAGATCCAGGAGGGAGGATCCTTGAGGATAATTTCTTTTAGAAACAGAGCACCCAAGTCCAAAGGGTAGAGGATTTGGCCCAGATCCCCTGAGTTAGTAGCATTCCTTCCATAATACCTCTTCTCCCTAAAATTCCTCCCTTCAGTTAATTTCATTAGAGCTAACTGGTACTGACACAGCCTCCATGGGCGGATCAGATACAATAACCCAATCTTTATTTGTTTATTGAGCAACTACTTTGTGCCAGGCATTGGGGCAAAGCACCAAGCAAGACGGACAAGAACTCTAAACTCTAACTTTTTTCTTTTTCTTTTTTTCATTTTTTTTTTTTTTTTGAGTCACAGTCTCGCTCTGTCACCTAGGCTGGAGTCCAGCAGTGTTATCTCAGCTCACTCTTATCTCAACCTCCTGGGCTCAAGTGATCCTCCTACCTCAGCCTCCCAAGTAGCTAGGACTACAAGGCATGCACCACCATGTCCAGCTAATTTTTCTATTTTTTTTTTTTTTGTAAAGACAGGGTCTCACTATGTTGCCCAGGCTGGTCTCAAACTCCCGGGCTCAATCAATCCTCCTGCCTCAGCCCCCCAATGTGCCAGAATTACAGGTGTGAGCCACCACACCTGGACAATCCCTACCCTTTTGAGTTTATAATCTCCTGGGAGAAGAAGGACACGCATAAGAATACAAATAATGATTCCAAACAGCAATTACAGATGACAAAGGTGAAAAGGGATGAAAGGAGGCAGGGGAACCGAATTTAGATTCCATAGCTAAGAAATGTCTACTGAGCCAAAACTTGGAAACTCACAAGGACTAAGTCATGCAGAGTTCAGGAATGGGCATTCCAAAGAGATGGAAGAGTGAATGCAAAGGCCAAGAAATGGGCTAACACAGGGGAGGGATAAGAGGTGAGTAGGGGTAGAATCATGCAGCATCTCGCAGGCCACACTAAGATTTTATTGCAAGTGCAAAAGGAAGCCAGATGCAGCAGAGAGCCATGAGGGTAACATGTTCTGTCTTATGAATTAAGACAATCACTGTAGTTGGCAACGAAGGCGGCCAGCAGTGGTGGGAACTCAGAGAGAGGCACTCAGGGACCCAGACTAATGCAGCTGTTACATCAGTCCCATCCAAGGCCTAAAAAGGCTACTGAGGCCAGGCGCGGTGGCTCGCACCTGTAATCCCAGCACTTTGGGAGGCTGAGGCAGGCGGATCATGAGGTCAGATCGAGACCATCCTGGCTAACACCGTGAAACCCTGTCTCTACTAAAAATAGAAAAAATTAGCTGGGTGTGGTGGAGCGCGCCTGTAGTCCCAGCTACTAGGGGAGGCTGAGGCAGGAGAATGGCGTGAACCCGGGAGGCGGAGCTTGCAGTGAGCCTGGGTAACAGAGCGAGTCTCTGTCTCAAAAAAAAAAAAAATGGTTACTGAAAGCTTCCCCGTGGGCTAAGATGGCTTGGACAGCGGGACTGAGGTCGGGCTGTGGTGGGGGCATGCAGTTCTCCAGTGGCTTCGCCTCATCTCACCAGGAATCTCCCTGGACCCAAGGAACCAGCCATCCCAACACCAGCATCCTGCACAGTTCCGAGACTGGCCCTAGAGACACCCTGGGTTTCAATGAACACTTGTTCAACTAAAATGAACTCAGTAGGCAATCCCTCGAGAGATACAAGCTCTGCTATTGATGAAGGCTCACAGTGAGACAAGGATAATGGGTTCAAATCTTGTTAGCAAAGTCAGAGAACTGAGAAATTTCTGAGCTCCAAAGAATAATTTCCCTTCTGCTTTCAATATTTTTGCAGGGTGAGAATCTTTCATAGGGCGGCCAGGAATAATTCTTCGGCAATTATTCAGCATCTCTTGGACTGGTTTTGCTTATTTTCATCAAGTTAAAGATCATTCACGCCAGTTTCTTTTCAATACCGCCCTCCCTTCCCCTCCCTCCTCCCTCTTCCCCTCAGATCTATGCCTCATAATCTGTTTTCCCCGATTCGCCCTCTGCCTTTCTCCCCCATCCTCCTCCATGCCTGATGCTTCTCATGTTTCATCTTTCCTGAGAACCCACAGTGCTGCGCTTGAGCTCAGCAACTCCCAACTTTTTTATTTGACGTCCCAGTGTGTCTCCAGTCATCTCCAGGGGAGTTTTGAAATTCATTTTCATTCACTTTAATTTAAAAAAGAAATATAGGCCATTTAGTTCTTTTAAGAGGGGGAAATGGGGTGTCACTCAACCAGCAGGGAGGTGAATCCTGACTTCAGCTATTAGCTTATTGGGCAAAGTGGCTCTCTTCCAAGTGTTCTTGGTTCTTGGGTCGCTTAAGCAAGTAAAGTGTTTTGCTAATGTCTGAGAGACATTCACTCTTGGGGGGCAGGAAAATAAAGTTCAGGGAGAAAAGAGACATGAGAAAATTAATGTTTTCTATTAACTCCATTTCCAATAAAGTAGGAATTCAACAAAATAACTCATATCACTCATCCATTTAGTCATTATATTCAACAACTTATTTAGTATTTAACATTTTCCAGGACCTAGTCATGCTAATCATACTAATGATGATGATGATGATGATGACACCGATGACAATGATGATAACAGCAGCTAACATTTTATTCAGCTTACTCACTCTGTGCCAGGTAGAGCTCTGCAATAATTACCTCAATTAATCCCCACAGAACTCCATAAAATAGGGGTTCTTTTGTCCCTACTGCAGAACAGAGGCTGAGAAAAGTTAAACAAATTACCCAAAGTCACACCAATGTAAGTGGAATTTGAACTCAGGACTCTCTCATCACCACCATGACACACTGCAGCCTTGTCTCAGGGTTACAAAGGCAAATGAGGTACAGCCGTGCCTCAAGGATCTCACCTTAGCAGTGGGCAAAACAGGCAGGTAATCAACTGCATGGATCATTTGGAAAAGCCATAGAAAAGAACATGGGAGTACAAAGGTGGGGTCTCTGCTCAGCCTGGAAGCAGAGAATGCATAAAGATCCACTTCCAGAAGGAGGTAAAGAACTCCTGGGAGTTGGCTGGGCAGAGGGGGTGGGGTCCAGGAGAAAAGGGCTTCCAGAGAGATGAAAAAGAGAGGAAGGGGTCGCTCAGGAGGATGGACCATGCCTGAGAAATGCAGATATATGGAAGAGGCTGGTGCCAGGGGTTGGTGGATAGACAGTCCACGAGCCCTGGCTGGGGAGACTGTCAGGGGTCCAGTGGTTATTAAGTCCCTTTCTGGCAGGCTAACTATGGGTCCTAGGGAGCCAGGGAAGGGGGTGCACAACAGGGTGGCACAACCAGTCATGGAATCTTAGACATGGCCCCATGGCAACCCGGATTTGGCAATATAGAGAGAGGTTCAGGGGGCCCACCTAGAAAGATGTTTGATAGACATCTAAGCAAGCATGAGCAGATGTGGGCTTGGCCCCAGGCAGTGGGCCAAGGGGGTGGGAAACAGCAGATATTTGAGAGAGGCTAAGGGGAGAGAAATGATCGCTGTTGGTGGCCCTCATAGAGAAGTCTAAGAATATTGGCCATTATTTTTCTAAATTCTCCTGGGGAAAAAATGTTTCTGCTTTTATTTTTCTGGCGATAGTGAATTTCTAATGTATTTTTGCCATCTGCTCCACAACAGAGAGGCAAATAGGATTAACAAAGTTTATGACATGGAGAGAAGCCCTGTCCTGTCCTTGGGCCTGTGGGGGGAGAGAGGTGGCTGACCAACAGCAGTCTTCCTGCAAGTGACCCTCACGAAGACACCTGCTCGCCTCTGCCCAGCCACCCTCCATCACAGGTAACACATCTGCCCTGCTCTTCCCCACAACACCCTTGGCCTGACTCCCAAGAGCAGCAGGGGTGTCAGATGAAGCGGTCAACACAGATAACCTGACAGCTAAACAAGAGAACGAAATGAATATTCAGCAGCTGGTTCTGCTTCAGAGGCTGTTACCCTGTTCTCCATCTCTCCTTCAATCCCAGGAACAGAAGAAAAGAACACCAATCACCTCTCAGCCCCACCATTCTAGATCCAGGTCCATGGTGGTAGAGCAGATTGTGGAGATTAACATTCAAATTCAAACAGTCGCAGCATTCTGTCAGTGCTTTTAATAAGAAAAAGTGTATATCCTTTGGATAAAGCAGACCCAATTTATATATCTAATGTATGATCTCTTGAATTCATAAAAGGCCATGTAAAACATACATACATACATACATACATACATGCATACATACGTAGACACACTTACTTTGAAAGCTCAAAACACAAAGCCATCTCTCTACTTCAACATCTGAAAAATACTATCTTGCCAATGTATTTCCCAAGAAGAAGACAGTAAAAAGGAGTATAAACAAGAGGAAAAAAAGTATAAAACCTGATTATCATCTTCAATCCAAACATCTCAGACACAGGTAGACCCAAGGCTTTGGAGAATCCATTCCTTGCATACAACTCAATTCCTGCTGAGCCTATGTGACCAGACAGACAAGTGCAGACTGGCTTTGTGTTTAAACCCTAAATGATACCATTAACATGAGGCTTTCAGTTCTCCTGCCCAAGTATTTCCCGGGGAAATCACTCCGACAAATAAGCTTTCCTGGGGGCAACTGGCATCCTCTTTCAGCTCTAAATATGCTTTAGTTAACAGCATGAGGCCTGTTCATCCCTGCCCTGCTCATATATCCTAAATGAGATAGGAGCTAGAAGACCTAGGCTCAAGGACCTGCTGTGTCACAATTTGACTATAGAAATTAGACTAATTATGGGATCTCCCTGAGCCAGTGGCTATCAGTAAGAACAATTGCTAATATTTCCTGAGCTGCTGGGGTACTATCAACTTTATGTTAAGCATTTTACATGGATTATTTCAGCCAATCCTTCCAGTGTTTTATGGTGCCCATTTCAAAGGGAAGGAAGTGGAGGCTGTCAGTGGGAGTGCTGGGTGGCTGACCACAAGCATCCTCAACATGGTCTCTGAGCTCCAGGGCACCACACAGGTTACCAAGGAAGGGAACATGCAGCTTGTAGCAAGGCTGGTTCATTCAGCACTCACTATGGTGCAGGCACTGCATTGACCCTGTTGGAAAACAGGGAGAGACAAGAGCATGGGCACTGCCTGGAAGGAGGGCTGTGGCATTGGGACACACGACTGGTGGTGATGGTATTGGGCTAGTTCACTTGGTTTAGGCAGAATTTCAGCTGGACAAGAAGACGGGAAGGGAGCTCCAGGGAGAGGGCACTGCAAGGACAAAGGTCTGGCCAGCTTAGCTACTAAAGGCCCGGATTGGTGCTGAGCAAGGCCACGGCCACCCAGGCAGGGCGTTCACAGGCCATCTACCACCAGCTCTCCCTCATACGGCGTCTCTGCTCATTGACAGACCCAGCCCTGGGCCAGTGGCTTTCTGCTCATACCACAAGGTCCAAATCCGTTACAGGAAACCAGTAATGGCCTAACCTTTGACACTGGGTAAACATAAGCTCTGATCCTGGGTCTACCTCTTCACAGATGAATAATTTTGGGCAGGCCACTTCACTTCTCTGAGCCTCATCTGAAACATGGGAATCATGTGACTATTATAACCCAAATGTTGGTGTGCATAGCAAACTTTCCATTCACCCCTTTCCTGATAACAGAACCTCCCTCTCTGGTGGGAAACTCATCCCATGGGATACAGATGGGCCTGATCTCTGTCCTCCATTCCCACTGGAAGGAGCACAGGCCTCAAGCTTGACCAATCAAAGCATATCCCATCTCCTGGGTGCACTGATAGGTTCTAAGATGAGAAAGTGACCCAACCTCCCTCAATCTGAATCCTCCCAAGGCAGTTTTTTGAAGCTATCAGAAGAAAGTGGCTCTATTCTCTGGAATGACAAATTGTACAAGTGACACAAATCTAGAGCATCTGAATATATAGAACATTCTAGAGAATGAGCTCAATAGAGAGAAAGCAAAGTATAATAGAACCAAGATATGGAGAGGTGGAGAGAGGCTGAAAGCATGTTTGCATGTTCTAGCGAAAGTCTTTGAGTTCTTGGATCAAGCTATACCTGAAATCTGGACCACTCCTTAGACTTCCTACATATATGTGCCAATAATATTGCCCTTCTTTTGCTAACTCCAGTTTGAATTGGGTCTCTTGCCACAAAGGTCCTGTCTAAAGCCTGGTAAGTAAGTTAGCTACAAAGATTAAATAAGTCCCAGTTAAGTAAAACTGAATTGAATGCATTCTGTGCATTTCAATCAATGCTCTTTCCCTTCCCTTAGTTCTAGGTCTCTTGTCCTAGGCAGATGTGAATCTGTAATAACTACAGAATATTTGTAGAAACTTACTGCCATAAAATGTTCTTAAACAAATCTAAATCATTCAGTTATAAGAGTAAGACACAAACATTTGGCCAAATCATCTATTTAAAACTCTGCTCCAATCCACCCATTTCAGGAAGCTGCCCCAGATTTTGGTCACTTATGGTCCTTCCAGCCACACTCTGTAACTGTAAAAAAAAAAAAAAAAAAAAAAAATCTACATTATTCTATATTATTTTATAAATCAAATTCCTGTGTTTCAAATGCAACTTATTGAACCGCAGCTGTATCTCTCTAGGAAAAAAATCTCATCAAAGACAATATTTTACTCAAAAATTCAGCAAGCTTTAAACAACTAAACCGTTAAAGGAAAAAACTATATAGCGAGGTAGATAAGTAAAATCCTATTTCACTAATAACTTTTTTCACCAAATTGAAACTATATGCCTCCAAGGGAACCAAAATGAAAACAATTATCAAAAAAAATTACTTGAAAATGTAGCAAATTTTAAAAAGCTAAACTTTTAAAGGTAATTTTGATTTTATATTTTAAAGAATAAATGTGAATGAATGAAAAATTCCTGGAACTACTTTTGATACTTGAACTAATGGTCTCACGGAAACAAAATAATAAAAGATGAGTTGGACACAGCACATGTAATAGAAGAATCCTGGGCTCTCGTCATGGGATTCCCAATGTCCCTGAAGACAGCCCAGGCTTTGGCAGCCCAGCTTCCCATACTGGCATGAGGTAAAAGCGATTGCCTTTATAGTGGTAGACTTGGCAGGAAACACAGCAACACAACAGGGGTAATGATTCAAAATTCAGCATAAATGAACAAAGAAACATGTTTACTGAACCCACCTGGCTATTGTGTAAAACAAAATATCACGTGCTATCTATAATAAGCCAGTTCTCTGGACTACAAAAGCAGTTCACTTACTCAACAGATGTTTATTGGCTATTTGGTGTGTGCCATGTACCATGCAAGGGTTGGGAACACAGCAAAAAGCTAGGTGTGGCCCCTGCCCTCAGGGAGCTTTCAATCTTGTTTGTGCAACAAAAAGTGTGCAAATAATTGCACAATTCTGAACTTCAATGGGTGTGTTTACATTTGAATCTACAAGTTTATTAATGCTTTGTGAAAAACTTCATATAGGATGAGGTCATTCTATTTCCCTTTTAAAAAAATAGGTTTATTAAGATATAATTCAGATACCATATGATTCACCAGCTTAAAATGTAGAACTCAGTAGTTTCTGGCGTAATCACAGATCTATGCAACCATTGCCACAGCCAATTATAGAGCATTTTCATCACCACAAAAAGAAACCATATCCTTTACTAAGCATCCTTCAATCTCCCCAAATGCTCCCAGCTTTAAGTAATCACTAACACACTTTCTATCTCCACAGATTTGTCTCTTCTGGCATTTCTTTGCTAAGTTCAACATAGAATTACCAGATAACCTGGCAGTTACATTCTTAGGTATAGACCCCAAAGATGTGAAAATGTAAAGATGTTCAAACAAAACACTGTACCTGAAACGTTCATAGCAGCACTGTTCACAATAGGCAAAGGTGGATATGGCATATCCATATGATGGAATATGCCTCAGACATAAAAAAAAAAAGGAGTGAAGTACTAACACAGGCTACAACACGGGTGAGCCTTGAAAATATGCTAATTGAAAGAAACTAGCCCCAAAACACGTATGACTTAATTCCATTTATATGTATTCCCTTGGCCTGAAAGTTCTCTTCTTGTGTTCCTTCTCTCTCTTCCCCATCACTCACCCATCCTCTGTGATCTCACATCCACCCCCTCCACTCTGTCCCCAGATCCACTGTTCTGGATGCCAGCATCAGTGCTCATATCTGGATCATGGCGGCTGACTCCTCTTTGGTCCCTTGCCCCTGGGCTTTCCCCTCCAACCTACCCCATGCACCAGCTACCCGGGTGGTTTCTCTAAACACAAATCTGGCAGAGCTGATTACAACCCATGAGTGGCAGCTCCATCCACCATCATCCACTGAATTAAAGCAATCCCCATCACACACAAACTCCCAGGTACCAGCACCCATCATTCATATAACAGACATGGAGCCATCCAGCATGATGAAGTTCCCTGGATCCTGCACTCTTCACTACCCACTTCTGTTCCTGCCTCTGTTTGTGCTCCGCCTGGATTCCTGCCTTTGTCTTTCCTACCTAGAAATACTGCTCTGTCTTCCAGACAGTTCACTCCTTCTCCAATACTGAGCTGGCCACCACCCTGGCGATTGCTCTCCACAGTGTTTGAGGACTGTTTAATTAACTACTGCTAAAAACCAGGAGCTGTATCTGCTCACCGCTATAACCCCATGAACTAGCACCAAGCCTGCCTTGCACATTTTCCCAATGAAAATGAGGGAGAAAGGAACAGAAGAAATGGAGGAAGAAGTTAATACATATTTCTAAGAAATTAATACATATTTCTCAATAACTTAGGCACCTATTTATCAACCAACAAATAACTATTGTCTCAGATATTGAAAACATCTTGGCCTCCTTAAGCTTTTTTTCCTCAGACTCGCCTAGTCTCATAAGGGACAAAATCAAACTCCAGAGTTGAAAACAATAGCAACAATAGAGAAACCACAAGAAGCCTCAGCTCAAGTCCCAAACCAGGGTAAGAATAGGAAGTCCTGCCTTCCTGGAGTCTTGTTCATTTTAGAAGCTTCACCTCCAATCTACTTGAGAAACAAAATAGGGACTGGTAGAGAAGAGTTAATAGAAGCATCAAAATGGAGACATTACAAAGGTTTTAGGACCTTGATCTTAAAACCTTGGTTCCCAGCCAGGCACAATGGCTCACACCTGTAATCCCAGCACTTTCGGAGGCTGAGGTGGGCAGATGGCTTGAATCCAGGAGTTCAAGACCAGCCTGGGCAACACGGCGAAACTTCGTCTCTACAAAAAATACAAAAATTAGCCAGGCATGGTGGCATCTGCATATAGTCCCAGGTACTTGGGAGGCTGAGGTTGGAGGATGGTTTGAGCCCAGAACGTCAAGGCGGCAGTGGGCCAAGATTGTACCACTATACTTCAGTCTGTACAACAGAGTGAAACCCTGTCTCCAAAAAAAGAAGGGGAAAAAAAAAAAAAAAAACAACCTTGGTCCCTGATCTCTACCTCCCAAATCTGAGCTTTTAGGCTTTTTCCTTCATTTCTATTTTCTGGAATCCTGAACACACTGATCTTTTCTTTCTGATCTCTTGTTTGGAGAAGCTCTTGTGGACTCTGTAGTCCCTGACAGCACCTCTTTTCAGGTAAGACACATAAAGGCAAAATCATAGATAATCCATTTGCCTCCAGTGGGGGTGGGGGGAGCAGCAAAGACAGCAGGAAGGTTTACAGATTTTTCTAAAGACCCATCTAGTTCTAACTCTCTATGATACTTGGTAGAGGACAAAATAGCATGAAATAATAGCAATATGCGTGAGCCCAATCAAAGAATTTATTTTCAAAGATAAAAATGCAAAGGTGTTGTTCATGATGATTGAAAGCAAAAAATAATAAATAGTGACATTTGAGATTGGTCTTGATCACTCCTGATTTCTAAAATCTCCCCATCACCCTACCATTACAATTTCCCACTAATTACTACAAGCAATTTTATTAATATACTTTTCAGCCTCATTAAATATTACCTTGGGCCTAACATTAAAAATGATGAGGCTCAGTAATCTTAATGAGCATCCAAGTTGCACCGACCCCTGAAAACCCAGAAAACAGAGAACTAAATTCATTGCTGAACTACTCTGGTCCCCAGGCATGCAGGAATCAACTTCAGAAACATGAAAGAAATGATACGTACAACCCAGAATGAAGCCTGATTGGAAGCACATAAGTTTAGCTTGGCCTCCTTCAGTTCCTGTCAACTAAGGGGGCAGGAAAACGTCGAGGAAACATCTGGGCTTTATCTTCTCCTCCCCTTTCACCCTGGTTATAAACAGCATCCATCAGCATGCTGTTCACCAATATTAAGTCTTTCCTGGGACTCTGACAGGTAGAGCTTCTAGTGATTGTGGGCTGGGCCAAGACAAAGCAAACTGGAAATGAGGTATCCACTGCTCTAGCAAACAGAAATCTGTGGCTTTCTCTGAAACGGTAGTGGAAGCACAAAGAATAGACAGTTGAGGGAATTAGGAAGATAAATTTTATTTGTTTTCTTCCTAGCATGACCAGAATTGTCTGCATTCCTCAAACAGCAAGCTAGGCAAGACAGTGAGACCAGCTTCCTGGTTCTCAAAGTAAATTATTTATCAGGAGCTGAATTTACTGCTTTCCTGACTAAACTGTCAAAACCCTGCCATTTACAATAGCAGTTGTACTGTGTGATCCCCAAGATGCTTAGGTTTCCCCTAGCTTCTAGGTTAAAAATGAATGGGTAACAGTAAACCAGGGGATCAGCTGAAGAGACCAGCCCAGACTTACTGAATCCACCTTTGGCCAAGATCTGAGAGAGTTCTCCATGTGTCCGAAACCAGTAAACTTAGCACAATGTAAAACTATTATATTAGACAGAAATCTTTGGAATTATCTAATTTAAACCACTAATTACCTAAAAGAAAACTGAAGTCCACAGAGAGGAAATGATTTGTCTTGGATGAACAAGAAGAGTCAAATCCAAAACCTGAACTCTTGGGTCCCATTCATTATACTACCATGGATATTGTCAACCTGAAATGGGGGCTGTAATGGGAATGGAGGCAGAGACAACCATCCACCAAAGAATTGTGGTGTCCCTCTTTCATGGCACAGTGCTGGCTCTGGGACGTGGCTACCTACCAGGAACTACATCTTCGCATCCTTCCACCCACTCTCATCCCACTACCTTGCAGCTGAGTCCAGCCACAGGAATGCATCCTAGCCAATGAAATGGGTATGAAAGTGCTGTATGATGCCACTTCTGGGCGTGACCCATGCAAACCTCAAATCCAGAGCTTCTCCTTGCCTTGCCCTATCTAATGGCTGGGTACAGGGAAGTTTAAGATCATAGGAGATAGTGAACCTAGATCTTCAAATCACCTGAGGGAACAAAGTCTTTTAAGATGAGGCATACACACACGGTCTGTTGCTGAAGCAAGATATAAAATTTTATTGCGTGAATCTATTAAAATTTTTCTGGGGGGGTGTTATTCATTACAGCACCTGCTATTAACCTAACAAATACCAGGAACAACTTTATAGTGGAAAAGATCTCAGACACATTGAGCCCAAAGCAAAACTGAAAGCCCATAAAAAGAACCTTGTTATAACAGTGGGAAAACATTAACAAATCAAATAATAAAAATGATAATTTATCAATTTGCCAACTTGCTCAGCAGACTCAAACGGATTAATTGTTCCAGGTTTCTGAGGGGGAACAAAACCCAAGTAAAGGCTAGTCTTGAAAACAAAGTATTTTTGCAAAGGAAATTTTTCCTCAAGCGTCCTTATTCCTGCTTCCTTTTATCTTAAAAGTGATGGCAAATGAACTATCGATGCATGCAACAACCTTGATGAATCTCCAGGGCATTGTGCTGAGGGAAAAAAGGCCAATCTCAAGGGCCTTTCTACTGTCTGATTCTACTTATATAACATTCTTGACATGACAAAATTGTAGTGATAGAAAACAGATCAGTAGTTGCCAGGGGCTTGGGTGGGGAAGAGTGTGTCTCTTAAACAGTAACACAGGAGAGTTTCTTTGTGGTCATGGGTCAGTTCTGCCTCCTGACTGTGGGGATAGTCACTTGAATCTACACACATGATGAAAGTTCATGGGGGTTGGGAGGGTGGGGAATGAAGGAAGGAGGAAGGGGGGGAAGGGGAGGGGAGGGGGGAAGGAATGGAGGAGGAGGGGGGAAGGGGAGAAGGAGGGGAGGGGAGAAAGGAAGGAAGGGCAGGGAGGTAGGGAAGGAAGGGAAGGAAAGGAGGAAAAGAAGGAAGGAGGGAAGGAGGGGAGGGGAAGAGAGGGGAGGAAGGAAAAGGAGGGTTGAAAGGAAAGGAAAAAGGAAAAGGGAATGAAAGGGAAGAAAAAAACTAAAAAAGAAAGTGCATGTGAAAACTAGTGAAGTCCAAATAAGGTAGATCTCTAAGTTAACAATTTCCTGGTTTTGACAATATTACTATGATTATGTAAAATATTACCTTTAGAGAAAGCTGGGTGAATGGTACAAGGAACTCTGTACTATGTTTGCAACTTCTTGTACATCTGAAAGTATTTCAAAATAAAAACTTAGAATTCTTTAAAGTGATGGCAAAGGCCCTGGACCACCAGGTTCTGAGTTGGGAAATATGCCTTGTACTTCCAGATTGGGCAACATGAATATGATAACTGCAGAGAGTTCAGGGGCTACTCACAGGACCTTTGCCATTAGTCACATGATTATTTGTTTATTCTTTGTCTTCCTTCTAGACTATAAATGCCTGGAGGTCAGGAGCCAAGTCAGTTTTGTTCCCCCACTCAATGCCTAACCCAGTGCTTAGTACATAGAAAGCACCCAGTATATATGTGTGAGATGAACAAAAAAACAAGAAGGGGAACAGGCAAGGAAGGAAGTATCACTCACGCTTTACAGAGGCAGTGGTGTGCAGAGGTTTCCATGCCTTGCCCTTGTGCACACAGCTGGAGAGAAGCAGGACAGGTACAAAAACCATCAGGGCTTCCAGAGTGCCCAGTGACCTTTTCTTAGTGCCATATGCCTCTCAACTTAGATCCCTGGTAGTTGCTTTATCTTACATAATAAAAAAAGTAAGAGGGGAGGAAAAAAAGAGCAGACACAGAGAGAGAAATGAGACAGAGAGACAAAGAGATATGAGGAAAGTAGTGAGAGAGATCGGGTGAAAGAGGGCAAGAAAGAGGGAGGAAGAGAAAGTGAGTGGGGAGAGAGAACAATGAAGAGAGAGAGGGAAGGAGAGAAGAGAGAAAGAGAGCCAGAGAAAGAAAGAAGGAGAGAGGAAGAGAGAGAGAGAAAAGAGGATGGAAGGAAAGGAGAGAGGGAAGGCAAGAGAAAATCTGCCCCAACATGGAAAATGACATTGAACAAATGGATTCCAAATTTTAACACGGCCCCACACCATAGGCCCAGGCCTCTGTAACTGCTCTAATTGCTCAGAAATGGTATTGTAATGTGAACAATATGTCATTAAGCAATAAACGCTTCATGCAAAATAACAAAGTGGTCATCAGTGAGATGGAAACCAGGAATAACCAAGGGAAATTGTGCTCCACATCTCTCCATGCTCCAATTATCAGACTGATCAGTGGCTCCTTTTGTCTGTTCAGAAGGTGCTGCAGTTTTCAGTACAACATAATATAATGTGAAATGCAATACACCAAGACTAAGAAAACCTTATTTTTTTTTCAGTCTTACAGAGAGAGCAACAGATTCAAATTTGAATTCAGGCTCTGCTATCTTCTTTGCAGCCACTGCGGCCCAAGCTGCACTGGGGCCCACTGGAGACCACCTCGGGTGACCAATGAGTATAGCATCAGAGTGTGGGGAGCAGAGTCTTCAATGTGAGGTGGCGCCAGGTAGGGCATGTCAAGGTCCTGCAGCCACTGGGAGCTCTTCCTTTGAAACCAGTCTGCACCCTGCACCTAGCCCTTGCACTCTGAGCCTATGATGGCAGGGGCAGGTCTGACGATCTCAGAATCAACTTTAGGGTCATTCTTCCACTGTCTTGGAGAATAGCTCCTGGCTTCCGTTAAGACTGCTGATTCATACTAATCTCCTTATCAAACAGTTGCTTGGACATAGCCTTAATGTTCTTTTTTTCAATATGTATAGGCTGAGAATTTTTCAAATCTCTAAGTTTTGATTCCTTTTTGCTTAACAATTTCATTTTTGAGTCATTTCTCTCTTCCTTGCATTTTACTCTGAGCAGTGAGGAGGAGCCAAGGCATACCTTCAACATTTTGCTTAGAAAGAGCTTCAGCTAAATATCCAATTTTATCATTCACAAGTTTTACCTTCCACAAAACACTAGAACATGAAGACAATTCATTCAGCTAAAAGCTTTGCCGCTTGATAAGAGATTGTCTTTTCTCCATTGCCCAATAACGTGGCTCTCATCTCCAACTGAGACCTCAGCAGAATGGCCTTTACCATCCGTATTTCTACCAACATTCTACTCAGCATTACTTAGGTATTCTCTCAGGAGGTGGAGGCTTTCTCTTGAGCTTTCTTCCTCTTCTGAGCCCTCACCAGAATCACCTTTAAAGGTCTGTTCAACAGCCAGGCCCAGTGACTCATGCCTGTAATCCCAGCATTTTGGGAGACTGAGGTGGGCAGATCAACTGATGTCAGGAGTTCAAGACCAGCCTGGCCAACATGGTGAAACCCTGCCTCTACTAAAAATACAAAAATTACCTGGGCATGGTGGTACACGTCTATAATCCCAGCTACTCAGGAGGCTGAGTCATGAGAACTGCTTGAACCCAGGAGGGGGAAGTTGCAGTGAGCTGAGATTGTGCCATTGTACTCCAGCCTGGGAGTGCAATGTATTCTGAGACAGAGTGAGACTTTGTCTAAAAAAAAAAAAATACATTATTTTATTTTTGTTATTATTATGTCTGTTCAAGGCAGTGTAGGCTTTTTCTAGCACGTACCTCAAAACTCTTCCAGCCTCATTATCCAGTTCCAAAGCCTGTTCCACATTTTCAGGTGTTTGGCACAGGAGCACCCCCATTTCTCGGTACCAATTTTTATCTTAGTCCATTTGAGCTGCTGTGACAGAACACCATAGACTAAGTGACTTATCAACAACATAAATTTATTTCTCACTGTTCTGGAGCCTGGGAAGTCCAAATTCAAGGCTACAAGAAGTTCTGTGTCTGGTGAGGACCTGCGTCCTGGAACATGGATGGTCTTCCTCTTGCTGTTTCCTCACATGGTGTGAGGGACAAGGGGGCTTTCTGAAGTCCCTTTTATAAGAGCACTGATTTATAAGAGCTTTCTTTCCTGGCCTAATCATCTCCCAAAGGCCCCACCTCCAAGTAACACACATCAGGGGTTAGATGTCAATAAACAAATTGTATGGGAACATAAACATTCAGTCTATAGCAGTCACTTTTCATCTATGTGACTATGAGCAAGTTAATATTTTTAATTCGGCTTTATTATCTGCAATACAGGCACAACAATACATACTTTGCATGGTTATTGTGAAGATTGAATGAAATAATTTATACAAATGTGGCTACTAGCACAGTGCCCACCATGCATTTAGCACTAAACAAGGACCTCTGTGTTCTCTTCCAGAGAGCTCTTCATCCAGAAGCTCAACACAAAATGTTGCACACTGTAGGACCATTCATATGACGTTCTACAATCAATAAAATGTGCCTAGTAAGAATTAGACTTGTTTGGGAGGAGGAGAACTAAAGGGCACAAGGGTACTTTCTGGGGTGACAGGTTGTGTATTTTGGTAAGATTATAGGTGTTACAGGAGTGCATGCATTAGCCAAAACTTTCTAACCCATATATTTAAGATCTACATACTTTACAGTATTTAAATTATACCTCAATAAAAAATTTAAAATAGATAGCTAGATATCTAGATAGCCAGATCTGTAGGTAGGTGGGTAAGTAGGAGGGTGGGTGAGTGGATGGGCGGATAAATGAATGGATGGATGGATGGATGGATGGATGGATGGATGGTCAGTCAGGGTACCTACTTCAGCATGAGGCTCACAATAAGCATTCCACAAGTATTTCTGAAGTTCCAGAATCAAAATTAATTCCTCTTAACTCCTTTCCGTCACTACTCTCGCTCCTCCAGAAACAATCTACTCAACTGTAGGGTGGCACAGCCAGTTCTAAAAGTGCTTCCTTCTATGTGCCTGAATCCTGGTCCCTGATACTCCGACTCAAGAGGCCAGGTGGATGACATCTGCCCACTGCCTCCTTATAACAGAACTCAACGGTCTTGAGTATCAAATGTGCTCGGCCTCATGTTGAGCACCTTTAAGTCCTTCACTGTACTAGTCACCTTCAATTCTTCAAAATCTCCTTGGACCGTGAGCCCAGATGGGCCTCTAGATGTCATCTTTTAAGTATGTGTCCTCAACGAATGGGCTCTGGGCAGCTCTACTGCTATGAAGTGGTGTCCACCATCTGGAGCTCATGCCTGTGGTTTGGTGCATAGTAATTGCCAATATCTACTGAGCACTTACTCCATGTCTAGCACTGTTCTAGATACAACATGTTTTCACTCCTTTAGCCTCCACAATAAATCAAAGAAGTCTATGTCCTTCCCATTTTACAGATCTGATCCAACAGAATTTCAAGGTAACTCTTTATCTCAGGGTCTTTTCAGACCCCATTAAATCCCATCTGCAAATCTCATCTCCACACCTTTATCCCACCCATCGTTATAATCGAATTGCTGTGACTCAGGCAGAACAACTCTTGCCTAACATACAAAGCAGGAGTTCAATTTAAAACATGACAGTGGAGTTTTGAAGGAACAATTGACTGATACAACAATGGGTGAAGCTTAAAAACATTACGCTGAGCAAAAGCAGATGAACACAAAACAGTACATACTGCATGTTTCCATTTCTAGAAAAGATCAATCTAATCTATAGTGACCAAAATCAGGTCACTGGTTGCCTGGGGCTTAGGGTGGAAGGAAGGACTGCAAAGAGGAAGGAGAGCCATTTCTAGGTAATGAAAATGTTCTATGCCTTGATCAGGGTGGTGATTAGCTGGGTATGCACATTGGTCAAAACCAAAACTCTGCACTTAAAATGTGTACATTTTATTGGATGTGACTAAAGCTGATATGTTTATGCAAAAACAAAGAAAAGCCTTCTGAGCCAACAGCTCTAGCTTTCAATCTCGCTTTGTCTTTTCCTGGCTGGGTAACCTAGGGCAAGCCACTTAACAGATCTGAGCCTTAGTTTCAGGCTGTTGTCAGGGTTGGAGATAATACATGCCAAACACCTGGGGGAAAACCAGGCTTTCAATAAATCGCAGCTTCTGTTATTACTGTTAATTAATAATAATGAGAAATAATAATCTGAGTAACAGCTTCAATTCTCTACTTCACTTCGCTGGGAGATCTTGAACTGCTAAATGTTCCTTACTATTAGCTCTCCCTGAAAACCAACACACACTCTTTTGCAGCATGCAATCACGTTAACGCTATGCTAGAAGAATAATCAAGAATGAATACCAAATGTATGTAGATGAAAGAATTCATGTTTATATATGAATATGGGCCATGAAATCTTGGATTAATTCAAACCTGAACATGGTTGACAGTTACTATTTTCTTTCCAAGGAATCAGATTTTCTGCCTAGGTAACTCCATGGGAGTTTTCTACTATATTGTTACACAGGGTGTAATTTCTCTAATAAGGTCATTGAGGGGAAAAGAATCCTGGACTCTCTAATCCCTTTGTATTACTTTTTCCTAAGAGTGTCTTTCTCAAGGGATATGACATGGGGTCAGCATGGCAAATTTCAAATGTATAGCAATCTGGTTTGGGTCGTTTTCAAGCTAAAATCTGTGAGCTCATCTCTTTGTTTTTTGGTCACTTACCTCCACACTCAGAAAATTGCTTTGTGGAAAACTGTTCAGCTCTATTTAGGCTTATAAATAATTTATCCAAAGCTCAAGCAAAGGTGAATTAGAAATTTTCAGGGTTCTTGGTGGAACTAAGACTCAGTGTGAGGTCACAAAAGATTAAACAATAATGGCAAATCGTATGTGAAAATGAATGAAAGGGACTAGGTAGAAGTGGCCTCAAAGTTGCAAACATGTTAGTCAACCCATCTTTCAGTAAATTCCTCCAACCATCCTTCATTTGGGGAACATCCTTGTTCCACTGTTAGTCATCCAAAGAGCCAACTTCGGGATGTGAGGGCAATCTGGCTGCGACATCTGTCATCCCATTGATTGCCAGGATTGATTCAGCTGATCTGGCTGGCTAGGTGGGTGTCCCCTTCCTCCATCACCACTCCATGTGATGTGCGTCCCTCCTGAAGCTGCGCAGTGGGTCAAAGAGGATGACCATCCCCGAGAGAGTAGGACCAGTCTTCAGTAAAGGGTATACCAATATCTGCGCTCCCCTGATAGAACCTCCAAACAAAGAGCCAACTTCTCCTGCTAAATGCCATGCTGGTGGCATTCCAGTGTGCTCTCGGTCTTAGCACAGATCAACTCAGTGTCATGAGTCATCTCCCTTTTGGAAGAAATTCCTAAATGTTCTGGCTTCATAGTGAGTGCTGGAGAATTGAGAGCCTTCTAAAGACTTAAGGAAGCTCCAAAGAAAAGAGGAAACAGTCATTGCCTAGACAGGAACCACTGAAATACAGCTCCTCAACCCAAAAAGCAGCTCTGCAAGTTCCCAGGTGTTAGGCTCCATTCTGAGTTCACATGAAACCAAGTTCATCAGTTGATGGACTCAACATGAGTTCAGAGGTCTCAGAGAGTAAAAACTAGCTTCCAGTCCTACTTGGACTCCTCAGGAAATAAAATTTGCTAATAGCATGGTACGTTTATGATTTGACTTTCCTTATATTTACCCGTGGACTTTCCATGAGACCCAAACAACTTTTCTTAAAAAAAAAAAAGTTCCCTTCTATGGCACAGACTACTACCTATTCATCCTACCCAATTTCCTCTTCTTCTTGGGAACAGAGTGAGACCACATTTCCCAGGATCCCTTGCAGTTAATTCCTAAATTTACAACTGAATTCTAGCAGATGAAAGGTAGACTTTATATGATAATGGCAATTCTTAGGCCTGGTCCATGAAAACCTCCTACCCCATCCTCCACCCTCTAGTTTCCCATCACCAGTTGAATTTCACAGACCTATAGGAAGACAGAGCCACAAGATGGGAAATCTTTAGTCCTGAATGACTGAAGAGTATAGTCCTCTGCCAGTCACACTGGAGTGATGGAGAAAACAAATCTTTATTATATTAAGACAATGAAATGTTGAGGTTGTTATAAGAGTTAGCCTGTCTTGACTCGCATACCCTCCTCTATGGTCATCCTCTCAAAAACTCCATTAAATGATTTCAAATTAAAAAACAACAACAAAAGAACGTTAACACCTAGCTTATGCAAGACAAATACTTTTAGATCAAATCTCACAAGTCAGCCTGACTGCTTCAGTCACAGCTGCTTCAAGTTGTGAACTGCCTGTGGGTGTCCTCATCCCCTCCTCTCAACAAACATCAAGTTCAAAGAAGTCTTCTGGAAGTCAAGAGCTGACAGGAGCTGGCTGATGTCAAGGAGGAAGCCCACATGTCTCAAGCCACCTCTGGTAACACTTCAATTATCCACCACCTGCTTATCATGAGGTTCTGAGTACAGCTTTTTCCACTGTCTCCCAAAGAAAAGGTTAATGGAAAGTGTCAAGATCCAACAGGCCGATAAATCCCAACCCTTGGTTGAGAAAACAGAGCTTATTTCTAGACTTAGTCATGATTCTGGATGCTAGCTTATATTACCCTGACCCCTCCTGTCTTTACATTTGCCCTTTCCTCTGTTGTGGACATGGCTTGCCCTCATCGGTGATGATGATCCTTCTATCCATGGTCAAAACTTCCTCTCTTCCAACCCACACTCTTAAAGGGTCATGCTCTAAACTGAAGGAAACTCCAAAAGAAGAAACCATCTCCTTCCCCTTTGCATCTCCTGCCCCAAGCACACAAGAGGTGCACTCATCAGCACAGGATAACTGCTACAGCAAAAATCTTGATATTTTGGTGGCTTAAAACAATGAACGTTTTCTCTGCGTTCATGCCACAGTCCAATATAGATTCACAGATCTAGGATCCTATAATTCCACCAAACTCTGTGGCATCAGAGTCTTCCGTAGTCAAGGGAGGAGAATGCAAATCACATGTAGTAAGGATTTACAAGAGCCAGGCCTGAAAGTGGTATTTGTACATAACTTTCACTCACATTTCACTGGCCAGAACTCAAAATAGGCCCATACCTAATGACAAAAGGGCCTAGTAAAGTATTCTCACTAGAGCTTAAAAGGAAAGAGGAAATGGATTTTGGTGACCTCTCCACTGTATGTGACCCAGTGGGGGAGGGAGTGTCTCACAGAAGGCAGTTAGCCAGCTTGTAAGGACATGACCCAGAGATCTGTTGGTAGGAAAATGAAATTTCCCAGAACTATGCAAAGGAGATCTGCTACCTTAGCACAATGAATCAGATGATGTACACCAGCCAGAGGTTCAGGTAAGGTGGGACCTCACATGAGGTGAGAGCAAGTTATCTGAAAGGAGAGGCTCACATGTACATGAAAGAGACCAGGAAAGGTCTAAGAGGGAAGACAAGGTGATGTTGCCTCATAGATTCACGCTGGTTGAACCAGGCTGACTTCTGGTTTCCTACAGAGTCAAAGAGCTCAGAGTAGGCAGACCTCTCATTTTACAGTTGGGGAAAAAAAGGTGTCCATAGAGTTAAAGCAATTTGCAAGTTGCACATCTAGCAAGCAAGAGAACCAGGACTGGAACTCCTGTCCCTGACTCTATCACTCCCAGTCCACCTTGTCAGCTCTGTATATACCCCTATATCTGCAAAAGTCTAGGCCTTAAAAAAAATAGCTACCAGCCAGTTTATTCTCTCAGACAAAAGATTTCCAGAAACCATGTCTTCCACCCTGGTATTTTGCTCTTCCCAACTCTCTCTCTCTCTCCTTCCAAATTTACATAAACTATACACGTGGCAGGTGCCTGTATGAGGTACAAGGACAAAGGCTCTCACACACCCACCAGTCTGTGTCACCCAGATGGCTTCCTGCTCATGCAAGAAGGACTTGGCTCGGTTTTCATCCATAAATGTGTCTTCATTTGTCCCCGGAGGCCTTTCTGTCACCTACGGGAGCACTTCTCTGCAAGCTCTGTGAATTATAATCTTCTAGAGGGTATGTTCCAGACAATGAACTTCTTTCCTTCCGTCTTTTAAAATGAGATTAACCCAAGAACATTGCAGAGGCTCCCAGTGATAAGCATTTCTCAGACTCCCTAACACTGGTGCAGGAATAAGTCGGTATGCTTTTCTGAATCTGAGAAAGCCTAGAAACCCAGGCCTCATCTGAAGAAGTACGAGAGACAAACAGTTATTTCTGGCTACATTCCTGTGTATTCCAACCGAATTGCACTTCCCCCCATCCACCCATTCTCCCTTGTTCTCCACACCTACCTCACCTTAGGTCACCTCTACCCTGTTCCAACCTGAACTGTGGGGCATAGCACGGAGTGGTGGAAGGGTAGGGAAGGTGGCACCATCAAGGCAAACTCTGAATTCCTGGGAGAGTGGCTTCATCTTTGTTCTACAGCAGGGCTCAGCAAACTTGATGGGTCAAATCTAACCCACCCTCTCTTTTCGTAAATGAGGTTTTGTTGGAACACAGCCCACAGCCAAGCTCAGTTGTTCACATATTTTCTCTGGCACTTTTTGTGCTACAATGGCAGAGTTGATTAATTATGACAGAGACCCTGTGGCCCACAAAGCCTAAAATATTTGCTCTCTGGCCCTTTATAGAAATGTTTGCTGAGCCCTGTTCTGCAGGAATAAAGAACCAGTTTTCTTTCAAACAAATATTCATAGCAGCATTATTTGCTATAGCCAAAAGGTGGAAACAGCCCAAATGTGGGTCAATGGGTGAATGAATTGTGGCATAGCCATATGAAATATTCTTCTGCCATAAAAAGGAAGTACCGACACATGCTACAGTATGGATGAGCCTTGAAAATTATGCTAAGTGAGAGAAGCCAGACACACAAAAATCACATTTTGTATAATTTAATGTATATGAAATATCCAGAATAGGTAAATCCATAGAGACAGAACGCAGACGGGTGGTTGCCAGGGAATGGGGAGTGGGGGTTGGAGAGTGACTGTTTAATGGGTACAGGATTTCCTTTTAGGGTAATAAAAGGTTTTGGAACTGTATCAAGGTGGTACTTATAGAACATTGTGAATGCACCAAATGCCACTAAATTGCTCACTTTAAGATGGTTATTTTATATTATGTGAATTTAACCTCAATACATTTTTTAACTCAAAAAATATGTAATTTTTTAAAAGAAAGGAGTCAGTCCCTGGAGATTTTGGAGCAGAGGAGTGATATGATCTGAGATGTACTTTCAGGCAAGAACCAAGTAATGCTTACAGGAAGGGAAGTCCTCGGATGACTGTTGGGTACCTGAGAAGAGGGTGGCAACAAATTAGAAACAAAGGGCAAGGCACAGTGGCTCACATCTGCAATCCCAGCACTTTGGGAGGCCAAGACAGGAGGATCACTTGAGCCCAGGAGTTCAAGACCAGCCTGGGCAACAGAGGGAAACCCCCATCTCTACATAAAACTTTTTAAAAAATAGCTGGGTATGGTGGCACCCACCTGTAGACCCAGCTACTCAAGAGGCTGAGGCAAGAGGAATACTTGTGTCAGGATTTCAATGCTGCAGTGAGCTATAATCATGCCACTGCATTCCAGCCTGGGTGATGAGGGGAGGGGAGGGGAAGGGAGAGGAAGGGAGGGAAGGAAGGGAGGGGAGGAAGGAAGGGGAGGGAGGGGAGGAAGGAAGAGGAGGAAGGGAGGGGAGGAAGGGAGGGGAGGAAGGGAGGGGAGGAAGGAAGGGGAGGGAGGGGAGGAAGGAAGGGGAGGGAGGGAAGGAAAGAAGGGAGGAAGGGAGGGAGGAAGGAAGAGAGAAAAGGAAGGAAGGAGGGAGGGAAGGAAGGAGAGGAGGAGAGGGGGAGATTGATTTTTAAAACGAATTAGGGGCCAGGCGCAGTGGCTCATGCCTGTAATCCCAGCACTTTGGGAGGCCGAGGCAGGCGGATCACGAGGTCAGGAGATCGAGACTATCCTGGCTAACACGGTGAAACCCCTTATCTACTAAAAACACTAAAAAATTAGCCGGGCATGGTGGCGGGGAACCTGTAGTCCCAGCTACTCAGGAGGCTGAGGCAGAAGAATGGCGTGAACCCGGGAGGCGGAGGTTGCAGTAGCCGAGACCGCGCCACTGCACTCCAGCCTGGGCAACAGAGAGAGACTCTGTCTCAAAAAAAAAAAAAAAAAAAAGCCAATTAGGGAAGGGGAGCTCAGTTTGGGACACACTGAGTTTGTATACCTGTGGGACAACTGGGGGTATAACAACAGGGAGTTATCAGTGTGGGACTGAGATTTAAGAGCAAGATCAAGGACAGAGCTAGTGATGCAGGAATCATACTTAGGGAGGCAGTATTGCCATGAGAGAAGAAAGGAGAAAGAATTGGACATGTTAGAAAATCCCAATAACTACAGGGCAGTCGGATAAAGCACAGCCTGAAGTAATATCAAAGAAGGTATAAGAAGAGGGTCAGAAGGAAGCCAGGTGAAAAGATAGCCATGGAAAGGGTACAGTCAGTGGCACCAAATGCTCCAAAAGCATGGAGGAGGAGACAGAGGAAGAAAACCTGATGAAAGGTCACTGGAGTTGCAGGGTAGCAGTAGAGCTCAAAACCTACTACCTGGTTCTCATCTTTTCTTCTGAGCAGCTTAGGTTGCTGGATAAGTGAGGTCATGAATAATGAGGTCATGCATGCAGATAAATGCATGCAGTCTAGAACCCAAAGGAAGTGAGATTCCAAAGATGTGAGCTCTGCTCTCCTCTGACCCTCAGCCCCAAGCTTGGAAGGACAGCACAGACAGCATCCAATACATGTTTGATCCCAGCCATGGCCCTAGGTCCAAAGGCTGAGCTCCCTTCCCAAAATTCAGATAGGATGTCTCTAACACTAGCACACCCAGCATATGCTTGGGTCCCTCGGTTAACGCGCGCATCCAGCTGGGACACTTCGTAGCCATGCCTTGATGTTACTACTACTCAAGGTCTTCCAACACCAGCAGCTACTAACTGGTCAGTGCTATAACCATCTCCATCTGCAATAACAAATCTTCTACAATGTTACATTAACATCAAAATGATGACATTCAGAGTATAACAGCAAATTAATTCCTTAGAAACAGAATGAATCCAACTTGCCATTATTACCTTAAGTGGGAATCCAAAAAGGCTGTAATAAATAATATAAACCCATTATATTTATTCATCCCTGATCTATCCTTTATAATATTAAACCAAAGAGGTAAGCACCATGGAGGAGAAATCATTATTTCTGGTATGACAAGGAAGAGACTTTGCTGGGGAGGGGGGCGTTGCTTGACAAGAAGCGGTGAGGTATCTTTTAGCAAAGGCAAGTTTATAATGAGGACTGAGTCGGCTTTTTTATATAAGAGCAATTCAGCTGTGAAATGGGCTTCCCCAGAAATGAGGTGGGAGTCCCTCAGCTTCTTGGGAGCCGTACTAATGGGTTAGTCATGTATGACAGCTTGCATAGTGGTTACTCCAGTTGAGAAGGCTTTGGACAGCCTTCCTGTGATTTATACAATATCAATTGGAAAAGCATCCTATTTTGCCAGGAAAGATGTCCTGGAAAACCAAGCCCACGGGCTCCTATAAGGCAGGTGCTTCAAGCTAACTTCAGGTGATAAATCCACCAGCCCCCTAATATGCCCTTTTAGAAAACGCTTTTGCCCAAAAGTCACAGACAGGCAGCCTATGAGCCAAATCTGACCTACAGATGTATTTCAATGGCCCAGAATACTTCCTTTGTGGGTTATTTTTTTTTAAACATCTGAATCTGCTCCCAACTCTCCAAACTTTCAAGATGCAGTGCATGCTGCTGGTGCACAGTCCGGATAGTCTTGACCAGCAGGTGACCAGCCCCAGATGCTGTGGGCTCACAGCTTCCTCCTTCTCCAAAGAAATGCAAATCAAAACCACAATGAGATACCATCTCACACCAATTAGAATGGCGATCATTAAAAAGTCAGGAAACAACAGGTGCTGGAGAGGATGTGGAGAAACAGGAACACTTTTACACTGTTGGTGGGACTGTAAACTAGTTCAACCATTGTGGAAGACACTGTGGTGATTCCTCAGGGATCTAGAACTAGAAATACCATTTGACCCAGCCATCCCATTATTGAGTATATACCCAAAGGATTACAAATCATGCTGCTATAAAAACACATGCACATGTATGTTTATTGTGGCACTATTCACAATAGCAAAGACTTGGAACCAATCCAAATGTCCATCAATGATAGACTGGATTAAGAAAATGTGGCACATATACACCATGGAATACTATGCAGCCATAAAAGAGGATGAGTTCATGTCCTTTGTAGGGACATGGATGAAGCTGGAAACCATCATTCTCGGCAAACTCTCGCAAGGATAAAAAACCAAACACTGCATGTTCTCACTCATAGGTGGGAATTGAACAATGAAAACACTTGGACTCAGGAAGGGGAACATCACACACTGGGGCCTGTTGTGGGGTGGGGGGAAGGAAAGCATTAGGAGATACACCTAATGTAAATGACGAGTTAATGGGTGCAGCACACCAACATGGCACATGTATACATATGTAACAAACCTGCACATTGTGCACATGTACCCTAGAACTTAAAGTATAATTAAAAAAAAAAAAAAAAAAAGAACTGCCCTCAACCAAACCAGGGCCACTTACCTCTACCACAGAGCAGTGGCCAATGACTGACCAACACAAGGGTATGGTGATGACAAAGGCAAGGCAAGGAGGGACCAAATCTGGTGCAGTTTGCAGTCCGGGGTTCCTTGAGGCATCAGGCTGAAGCTGGACACCAGCCAAGGCCACATCCTTGCGGAGCTCCTATCCCTGGCTGTCTTGCCTCCTTCTCTACTTTCTCCTTAGAGCAGGGTTCTCAAAATGTCGTCCCTACACTAACAACATTAGTATCACCTGGGGCTCGTTAGATATGCAAATCTCAAGCCCCACTCCAGGCTTTCTGGATTGGAAACTCTGGGGATGGGGCCCAGCCATTTGTGGTTGAACAAGCTCTCCAGGTGCTTCTCATGGATGCTCGAGTTTGAGAACTGCAGCCTCAGAGTGCAGCCTCAATTAAACTGCATTTACATGGGCCCCCAGCTCCAGTTCTGCTTCAGGGAACCCAGTTCAAGACAGGAAAGTTCAGGCCAGGCGCGGTGGCTCATGCCTGTAATCCCAGCACTTTGAGGGGGCCGATGCAGGTGGATGACATGAGGTTGGGAGTTCGAGACCGGCCTGACCAACATGGAGAAACCCCGTCTCTACTAAAAATACAAAATTAGCTGGGCGTGGTGGCACATGCCTGTAATCCCAGCTACTCGGGAGGCTGAGTCAGGAGAATCGCTTGAACCCAGGAGGTGGAGATTGCAGTGAGCCAAGATCGTGCCATTGCACTCCAGCCTGGGCAACAAGAGCAAAACTCCATCTCAAATAAAACAAACAAAAGACAGGAAAGTTCACATTTTCAAAAGAATCTGCTCTGTCCAGCACCTCTTGAAAACGGCTTCTTTCCCACAGGGAGGCAATGCACTTGGCCTGGAAGAGCTGCTGCCCCACTTAAACAGTCAGTCACCATTGTTTTCCATTGGTTTGCACCCAGCCTATCTCAGGCATACTGCCTGGTCTATGTGGGCCATTCTAGACATATGATCTAGCTCTCTAGACTGTGAGCCTCTTGAAATCAGCACTTGCCTTTCTCATATTTGTATCCTCACAGCCTGGCACATGGCACTCATCAATGTCTACCGAGTCAAACCAAACTGCACCAACCCTGTCTCTTGAAAGTGGCCAACACTTCTGAGACTCGAAGGCAAAATTAATGCAATTAAGAAGCCAAGAAACAATCCCTGCAACAAATTAATATAATGGCCTTATAGACATCATAGTCATGCATTGGCTATAATAGTGCAAAGATGTAATATGCAAGAGAAATTGGTTGCTGGTTCACCTGATAGCCATCCTAAGGCCTGAAGCCTGCAGATTAATAACCCTTGTAATTTTATCCCAGTCCATGTAATTGCAAGTGCCATCTTTACTTATTTAACATCTAATTCCTCAAAGTAGGTTTGCAGGCCTCTAACACTTGGTTCAAATATTCTCATTGTCTTCTTAGCTCAGAGAGACATTCTTTATTAAAGAATCAAGCTGAATGTGAAATAAACACAAAATAAAATCTGGCTGCAAACCTTAGCTCTGGAAAAAAGAAAAAAAAACTCATTTCCAACCCAGTGCTAGCTGCTTGCAAATTACCCATGTAGAAAATTGCCCAAACTTTTCTACCCAAACTGCATTTGTTTCTGATTTTAAACTAAGTTCCGTTCCTAATTTTTCTTCCTTTCTCCAAAGCTTCTATCTTTAGAAAATATGGAGCCCAAGTTCTATAATTTGCACTTCATTTGAACACTAATGAAAAGAAATGCTCTTCCCCTTCAAACTATTTCCTCAGTCAATTAAACAAATCCTCTAAGTGGAGTGTGTGAAGTGATTTGTGTCCAAGAACTTAATTAGTACTTAATTCTGGAATTTGTATCTTCTTAAGCTCACATCCTTTTAAGTTTCCACCAAGCTCAAAAACTGGTCCAGGTGTGGTCCTTTACCATAAGATCAAGGCAGAAGCTGATTTGAAGAAGTCAGGAGGAATAAAAGACCATCTGTGTGCTCAAAAAGACTTCCAAGCAGCCTTATGGCCACCAACTAAAGTCCCTTGCAAGTCCACAAAAGAGACAGGGTCAAAGAGGACTTGCTTACACTGCAAAATACTAGCTCTCTTATCATAAGGGGACCACACGCTCATGAAGGAAAAAATACAAAATAATATAAAGGAGAAAATGCAATCAGCTACCTAGAGATAGACTCTCTTCCTCCATGTTTTAACTGTTAAATATACAATGGATGTATTACATTGTAGATCACATTCTGTGTATGTGTACATGTTTTCCCATATTTTCAAAACTGTTTCCATACGTCTGTCTCTTATTTCAATGTGCTCCGTTATCTTGGTAAATTTGCCTTTCAGACCCTTCTGGGCTGTTACTCTAATCATGCATCCTCAAATCTTTAGGGGGAAATGAGTGGCAAAATATAGCTTACTCTTTATGTAGAAAGCACAGGAATATATATATATACACACACACACACGTGTGCTATACACACGTGTGTATATATATACATAGGTGTGTATATAGCACATGTGTTTTTTATATATATAAATATATTAGGTTGGTGCAAAAGTAATTGCTGTTTTTGCCATTACTTTCAATGGTAAAAACCACAATTACTTTTGCACCAACCTTATAGATACATATTACATATTTAATTACCACTTTATTCAAAGGTGTCTCCTTGGAAATCCTGGCTACCCTCTAGGTTACAATTGTTTGGCTGGTGGGAAGGGAGAGATACATGATCCAAGCAGAGCCAGGGTCTCACTCTGTTGCCTACGCTGGAGTGCATGGCACAATTACAGCTCACTGTAATCTTGAACTCCTGGGCTGAAGAGATCCTCCCACCTCAGCCTCCCAGTAGCTAAAACTATAGGCATATGTCACCAGGCCCAGCTAATTTTTTAAAATTATTTTGTAGAGACAGGGTCTCACTATGTTACCCAGGCTGGTCTCGAACTCCTGGGCTCAAGGGATCCTCTCACATCAATCTCCCAAAGTGCTGGGATTACAACTGTGAGCCACCATGCCTGGCCCACCTGTGCTTTATATACAAACATATAGTATCTCTGTGGTATTAAATAAATGTTATGGGCCGAGTGGCAATTAGGAGGAAAAAATGTCTAAAAGACTTCTTAAGGGGGATGTAATGAAAAAAGGTTGAAAAACTGTGCAGTAGATGACTATAATATAATTGACTTAACCAATTCTTTTAATAAAATCTGCCGACACACACTTATTACTTGATGTCAGACTTAAAAGCAAAAACAAAATTTTATAACGTCTATTAATGATCATACGTTCTTTTTCAGTGTAAAAAGATCAGTTTCCCTAATGTCTGGATCTCCAACAATCTCAGCATTCCATTTCATTAAAATGAAACTGATCTACTTGTTGGCAATCTGTACTGGGCTCCCAAGCTTCCATATGTCCATCATTTAATTCGACTCTGCAGGATGGAAAGTAACATTGAATAAGTCCTCATGTAATCCTTGGCACACACCATGAAGTTTGCTCGTGCATTTATTCAAACATTTATTTAGGTTCTGAGAAGTTATGTGACTTGCTCAGAGTCACACATTTATTCAGTGGCAGAGCCTAAATTTGGTCCTAATGTCAGTCTGCTTTCCACACTCCCACAGAACCTTAATGAAGTCACTCTTGGAACTTTCTAGTACTTAGTTTCTCTATCTGTAAAAAGAGAGAGTTGAACTAGATTTCTAATTGGGTCTTGCCATTTCAAGAGTTCATTTAATCGAGTAGCTAGATGTTTAGGTTCATGGGTCAAACACCACAATGTTAAGACCACTAGAAAATGGAAGGATATCGATCTTCCTTTTACTCCTCCAACATTTTGGAAGAAATATATCCGCACTCTTGAGATTCTGCCCACAGAGCCAAAGCTTTCCAGAAAGAATGTGCTGATGTGCTTACTTCAACTGCGAAAGCACACATCTCATTCTGCCCCTTCCCAGAGCTTTTGCATAGGCTCATTCCCCGGACAGAGCCTCTGGGGAGATCTCTGCATGGATGCAGAACATAAACATCCAGCCCTTCATGAACAGTGTTTTGTTTTTCTCCAGGCCATCGTCCTGCTTTCCGGCACTAAACAGCAGAGATGTATCTGCATCAAAAGACTACTGTCTAATTAAAAGAAAGTTTTAAGAACTATGAGTCCTGGTGGGATTTCTCACGAAAGTGTTGAGCATCCCCAAGCTGAAAGAACACACTGAGTTTAGAAGGTAGCGTTGCATGGCAGCGTTTCAAGTGCATATGGCCTGTTTTATCTTTCTCCATCTACCTGGCACGGTGAAGAGTCCTCTCCTGCGGAGATGCACACCCAGCCGTCGAGAGCTCCGCAGAGCGCTGGAATGAGGCATGCGCTGGCACGCGCTGGATGGCAGTTGCTTTTCTTCTACTGTGATTCATTATGCAGCCAGGCTATGCTCTAATAAGCACTCGTCAGGTTCCATCCCACAGGTTGTTGTTGCATCTCGAGGATGGAGCTGGGATTCCTGCACATATGGGCCCCAGCAGCATCCCAAGTGAAATGTGTTACCCAACTAGACATCATTCTCATTTAACATGAACTCTTCCATTTAAAGGTAAAAGCAGAATAAATCTTCCCTGACTTTGGTTAGGCAACTTAGACCATTCCCCTGACTAACCTACAGCTATGTTGTGGGCTAAATCTGCATGGACCGATGGAAGAACTAACAGCAAATAAAATCTGAAATGGAGAGCATGTCTTAGAATTTGGAATAAAAATAAATGTGAAGAAACTAAACTGCTAACAGAACAGGTGTGCACACAGTTAGAATTTCTAAAGCTTTTGCATAAAGTAGTAGTGAGAGCTGTATGCTCCCTTTCAAAGCAGGAAATGTGAGTTCCCAGGTTTCAAAGGGTCGAAACCTCTTTTTTGCTTGCCAAAACTCCAGAATTCTATGCCTTACAGAGTTAAAGAACCCCTGGTCAGAGGCTTAATTTTATCAAATTTTTCTAAACATGCATGTCTGTCAAGAATCTTAAATCTCCTACTTAAAAATCATTCCCACTACTATAATTAGAAGAAGATAATAATTATTGGTTTGGGATTTTTTTAAACATAATAGTGACCACAGTATAACTAAATTGTTTCCCCTGTTGGGTGGGCAGATAGTGCCTTTTCCTTCTGTGCGTGTCTTTTCTTCTCATTTTTCCAGCAAAATCTCTACCTTCCCAGTTTCTCATGATTCCTAGTGTCCACTGCTAAGACTCCTGGAGTCTAACACTAAATTCTGTGATTCATCTGGAACACGGTAAGTCGCCTTAATTATGTACAACATGAAACTAAAATAAAATACTACCATGCAATATATTTAATAGGATTTGATCTTCTCTTCCTTTATTTTTAATGCAAGCCAAATGAAACCAAAAAAAAAAATACTTCAGGAAAAGAAGAAGCCTAATGAGCCTGCTTTTTACTTTGATGTGGTCTTCAACTGACCTTTTACTGTAGATATGTGGTCCTTAATTGGAGGAGAGAAAAAATATTCCCAAGAGCCTTCTCAGTTCCCCAAAAAAGATTCCAAGCAACATGTTCTCAACTCCGGAACTCAGAGGCCACCTACTAGTTGGAGCAAAGAGGAAGCAAAAGTCCATACCACCCATTACCCCCACCTCTACCCACTGTCCTCTGGTCCTTATCCCATGATGGTGCTGCTGCCCACAGGGTCACCCAAGGTAAAGGCTTTCAGGAGAGCTTTGATTCCTCTCTTTCCCTTACCTCCTACAACCAAAGGTCCCTGGGTCTCTATTAAAGCATTTCTAAACACCATTCTTTCCTCTCCCTTTCCCTCCCCTCCTCAAGTCATACCCTTCTCTCAGGTCTTCTGTGCATCTCAGCTGGATTTCCAACCAGCTCCCAATGGGACTTCTTGTCCTGCCTCCCAAGTGTCTCCAGAGTGCTGGTTCTAAACTACAAATGGGATCACACCAGTTCCTGCTCAGAAAACATGAATTGGTCCTCATTGCCAAAGAAGGTTCAGAATATCAAGCATGGCTAAAAGGACCAATGTGATCTGGCCCCAGCCCACTTTTTAATTTCACCTCCACTCAATTAATGGTAGCATTCAGTGGAATTTGATGAATAAACAGATTTGGGTCAAGAAAAAAAGAGTGTAAGATTGTGGCAATCATGACACCCAACACTACAAACTGCATAATCTCCTAAGGGTTGTGCCAAGGGCTTCATGTGCATTATCTCAATCTTCTCAACAAGGCAGGTCTTATTAGGTCCCCCACTTGTCAATCTGAAAACAGGCTGCACAGCTCATGAAGTGACAAAGGATGAAGCTGAATCCAAGTGGAAATGGCAATGTCCACATCCTTATGTATATACCACACTGCATTCCACACACTGTCAACATAGGGAGCCTGGGTGACCTGGAGTATAGCGGTGTGGATCAAAATTTTGTTGCAAATACCCACCAGGTACTGATCATGATACTCACTTCAGCCAAAGCCCCTAAAATGTGCAAAAGAGAGCCCCTTATTGAAGCTAAGAGCTCAGCTTTCAGAGGGTTCAGAAGACATCAGGAGTTCTGAGTTCCAGAGAGAGTAGAAAAAGCCAGGCACATCCCATGCTCATAATCTAAAAACACACCGGCTTCAGTTACCTTTCCCAATCATCCCTGGGTATATGCAGAGGGAAAAAGGATACTGAAGGATCCCAACTCCCAGTAACCCCTTTTGTGGAGTCCACTGCTCATCAAGCACCATTCTAATCCCTGCTGGCTTGTGGTGTGGAACAATCTATGAAAATGAGAATTTACAAAGCAGTAGACCTCAGGACCTTTGCTCATGCTGTTCTCTTTTTCTAGACCAACCCTAACTGTCCACAACCCTCACTATTTGTCCTAATTAATGACTATACCATCCTTCTATATCAAGTGGGAACATCATTTCTTCAGGGACACCCTCCCTGAGTATATCAGATACACCATTAGATGCTCCCAGCATGTTCTTCATCACAGCACCCAATGCCATTATAATTTTTACCTTTGCTTTTGTAGTTACTTAATGTATCTCTCTCCATCTCGGTTACAAGCTTCATCATAGCAGAAACTGTGTCTATTGCTCAGTACAGTTCCTGGCACAGAGTAAATGACCAATCAGTCCTTGAACAAATGAATGAACAAGCAATAATTTTAGCCTTCTTAACAGTTAGATTTGTCATTATAAATTAGTAAGTTCAGCATCTGGTTTTGGCACCAGTGTCTTGTGAACTTGGTCAGGGAAGCAGTCTCCTTGAAGCTGACCACTCAGCCAGCCCTGAATGAATGAGTCTGGCACCTGTGAAGATAAGGAATAGATATCTCTGAATAGATATTGGTGACCGAACACAGCCCAGCTTGGGCATCCAGGTGATTTTTTTTCTCTAATATTTCTCTCTCATCCCTTGCACCCAGAAAACTGTGTCCAGGAGTGGTCACTGCATTACTTATAGACATTACTAGGCACATAAATTTTGGTTTGATAGCTCCTGTTTCACGCACACTCACTCTCTAAAATGAAACAACAAATGCAAGGTGGCACGGAGGGCTGGGAAACAACAAATGCCATAGGGAAAGCAACAAAAATCTAACTCAAACAAACGCTTTCCACTTAGAGATGATAAATACAACATGCCATGGCAGCATACACTGTCAGCAGGCTGCCCCTTTAAAAATGTAACCATCAATCTGTTGTTAAGCCCACAACCAGTTGCAATATTAATCATACTTTTCTGGCAAAAGAATCCATTTCCCAATAAAGTTTGAGTGGCAGAGAAAAGGCAGAGCCAACAATCAGGAAATAAACTCTGCTTCCAAATGATCTAAGGAAGCTGCTCTTCTTGCCGGCTGCTCTCTCACCATCCTGCTGCTAGCACCAGACACACATAAATACACATGCCACTCTGCTTCCCCCACATCATATTTCCATCATTGCAGAGTGCTCTACAGTTCTGTTCTAGACCCATTTTTCACTTTGTGCCATTTTTGTATACTTTGAACCCAGATATTCCCTGGAAATTAAGAGTCACTTTTTAAGCACGACCACCACCTCTATTTAGTTGCTCACTCATAACCTTTCTTTCCTTTTTCTTTTTTCTCTCTCCCTTTCTCTCTCTCTCTCTCCCTCCCCCCCCCCAGCCCCCTCTCTCCCTCTCTATTTCTCTCTCCCCCCTGTCCTCTACCATTAACCTGGAACCAATTATGATAAGCACCATTTCTGTTCTTCTGCCTCACCTTCAGTCAACTCTCAGGATGCTACACCCACGTTGCAGGCTGTAGGAAAAATTCCCACTTTGATCCATTGTTATTTTTTCTTTAAGTAGTTACTCATGAATATTTTCCTTCAATACAAATGTTAGGATGTCTTCAACCAAATCCCTCTGGAAATGCTGTGATATTATTGCACCTATGTTAAATATATAGGCTAATTTGTAATGAATACCATATCTACAACACTAAGTCTTCCTTCCTATCCATAAACATGGTATATCTCTCTGCCTTCTTTCATACCCTTTAGAGTTTCTCCAGGCAAACTGCATACAATTTTGGTTAGGTTAAATCCTAGATGTATTACAGTGGTTGCTATTGTGAATAAACATCTTCTATTATATATTCTTAATTTATTATTGTGGTACAAAAGAAAGTTATTAATTTTCATATGTTTATATTATCCAACAAATTTGTTGAACCCTCTACTGCTAAGGGTTGGTCGGTTAATTATTTTTTTCTCTAAGTAAATGATGTTATACGCAAATAAACCATTTTTCTTTTCCCTTCCAATCCTTTTAACTTTCTATCTGCTTTAATGCATTAGCCAGAAGCTTTAGTTTAGAGTAGTAGCAATCATCATGTGTATTCCTATTTCTTTCTAACCTTAAAAGAAAATGCTTCTAAAATTTATTAACTAACCATAATGTTTGCAGTAGGCTTTCGGAGAAAAGCCTTTATTAGATTGAGAACATTTCCTTCCATAATAGATTATATTATTGTTCTCAATTATTTGCTGCCTCTCTCTACCAGGCCTACCTCCATGGGGCCCCTCACATTGGGCAAAGTATGGAGCCACTACACTGACATCAGACTTGGCCATGTGACTTGCTTTGACCAATGAACTATGAAAGGAGGTGACATATGTCAAGTCCAAGCTGACACTTGGAGCCATTACATGGTGCTTCTATTGATTTTTCCTGTCTGCTACTGTACCACCACATCCCAGGCAGGGGCTGCTCCTCCAGCCTGGCTCCTGCAGTGACGACTACAGAGAGCAGAAACACAGCCAACCTACAACCAACATGCAACATGTACAGGAAATCAACCTTTGTTATCATAAGCCACTGACATTTTGGAGTTACTGCTACAGCATAATGTAGCAAAAGCTGACTGATATACAACCTATTTTTATTTTTCTCTGGGCTTTTGTCATAATAGCTGCCTTTACTACACCCATTGAGATCACTGTATGGTTATTCTCCTTTTGTCTGTTAATGTAATGATTTCAGAGGTTAAATTTGTAGCAGACATTAGCTGTCCATCAAAAATACTAGTGCTCTTCCTCCCACAGTGTGGTATTTTCACTGGGAAATGGCTGCCCAGCCTGTAGCTACACTCTCCAGCTCTTCTTGCATGTAGAGGTGGCCATGCAACTAGTTACCACCAACAGGGCATGAGCAGAAGTGACATGTCACATGCAGGTCCAGAGCTCTTACAAAGCAGTTAGAGATTCTCACATTCTTTATTTTTCTGCTGGCTGGAAATGCAGGACATGGGGCCTTAGTGAGAAGTCGAACCACAAGATGGAGGGAGCCTGGGTCCTTCAGTCATCACATGGATCACCTGCCAACCACGGCACCATTCCATGAGCAAGAAATAAACCTGTTGTATACAGGTGCTTATTTGTTAGAGCAACCAGTGTTACCCTAATACACCATCCTTGCACTTCAGGGATAAATCCAGTGATATATGATTTTTTAATACGATGTTAGATTTAGAATGTTATCATTTTATTTAACTTTTAGCTGAAGCTGGCTTGTCATTTGTCTTCTTTGGTACTATCCTCATTCAGTTTTGATACTGAGGATATAAATTTGGTATTACACTTCAGAAAATAACAAGAGCAGCTTTCTCCTTTTTATAAATCTCTGGAGCAACTTGAACCAGGCAGGGATTATCTACTTATATAAAACTGCATGGCCCTAATGATTTTGGGAGGAGGAGAAAGTTTTTGCCATCATTTCCATTTCTTCAGCAGTGATTGTTCTAGTCAAGTTTTCCATTTATCAATTGGCCAACATTGGAATTTCATATTTTTTCTACAAATCTATTCATTTCATAAGAGTTTTCACATTTCACATTTCACAGCTATACATTTGTTTATATACAGTTGCTGAACCAAATCTCTTATGATATCTAAATTGCTTCTATAGCTATGATTATTTCATATGCACCTTCTCTCTTTTTATTCCTTGATCAGTCTCTCTAGAGGCAAATCCATCTTCCTAATTTTTTCAAAGAACATTTGGTTATTCTAATCATTATTATTTTTCCATCCCCCTTTTATTGATTTTTACTCTACCTTATTATTTTAATCCTTCATTGACTCAGAGAATATGGTCTGAATGATATCAGTTCTTAGTCCAAGACTGACTTTCTGACCTAGAATATAATCCATTTTTGTGAAAATACCATGTGTGCCCCAAAATAACATGCATTTAGTGTTTTCTGAGTGTGGGATTGTTAATTGTGTTTTTCAAATCCTTCTTTGTCTTTTTTCCCAGTTTGTTCTGTTTCCAAGAAAATTATATTCAAATCTCCATCTACAATGGAGATTATCTATTTACCACTATAATTCCTCCAATTATTACTTTATATAGTTTGAGGCTATGTTGTTGGTTATGTTTTTGTCATCACTATTATATCTTCCTGGAATATTGTGGTATTGTGGCATTCCCAGAAAAAACCATTTTTCATCTTTTTTGATGTTCACCTTAAATTCTACTTCATCTGGTATTGAAACTGCTAGCCTGGTGTTATTGTGGTTATTTTCCTAGAATGCCATTTTATCCCTTTATTTTCAACCTGTGTCTTTGTTTATGTGACTGTCTTAAAATCACATATTGCCTGATCTTTTCTGTAACGTAATCTAAGAGTACGTGCATCTTAATCAGTGAGATTAACCATTTATTCTGTAACCACTGATACTGCAGGTTTGATTTCCTCACCCTATTTTGTGTTTTCTATTTACTATGCTTTTTTTATTTTCTGATCTCTCACTGAATATATTATTTTCTTAGTTTTAGCTTAACAAAGTATATTTTTATGATTTCCATGGTTGCCCTTAGCTTAAGTAAGGCCTATATTTATATTTGTTTATTCCTTTAATATCTAAAGACTATTCATGACTATATCCTCCCCACAGCAAGACACAACCCTTGGACTGCTTTCCTCTACCTGTGATCTTTCACACACACTCACACACACAAACTTCATTTCTCATGTTAGCATTGTCTGGAAATTTAGTTCCAGGTTGGTTATGGGTCACTCCCTCCCCCTGTTTTTTCAGACATCTCCAGAACCCTGAGCAGAGGAAGAGACCAGGAGACCATGCTTTGTTTACCACATTGATTCAAACCAGAATTTAAAACCAGCCCAATTGTGCCATGAAACTAATGCTTATGGGTTTTTTTGAATAAACATAGAAATTGACCCCCCCAAGTCTTGAAATTAACAAAGTTGCAGTTGTCTTATCTGAGTTCCTCTCTCAGGAAACAACTATCAGGCCTCCCAGATAGTATCAAAGAGCTGAAACTCATCAGATAACACCTGGACAATGAGATGCCAGACCCCTCACTCATCATGATGGCCTAACCGACCACCTGCTTCCTGCTGACCCACTCTTCTTCTTCACCCTTCCCTAATTCGTATTTTTCCCCATATAGTCAGATTTCTTTCCTGCTATATAAACCCCTAATTTTAGTCGGTCAGGGAGATGGATTTGAGACTGATCTCCCATCTTCTCAGCTGCAGCGCCCGAATAAAGCCCTCTTCCCTGGCAATACTCATTGTATCACTGGTGGGCTGTCTGTGCAGCGAACAGCAGGACCTAGACTGAACCCCTGGTGTTTCAGTAACAAATTATCCTTCTCATTTCTTATTATTTTTTGTTTATTGCTCATTGTGAGTTATTTAGAATACTGATTCTATGAATGCTATTATTTTGAATGCTTTTTTGAGGTATAATTTATATACCATAAGATTCACCCACTTCAAATGTATATATATATATATATATATATATATATATATATATATATATATATATACATTTTTTGAGACAGAGTCTCGCTCTGTGGCCCAGGCTGTAGTGCAGTGTCACGATCTTGGCTCACTGCAACCTCTGCCTCCTGGGTTCAAGCACTTCTCCTGCCTCAGCCTCCCAAGTAGCTGGGATTACAGTCACGCAACACCTGCCTGGCTCATTTTTGTATTTTAATAGGGACGGGGTTTCACCATGTTCGGCAGGCTGGTCTCAAACTCCTGACCTCAAGTGATCTGCCCACCTTGGCCTCCCAAAGTGATGAGATTACAGGCATGAGCCACCGCACCCAGCCTTAAATGTATAATTTAATGATTATTATTTACGGAGTTGTACAACAATCACACCATCACCACAATACAGTTTTTAGAATATCTCCATCACTCCAAAAAGATCCTTCATGCCTGTTCACAGTCATCCCTGTTCACAGCCATCCCTGTTCCCACCCCTACCCCAGGCAATCAGTAATCTACCTTCTGTTTCTATGGATTCACCTTTTCTGGAAATGACCTATACATGGAAATATCCAAGATGTGGTCTTTTCTGACTTGTTTCACTTAGCATGATGTTTCTGAGGTTCATACATGTGGCTGCATGTGTCACCATCCATTTCATTTCCTTGCTGAATCGTATTGCATTGGATGGATGTGCCATGTTTTGCTTATCCATTTGCCAGCTGATGGATATTTGGACTGTTTCCACTGTTGTGTACCTGTGTCTTCCTGTGGACGTAGGTTTTCATTACTCTTGGGTAGATGCCTAGGAGTAAAACTGTTGAGTAATATGGTAAATTTATATTTAACTCTTCTAAGTGACTGCCGAACTGTTTTTCCAAAGTGGCCATGCCATTGTACATCCTCACCAGCCCTGTGTGAGGGTTCCACTTTCTCCACATCTTTGCTGTATTAGTCCATTTTCACATTGCTATGAAGACATACCTGAGATGGGGTAATTTATAAAGGAAAGAGGTTTAATTGACTCACAATTCTGCATGGCTGGGAAGGGCTCAGGAAACTTACAATCATGGCAGAAGGCAAAGGAGAAGCAAGAACCTTCTTCATATGATGGTAGGAGACAGAGCAAGCAATGGGGAAACTGCCAAACACTTTTAAAGCATCAGATCTCATGAGAACTCACTCACTATCATGAGAACAGCATGGGGGAAACCGCCCCCATGATCCAATCACCTGCCACCAGGTCCCTCCCTCAACATGTGCGGATTACAATTCCAAATGAGATTTGGAGGGGACACAGAGCCAAACCATATCATTTGCCAACACATGCTTTTAATCATCGTTTGTTATTGTTCTTCTTGTTGTTACATCCATTCTAGTGGGTGCACTTACTATATTTATAATCAGAAAAAAATAAGCATGTAGATAAGTATATGAAATTTATGTATATACCATATCTTAAGGGAGAAAAAAGAACAAAAATATCAGAAGGAAATACAACAAAATATTAAATATGGCTGTCTCTAGATGACAGGATTATGGGTTTTTCTTCTTTCTACCTTTCTGTATTTTTCTCTTTGATAAGCAACAGGTATTTGCTTTTATAAACAAATTCATTTTAATAAAGTAATAACATACCATGAGGTGTTTTACAGCTAGTATAATCTAACTTTAACTACCTTAACATTTCCCAGTAGTGATGATTAGATACCAAAGCTTCCCTTCTGCTAAAGATCATACATACATTGTTGAATTACTGAAGAAATTACTTGCCTCCAGATTGACTCGCAGGGTAACTGTTGGTTTTATTAAACTCCAGAGAAGAACTGCAGAGCTTCCAGGGCCCTTCCTCAAAGCAGCTAGGAGGCATGGATGCACAGCTGTCACCGCATTCCTCTCACAGTGCTTCCTGGGCCAGCATCAAGGCTATTCAGAAACATCTCATTCTTTTACAACCATCCTTTGCTCCTACACCAAACTCTACAAGGTGTATGGCATTCAAGTAGTTTTGTGTTTGGCTAGTGATGACAAAGCCACCCCATCACAAAAAACTGTTTATATGCTACTCTATTAGCATATAATCTGGGAATCTTGCCGAAGCACATTCATCCAACAAGTATTATCTGAGCCCCAACTATGTGAAAAGCATTGTATTAGTCTGTTCTCAGCTCCTAATAAAGACATACCCGAGACTGGGAAATTTATAAAGAGGTTTAATTGACTCACAGTTCCACATGGCTTGGGAGGCCTCACAATCATGGCAGAAGGTGAATGAGGAGCAGTCACATCTTACATGCCAGCAGGCAAGATAGAGCAGGTGCAGGGGAACTCCCCTTTTATAAAACCATCAGTTCTCATGAGACTTATCGACTATCACAAGAACAGCACGCGAAAAACCCTCCCCCATGATTCAATTACCTTCCACCAGGTCCTTCCCCGACATGTGAGAATTACAGGAGCTACAATTCAAGATGAGATTTGGGTGGGAATACAGCCAAACCATATCAGGCATCTTGCTGTGTCCCCTTAAGCTTACAATCTAAGAACAAACACTCTACCCAAAGTACAGAGCGCTAAGGATCCTAAGGGACAAACACACAGAAGGGCTTGTAGGAGTTTGGAAAAGAGTTGTCTTCCCCACCCCCCCACAACTGAAAGAGGAAAGACATTTCAAGGAAACAGTCACTTGCCAGTTTTGGGTATCATTGAACATGGAACCAGAGGTCCAGGAATTACACGATGGCCCAAGACAAGCATCTAAAGGGCAAGACCAAAGGAAGAGCTTCCCTTCCCTGCACCCATTTTCCCTCTCAAATGATCTTTCCCTGATCTTTATTCTCTGTCACCACCAAACTTCTTGCCTCTGTCTAGACAGGCATACAAGGGCCAACCAACCCGCTGTGAATAGGTGCCTCAGGCAACTGAAGTCCAAATAGAATGAGGCAAGGGCGCCCTCACTCAACTCATCCAAAACGAGAAAAAACTAAGAAGTCCCAACCAGAGTCATGTTTCTTCTACACCATGACACTGCATGTGTAAGCCCACCCTACATCCTTTTAAGAATGCAACATTTTACAAAAGAATAACTTAACTGCACATCATATGCCACCGTTTTATGCTAAAGATCACACGTACTGTGTTGAATTACTTCAGAAATGACTTTAACATCGACAGCCAAAGCAAAACCTTTAACTAGAGGGGACTGGGTATTTTGGCCTGATGAATAATTTGCACTCAGTAATAGGGAGTCATCCAAGCCACCAAGCGTGAATTACTAATTTTCAAAAGACCAAAAACTAACAAAGTACATTCAACCTTAAAACCATTTTGAACATAATCTTCCTTTGAGGATTCAAAAATGCCTAGAAACACTTTAAATCTGTGAATAAGGACCACGACTCTGTGTTGTCATATCCATACAAAGTTATTGAATAAAACCTAGCAGGCTTAGAGCTTACTAATCCTACTGTTATAACCGGGGGCTGGGAGGGAAGAATTGCTCTTCTAATAGTAAATGTAGGTAAATGCCAGCAGAACTGGGTATAAGAGATGTGCCTATTAAGGAATGTCACTGGTTTTATTTTAATTTATTCTGGGTTTATTGGATACAGCAAAATTCACCCTTTATAGATGTACAGTTCTATGAATCTTGACAAACATATACAATTGTGTGGGCACCACCATAATCAAGATATAAAATGTTCCCATCACTTTCTTAAATTCATGCCCCTTTGCAGGGAAATGCCCCTCCCCATTTCCCCAGTCCCTGGCAACCATGAATCTAATTTCTGTCCATACAGTTTTGTCTTTTCCAGAATTATGAATCTAATTTCTGTCTCTATAGTTTTTTCTTTTCCAGAATGTCACAGAAATGGAATCATACAGTCTGTAGCTTTTGACTCTGGCTTCTTTCACTTAATCTTTTAAGAGCTATCCATGTCATTGCATTGATTTTGTTTGTTAACCAATATTGAACCGAGACTTCAAAATGGTGCTGGTGGCCTCACACCCACCAGGTTCTTCGTCACTGTTCACACTGTCCGTCCTTTTTTTTTTTTTTTTTTTTTTTTTCTCCGAAACAGGGTCGCCCAGGCTGAATGCAGTGGTGTGCTCTTGGCTCACTGCAACCTCCACCTCTCAGATTCAAGTGATCCTCCCACATCAGCCTCTCGAGAGGCTGGGATTACAGGCATGTGCCACCATGCCCAGCTAATGTTTGCATTTTTAGAAGAGAGAGCCTTTCACCATGTTGGCCAGGCTGGTCTCAAACTCCTGACCTCAAGTGATCTGCCTGCCTCGGCCTCCCAAAGTGCTGGGTTTACAGGTGTGAGCCACTGCACCTTGCCCACATTGTTCTTTTCAGGGGCCTCTGAGCCACTCAATACCTTCTTCATATATTAAAGGAGGGACGAATCTTCATCTTTCAAAAGGGAGGGCGATGGTTTTAAAAGCAAAGCTCTAACCTATGAGCTTTTACTCCAGGACACAAACACTGGCCTATGGAGCTCTGTGGCCCAAGCACAGGGCAGGGTACTCAGTGGGGGCACAACACAGAGGACACTGAAGGCTGGGAAGGGGAAGAATGGATGGGAGCGAGATTCATTAAAGGTTACAAAATTACAGCTAGATAAGAGGAGTAAGTTCTACTCCATACCACTGTAAGATGGCTGTACTTAACTAAAATATTCTAGTTTCGAAGAGTTAGAAGGAGGATACGGAACATTTCCAACACAAATAAATGATCAATGTTGAGACGATGGATATGCTAATTACCTGGATCCAACCACTACACATTATACTGAAACATCACTATGTGCTCCATAAATATGTACAGTTATTATGTGCCAATTAAAAAAATTTAAACCTGTTGGTTCAACTTGACTGAACTGCAATCTGATCAGTAGTCAACATGAATAATACCATCTTAGTTCAAGAGTAAAACAATCTCACTGAGAAAATTTCTCAGAAAAAGACTCCCAAAATGTTATATTGTGTTAGGTTTTGTTTTGCTTTGGGGTGTGTGTGTGTGTGTGTGTGTGTGTGTGTGTGTGTGTGTGTGTGTTGAAAACTGGCTCTGAAAGCATTTCTAAAAGTGGAGTTTCCAACATCATCGTGAATCCACTCCTGCACCTCCTCATTGTACAAATATTTACTGAGTGCCCTGTGTGGCTACACCAAGTTCACTGCTAGGAATGATTCAACTTCTAAACACCATCAGGAAAGTACAGACTCTGGGTTGAGATGGTTCTGAAATCAAATTCCCACTTTTGGCCCTTTAACTCTGACTCTACTGCCCTAGAGATTCCCCAGCAGGGTCACCCAAACAGAGCTTGATGACCCAGGTGCTCAAACCCTCTGCCCAACCCATCCTCCAGCACACTCTGCCGGGCCCATCTTTTGTGGTCTGCACACCTTGCTTGTTACCAGTGGATCTGCGAAACTTTCAGAACATCCATCCTGGAAAAATGCTCACCTCTGAATAATAATTTAAGTCTCGAACTGTCATCATCCAGGGAAGAACTTCTCACTCTGAATCTGTCGTGATTCTAGAGCATTCCTAGAATCTAGAGGTTCTAGATTCTAGATCCTGACTCCTATGCAAGTAGCTCGGCAAGGAGAGGGGAGCAATGGCTGGAGAAAGTGATAAATTCTCTAAATCTGGTTTTTCTCACTCATAAAATAGAGTTATTAATCCCTCCCTGCTGCGAGGATAAAATAATGGATAATAATAATAGCAGCTGTTATTAATTGAAAGCTTATTTGAGGGCCAAATACCACAGAATATGCATTACTTATTTATTGATTTTAATCCATGCACCCAATCTTATGAGTAAGACTATTATTATCCCCAACTAATAAATGAGGAATTGAGGCTCAGAGATACTAAGCACTTGCTCAAAACCACCAGCTAGTACATGCTTCACTGAGGGTGTGAACTCTTCATCGTTATATTTAACCTCATTCAACTTCTGGCAATCAATCCCAAAGAAATAATAATAAGTCACTCATACACACAGAGGCGCCTCATGGTTTGAGAAGAGAAAATCAGAAAATAATTAAACATCCAACAATGAGGCATTGCTAATATAAACTGCCTCCATGTTGGTCAGGCTGGTTTCAAATCATGACTGCAAAGAATAGTCTGTGAAGACCAGCTGAAGACATGTGTTCACCTCCCACTTCTTCCCAAAACTCACTGATATCCCAGTAAATAACTACAAGTGAGACAATATCATAAAATCACTGTGAACTGATAAAACAGAAGCCAGGTGAGGTGGTGCTGGTAGCAGAACCAGGGCAAATGGAGAAGGAGAGGGAGGTGGAATGGTGAGGAGAAAGAAGCTGTTTCCCATCATGGAAGCACCAGCATGGGTGGATACAGATACCAGGAGTTGGAGGAAGGGCACCAATGGTGAAGGCTGTCTGCAGGAAGAGTCCATGGGCTGGCCTCCCCCAGTCTACTCAACAATCACCTCTCACCTCTTCCCCCAAGAGCAGCAAATGAATTTTCCCAGGCTGAAACAGGAAATATAACCACTAAGGATCCTTAACAATCTTCCAAGAAGGTGCTTAAATTTCCAGAGTGGGGATTATCACCCCAAAATATGTTCCTCTTTGGCTTAGCATGAGGAGCAGCACAACTTGCCTGCTTTTGTTCCACAAATGTCCAAGTGAAATCCGCCAATCAACTCACCTGCCCGTGGACAAACAAAACTACTCAGCAATCTGTGCCACCACCTAGTTCTACATTCCTAAAATGAATAAACAATCCAAATCATTAATGCTGGTGGAGGCAAACAATACCAAAGAAAGAAGTAAGCTGAACCCATAAAACTGACTCCAGGAAAAATAGAGAATCCAGACACAAACAAGAACTTTCACAGAACCCTTAATTAATATCTTCCAAGATACTGAAGGAGATTTTATACACATAGAACAAGAACAGGTGACTATTTTTTTTTTTTTTTGAGATGGAGTCTTGTTCTGTCGCCCAGGCTGGAGTGCAGTGGCGCCATCTCAGCTCACTGCAAGCTCCGCCTCCCGGGTTCATGCCATTCTCCTGCCTCAGCCTCCTGAGTAGTTGGGACTACAGGCGCCCGCCACCACGCCTGGCTAATTTTTTTGTATTTTTAGTAGAGACAGGGTTTCACCGTTTTAGCCAGGATGGTCTTGATATTCTGACCTCGTGATCCACCCGCCTTGGCCTCCCAAAGTGCCGGGATTCCAGTCGTGAGCCACCGCGCCCAGCCACAGGTGACTATTTTTGAAAAGCAATTAAAACTCAGAAGTAACAAATTTACAGAAATTAAGAACATGCCTGCTAAAATGAACGCCAAAGGAAAAAATATCAATAGAAAAGCTGAAATAAAAAATTAAAGAAATTTCCTAGAATATAGAGCGAGGAGAAATATTTAGAAAACATAGACAAAATAACAGACACATGAAAGACCATACCATGAAACAAATATCCATCTACTAGATGCTCCTAGAGAGATCATAGACAAAATAAACAGGAGGAAATAATTACCAAAAATATATATATACTTCACAGAAATGAAGAAAGAAAGAAAATGCAAAGTGTCCATCAAGTGCCGAACAGGATAAATGAAAAATACCTTTTAAAAAATCCTGGCTGGGCACAGTGGCTCACGCCTGTAATCCCAGAACTTTGGGAGGCCGAGGCGGGCAGATCACTTGAGGTCAGGAGTTCAAGACCAACCTGGCCAACATGGTGAAGCCCCATCTCTACTAAAAATACAAAAATAAGTAGCCGATGTGGTGGCAGGCACCTGTAGTCCCAGCTACTGGGGAGGCTGAGACAGGAGAATCGCTTGAACCTGAAAAGCGGAGGTTGCAGTGAGCCAAGATGGCGCCACTGCACTCCAGCCTGGGCGACGGAGATTCCATCTCAAAAAAAAAACAAACCCTGAAATCTTCCAATGTATGTGTGTTGAGAGAAGTGGCGTGCAGACAAAACAGGTAATCCATGAAGGAATGGGGATTTTAAGTACTGAGCTAATTAGCAATACTGAATGTTAGAAGACGACTGGATGTACTTTGAAATGTCAAGGAGAAAATTATTTTGACTCTAGCTTTCTAGAGTCTCTCTCTCTCTCTCTCTGTATTTCTCTCTCTCTCTCTCCCCCCTCTCTTTCTCTCTCTCTCTCTCTCTATTTCTCTCTCTCTCTCTCCCCCCTCTCTTTCTCTCTCTCTCTCTCTCACACACACATACACACAAACACACACACATACAGAATGTGAGGATGAAAAAGAGATTTTTTCAGCCTTTAAGAACAAAAAGTTTTCCACATACCTATTATTTTATAAAATATTAATTAGGAATAGACTGAGACAAAATGAAAAGGAATACAAGAATAAAAGAAGGTTGGGGATTCTAGAAAGAGAAGAATTCCAGGACCGCAAGAAGAGCAGCCCCAAGATGATGATGAGCTCATGGTCCCAGGAGGAAGGTAGGAGAGCACTTCACAGCGTGCAATTGAACAACGGTGAGATATTCATGATTCGGTGAAGAAGACATCCGCTTCCTCCACTCACAAGAAAAGCAAATGACAATTAGAATATAAGAAGCTGTACAATAAGGTCACAGGCCAGCAAAATCAAACATAACATGCCCTGAGTCTAGCAACTGATGGAGTGATCAAGAAAGCAAATTCATCTCATCACAGTTCTGGGATGGGGTACGGTTCTCACTGCAGAGACATTCATCCCTGTCTTGCCTGGGTTTTCTCAAAAAACAAAGCATACAACAAGGACACATGGGAAAGTGGTTTATTTGGGGAAGTGATTCCAAGTGACAGTATGGCAAACTGGGAAGAGTGGAACAGCAAAGGAGAGAAAAATCAATCCAGGAGTGTAGCACACAGTGGATCCCCACAGGGGACAAACGAGACTCCATCCCACTCTGAGAATTATCTGCCTGGGAGAAGGAAGATGAGAATGTGTACTCATCGGCTTCCATCCCCCATTGACCAAGGGCTGCCCCATGGGTCTGGCATTTCCAGATGTCCATTACATCAGAATGTCTGTGCAGGAGGCTTCCCAAATGCCAGATACAGAAAAGTCCCAGGATATAAAGTGAGAAATATGCATTGTAGTATTTAGAACTGTATTTTCCACATACATAATATTTTGTAATAGTAACTGTGTTAAGGAGAGACACAAATACTATGTAGACATTAGCACTGCTTGCCAAATGTTTTTGGCTCTCAGCTTCCCAAACATACGATGGAATCACACTCTTTGGCCCCTATGTGGTTGAGTGCAACCATGTGACTAGTTCTGCCCACTAAACTGAAGTGAAAGTGATATCTCACTTCCACGTTAAAACATGTGAATTTTGACGCAAGACACTCCAGAGTTTTCTTTCCTCCTTCTTCTTCCTTTCCAGCAACATAACAGATAACAGTTGTTCCATTTCCATGGGTTGCCAAATAAAGAGGACCCACAGCAGAGGCCCAGTTCACTGTAATAGACATGAGACTGACGAGAAATAAAACCTTCCTTGTGTAAAGGCTCTAAGATCTGGGGATTATTTGTTACTGCTGCCTAACCTAGCCTATACTGACTGATACAATGAGGCAATGCTTTATAATGTTGTTTGGGAAGACAAGTTTAGAAAAGTTAACACACACACATATACAATGATTACACTGTACATTTAAAAAGCTAAATATAGAGAAAAAAGGGATATCAAGTGCTAATAGTGTATGCCCTTGGTTGACAGAATCCCAAGGAAGGTTCATTATTAGATGGTCACTTTTTAAATCTTACATAACAAGCATGTATTATTTACACAAAAACAAACATTAAAAGAAAACCTCAAGTGAGGGGCTGTATCGAGGAGGAGAGATTGGTGGACATCCCAGTTATGTCACGTGCTTATGAACTCTAAACTTCAGTACCTTTTCCACCCCATAAAATACACAAATCTCTTTTCAGGTATCAGGGCAGGTGGGTGTCAAATACCCAAAACTTTACTTCCACTTTACAATGTGCATATATTCAAAGTCTTCCAAACATCCAAGAAAGTTTTAGTTGTACGTTGGACTGTTTCTACTCCCTTCTTCCAAGTCTCCCAATAACTTGTTCAGCTTTTGCAAATAGGAATTGTTTCCCAAAAGGGAAAAGAATTTGAGAAAATCCAGTGTCTAGAACTTACCAACATGAAGCCTTGTGAATGCACAGGTGTATGCTCACACGCATGCACACACACAACAGGTCTGTTAAGTCCTTTCTGGGCCCAGTCTTCCAATTTCTTCCACATCCCTCTGATCTATTTTCCAAGAGCAGCCAGAGTGATCCTCGGGAAGTTAACACTTCATGTCAATTCCCTGCTCCAATGCCCCACTGGCTTCCCATTACACTTATGGAATGAAATCGAAACCCCTAACCATGGCCCTGGAGATGCAGGTGATCTGGCCCCTGTCCCACTCTTCCCTTGACCCAGTATGTACCAGCCATGACGATATTCCTCTCAGGTCCCTGAACACACCAAGCTACTCTTTCCATGTCTGGGCCCCTGTGCTGACCATTTCCCCTTCCTGGAATGCTGTTCTCTGGGGTTCCCACAAGCCTTCTTCCTTCTCAACCTTCAAGATTCAGCCTAAATTCCACTTCTTCAGGGAAACCCTCCCCAAAGGCCACCATTAAAAATGAGCCCCATCCCCGTCATTCTCTCCCACTATCCTGTTCCTTTCTTTCAGACACTTCATCACAATCCTATTTCTTCTCTGTTTTTTTCTTTCTTTCTTTCTTTTTTTTTTTTTTTTTGACGGAGTCTTGCCCTGTCGCTAAGCAGGAGTGCAGTGGCGCGATCTAGGCTCACTGCAACGTCCACCTCCCGGGTTCACGCCATTCTCCTGCCTCAGCCTCCCGAGTAGCTGGGGCTACAGGCCTGCACCATCACGCCCAGCTAATTTTTGTTTTTTTAGTAGAGACGGGGTTTCACCATGTTGGCCAGGATGGTCTCCATCTCTTGACCTCGTGATCCACCCATCTCAGCCTCCCGAAGTGCTGGGATTACAGGCATGAGCCACCGCACCCGGCCTCTTTCTTTTTTTTTTTTTTTTTTTTTTTTCAGACGGAGTTTCGCTCTTGTTGCACAGGCTGGAGTGTAATAGCATGATCTCGGCTCACCGCAACCTCCACCTCCCAGGTTCAAGTGATTCTCCTGCCTCAGCCTCCTGAGTAGCTGGGATTACAGGCATGTGCCACTACACCCAGCTAATTTTGTATTTTTAGCAGAGATGAGGTTTCTCCATGTTGGTCAGGCTGGTCTCAAACTCCCAACCTCAAGTATCTGCCCGCCTCAGCCTCCCAAAGTGCTGGGATTACAGGTGTGAGCCACCATGCCCGGCCTCTTCTCTTTATTTATCACCTTAGGTGTTTATTGTTTGGCTTCCCTGTTACTACGGGAGCTCTATAGGGCCTCATCTGTCTACACATGGCTGCATCTCCAGCATTTAGAAGAGTGTCTGGCACATAATGAGTGCTAATAAATGGACGAAGGATTACAGACAGGCTGTGGAAAGGGGCTAACAGGGGTGTGCACAGAGTATGGAAGAAGATGAAGCAGGTTACCAGGGTAGATTTCTAAGAGAAGGGGATGCTTAAGCTGAACGTTGAGGGATGATCAGGTGTTCAGGGGGAAAGGCATGAGCAGCGAGGGAAACAGAGGTGTGCAAAGGCCTCCAGCCACCAAAAAGAGCAGGACCAGTGTCTGGGGAGGTCTTTCTGCATTTTGGATATTGAGTGTCATGCCCATTTGGGAGCCTTGGAGAGAGCTTTTATGCCAGCCACCTCTGCCTTGGGAGAGACAAAGCCCATTTCCATCTGGGAGCTGGGTTGGTGCACCCCAGACTCTGGTTCCTGAGTGCCACTTGCAGGGTGGCCTCTCATCAAGCAGTTTCACACCCAGTGATACCTCGTACTTTCACCCTGTCACCTGCCATTAGTCATTTCTCCCACCAGCACTGAGAGGTAAATCACTATTATTATTTTTCAGTTTTACAGCTGAGAACTAAAGAGTGTGGAGGTTAAGTGACTCGTCAGAGTTAGTGGCCAGATGGGGTTCAGAATTCAGCACCTGTGATCACACCCAAGGCCTAGGGCCCACAACATTTGTGTTTCTGGACACTCAAACCAGAAGGCCCCATGTGGCTGGACATGTCTGCATGGCTCCCCACCCACCTTGCAAATTTTCCCAGCCCCCCGGCTATCTCTCACCCTACTTTTCTCCTTCCTTGCCCTCTCCTCTCTTTCTTCTCTCTCATCTCTCTCTCCCCCACCGATCTCTCTCCCTGACTCTCTCCCACCTCTCTTCCCTTTCTCTCTCCCTTCTCCCTGCCCTCTCCCTGCTTCCTCTCTCTGTCTCTGTTTCTTCCTCTCTCTCTCTCTCTGCTCTTTTCTCCCTCTCCTTCTCTCTCCAACCTCTCCCTCCCTTTTCCTCTCTCTTCCACACCTCTCTCCTCCCCCTCTTTCTCTCCCCCACCCTCTCTCTCTCCCTCTCCCTTTCTCTCCTTCTCTCTTTCCACCCTCCCTCTCTCTCTCTTCCCCTCTCTCCCCACCTCTCTCCTCCCGCTTTCTCCCCTCCCACCTGCCTTCTCTCTCCCTCTCTCCCTTCTCTTTCCCTCTCTCTCCTTCTCTCTTTCCACCCTCCCTCTCTCTCTCTTCCCCTCTCTCCCCACCTCTCTCCTCCCGCTTTCTCCCCTCCCACCTGCCTCCTCTCTCCCTCTCTCCCTCTCTCCCTTCTCTTTCCCTCTCTCTCTCCCCATCTCTCCTCTCTCTCCCTCTCTTCTCTGCCTCTCCCTGTTCCCCCTTCTTCTACTCTATCTCCCCGCCTTGCTCCCTCACTCTCTCTGTCTCTCTGTTTTCCTTTTCTCCCTCTCCCTCCTCTTTTCCTCTCTCTCCGACCCTATTTGGCTCTTTAGATTGAAAACTTCCCACCACCTGACTTCAGACAGGGATGGGATCATTTGCCTTCTCTTCTTAACAGTATCAGAACCTGTAGGCTCACAGGCTCCTTTCTTAGGAGAGCCCAGCATGTGAGGAAGGGCTGGTGATCCCAAGTGAGAGCATAGAAACATCCTTGGGGAGTCAGCTTTGGGAAGAGGCTGCTGGCAAGTAAGGCCTAATCCTCATGCAGGAGCTCTGCGCCCCATTCAGCAGCTGGGCCCCTCCTCCTCCTGGGGCTCCTGACAGAGGGGGTTCCTCCACTCCTGGCCGGTTCCCCAGCTCAGCAGGCTCCCGCCCCCCATCCACAGCTCTGCCTGTGTAAGGCCAGAAGCCCAGCATGCCTGCCTGGAATACTAAACAGGGCCCTTCCAGATCCAGATGCACTGAGAAGGCCAGACAATCCCTCACCTCCCCCATCCCCAAGGGCCTGGCTGGAGAGGGCTGGAATCTAGTGCATTGCAGGGAGCAGGGAAGCTCATCACAGTCCTCATGTGGGGACAGAGGAGGCCCCTGATCCCTCTGGGATGTGGGTGGCAGGCTGCCAGCTGAGGAGGTTGGAGGCCCCAGGCTCCCCTTCCAGACAGCATAAATCCAATGGTGTGGGGTCCAGCTCCCTGTGGCCCAGCACACAGGCAGGATTGCAAGGATGAAGGCCCGAGGTAAGTTTGGAGGAGATTAAATTAAAAAGCCAAAGCTTCTGAGCACCAGAAGGCCTCAGCGACCATAAATCTACTTGCAGAGGAGCACACAGAACACGAGGCCAAACCAGTTTTATTTAAGTTGCTGATGAGCGTTGGCCTCTGCAAAGGCATAATTCAACCACACTTGGGCCTGGACAGTCCCTGCTTCCAAGCAATGCACAGTAAGGGAGCCAGGAAGTGGAAGTATGGAACACTTGGACAGTGGCGAGGGGCCTGAGCTACAGGATCAGAGAAACTCATGCTCAAATCCCATCTCTGTCATTTCTGGGCAGTGTAATCTCAGGAAGGTCGCCTAACCTCCCTAACCCTCTTTTTCCCCACTCAGAAAACGGGTTAAACCAGATGGACCTTCCAGAGTCATTGTGAGTACCTGCCCCACAAGCCCCAACAAAATGGTGGCCATCACAACAAAGTTGATGATGATATAGGAAAGTGAAGTTAATGGCCACAGAACATTAATGAGCTAACACAAGGCACTCATTCTATGCCGGGCACTGTTTACTCTTTCAGTCCTTAGAATGATACTGTGATAAAATGCCATGATGGTTCCCAGTTCACAGTTGCAGAAGCTGAGGCACAGAGATGCTGAGAAACTTGCCTAAGGTCACATAGCTGGTTATGGATAGTACTGGGATTCAAACCTGGGCAGCCAGGCTCTTCCACAGTGACAGACACTGCACTCTCCTGACTCTCAGAATTTGAGAGCCTAAAGGAACACAGGAATCATTTTTTCCATATTCTTGGAAGAGGGAGACACCTAAGCCCAGAGGGCAAAGGACACCTCCAGACAGTGACAGGATAGCTGAACACCAGCCACAGCTCCTTAGAGGAAACAGCACAGGGGTCTTTATGATCTTAAGTATCTTCTGTGTGGCTCTGACAACCCCAAAACTTCTCTTGTTACATGAAAATCAGCTTACATTAATATGGATGCAAGATGCAAGTGCAGCACAGTGCGCGGGCTGTACAAAGCAAGCAGGGAGGCTTCCGAAGATGACCCCCAGGCTATGCCTTGGCAGTCCCCTTCGCCAGCTTCCATCCCCCGAAGCCACGTGAGGAAGGCCAGAACACCAAGGTCCCTCCAGAACTCTGAGTAGAGAAACAGAGCCAGCCGGCCCAGCCATCCCCAGAGATGGAAGGAAGCTCCAAGGGGACTGATGACAAGCTAAAATTTGGAACTTTATCACAGACTCATGGTTACCAACATCAAATATTTAATTTGCAGCTAAGACTCTTTTTGCTTAAAGCCATGAAGCAGCAGCACAGCATATTGGCTGAATGCACAGACCTTAGAGCCAGACAGCCTAGGTTCCGGTCCCAGCTGAAAGACCTTGGCCATGTGACTCAACCCTTCTGCCTCAGTTTCCTCATCTGTAAAATGGATATAACTGAACTTCCCAGGATCATTTTGTACATTAGGAATATTCATATTAACAGAGTACGTAGAATATTACCCAATCCCCTAAGAGTGCCAGGTAACTAAGTATTCGTTAAATAAGAAGCGCTCCCTCATAAGCCAGCCCTCTCTTCAAAAGGTGACAACTCTTTTTTTTCTTTTTTTTTTTTTTGTTTGAGGTCTTCCTTAGGATCTTCAAAGATTTCACCGAAGAACCAGCATGTGTCCCTGACCTGATGGAATGTGTCCTTACCAGGATAAAAAATCGATGCAATACTGTTGGAAAGTGACCCCATGGTTTGAAGCAAACCAAATTATACGTTAAAGCAAAAAATTACCTCCAGAATAAACGCTAAGCACAGTGACTGTCTACAAAGGCCATGTTTTAAGCATTCGCACTCCAGGACCCTGGGCTTAGTGGCACATTAGACACTCAATAATTGCATATCTAGCATTCAGAAACTTTTAAGTGGTTCTTATTTTGATTCCTTTCCCCTCTCTGTAGTGGGAACTGCCCTCAATCATTCTGACAGGTATTTCTCTTGCCGCCCACAAATTTTCAGCCCTGCAGTATACCACATTGGTCTGGACTCTAGCATATGCAGGATTTATGCCAGGCTTGCAAAAGATCCCTGAATCAGCCAGTCCAAACCCCCTCTTTGTGCCATGTCTACCTCGGGTGATGGCAGTGTGACAGCATTCTCACCTCCACCCCCAAGACACACACACACACACCCTGGATATCTCACCATAATAATAATGTATTTTATATCATGAGCAGGGGAATACGATTAAATCTTCCTCCTATACCCCAGGTTCAGAAAAGAATAATAATGATTTCCTATATTATGTGGAATCTCATAGTTCACAAAATAATTTCAGATCCACCATCTGCTTTGAATGTCACAGCACCCTGTGTAATAAGTAAGTCAGGAATGGTGTCCCATTAGCCACAGATCAAAGAAGCATGGACCAGAGTAAGGAAGCAATTTTCTGAAGGACACACAGCAAATTAGGAGGAGGAATGGACCCCACACACAAGTCTGTGTACTCTGGGCTAATGCTCTTCAAGGCCTTTTTCCTCCTTGCTCTGAGCTTACTTCTTGCAGGTGTCAGAAAGGTACATTGATAGGACAACTTGCTTCCCCCAGACAGCCCCACCTCTTCAAAGATATCCACAAGTTTGCCCACACAAGTATTCCATCCCTACCTCCTAATTTCCACCTTTACAAATGGCACGTCCCAGCCCCACATTGCCCACAGCACCTCCGGGTCTCTGCTTCTGTCTAAAATCCTCATCTCCATTCTTGTGCCTCCAATCCTGCCAGTCTTTCAGGCCCATCTTTAACAGCTCTTTATCCAGGACACTCTCTGATGCTGCCATCACAGCCTGCAACAGCCACAGGAGAAGCCACCCCTCTCTGTATCCCTGTAACCCTTGATTCTTCCTCGCATGGTCATCATTTCTGGTCTTGGGACTTCTCTTCTATTAGCCCAGTGGGTACCTGGAGGGCAGGAACCAGGGTACACTTGCCTTGGGAGCTCCCACAGACCTCACATGGTACCTACATCTAGTAGGGACTCAATCAATATCCATGCATTCATTGTATTAATCTTGGAAGGAAGCACAATGTGTATTACATAGAGGGAGGTTTACCTGTGCAAGGACAACCCCTTTATAAATTCAAGAATATAGACACAATGTGTCGGGCACAGTGGCTCATGCCAGTAATCCCAGCACTTTGGGAAGCTGAGGCAGGTGGATGACTTGAGATCAGGAGCTCAAGACAAGCCTGGCCAACCAGGGTAAAACCCCATCTCTACTAAAAATACAAAAACTAGCTGGGCATCATGACACACGCCTGTAATCCCCGCTACTCTGGAGGCTCAGGCAGGAGAATTACTTGAACCCAAGAGGCAGGGGTTGCAGTGAGCTAAGATCGCGCCACTACACTCCAGCCTGGGCAACAGGGTGACTCTGTCTCAATTTAAAAAAAAGAAAGAAAGAAAGGATATACACACAATGTAAAATCACTGCACCGAGTCAGTATAGGGGCTGCCTTAAACTCAGGGAACAGCCAAATCTGTTTATGAATTAAAAGAACAGTCACTAAGGAGGCAAGATCAAGTATCATCAAAACATTAGGCCTTGACATAGAACCTGAAGGATTCCCCCAAGCCCTAGGGCTGTATCCAGACAGAATTTTCATTCCATAACTATCACAAAATGTCTCTTTCATTTCCAGCTCTGTGTTAGAGGTCAGGGACATAAACGGCTCTCATCTCCAGGCCCTGCCATGATGGACCTCACAGCCTAATGGGGAAAAGAGACACAAAACCAGACAATGACAGAACAATATAAAAGCACTGGGGGACACCCAGACAGGCATAATAGCGCAAAGAGGGAAGGTGCCCAGGTGGGAGAACCTAGGCTACGTTATGAAGATGACATTTCCCATGCAAATACACATAAACGTGTCTATCACTCTTGTGCACATGTGTGGGGCTGTGTGTTGGGATGGCATTAATAGTAGCTAAGGTGTTAAAAAATACAATACTAAAATTCCCAGGCAAAGCAAAAGTTTCCACCAATTATCCGAATAATTTTTCCAAAAGTTCAGATAATAGGCACGTTTAAGAAATTTCTGGTACAAAGAAACAAACATGTGGCTACCTTTTCCTTTTTAGCAGGATGCTTTAATGCCACATAAACACATGCTCATTACCAAGCTGAAAGCTGATTTACATAGCATCACCTCTGAAGCATACAAAGATAAGAAAATTCAAGTGCTCCGAACCTCAGTTTTCTTAACAATAATACGGAAGTAAAATACAGACCTCGCAGGATTTGCTGGGGGGAGATTCCATGAGATGATGTATGTAAAAGACTCTTTGCAATGAAAACCACAATAGCAAGCTCTTGATCACTTTTAGCTCACACGCTGGGAATCAGCATAGTATTATGGGCAGGAACATGGACTGGAGTCTGTGGATGTGGGTTCAAATCCCAGCTCCACCCAACTGCAATGATCTGAGGCAACACTACCTATGTAGCCTTTCTTAGCCTGAGTCTCCTAAACTGTACAATGAGGATTTTAATGCGTACCTCATAGCTCTAATGATTAAATGATGTAATATGGTGAAATACCACAGTACAGGTAGTAAATTCTCAATACAGCATAACTAGCATCATGTTACTCTTGTCAAATATTTTGTCTAATATTTCAAGGGAAGGTCAGAAGATGGAGTTCACAATCTACATAATCCACAGATGCTCAGGTGTTACAAGTAGTGGGAGGGAGACGGCACAATATGGGACAGGCTAAGAGTTCTGGGTCTGATTATTCCATTCAGCTGCTGGCATGGGGCTGACTCTGGGAGACAGCCACCCACAGTCATGGGAGTAGGGGCAATTCTCTGAAGAGGGCAAAAACAATCAAGGGTGTCAGCTGCATGTCTCAGATTATTGATTATCTTCATCCATTTGTGCTGCTATAACAGAATGCCTGAGACTGGATAATTTATACACAACAGAAATTCATTTCTCACAATTCTGGAGGCTGGGAAGTCCAAGATCAAGGTTCAGCATCTGGTAAAGACCTATTCATCATAGATGGCACCATCTAGGTGTCCTTACATGGCAGAAGGGACAGAAGGGCAAAAGGGCATGGAGCCCTAGCTAATTCCCTTGAGCCTTTTTAGAAGGGCACTAATCCATTCATGGGGGTAGAGCTTCACCGCCTCATATCATGACATTGCTGATGAAGTCTAAACATATTAATACAGGGGGCATACATTCAGACCATAGCATATGTCTCATGTACTTACATTTGAAATAAGACCAGCTTTTCACTGGACATCTCTCTCTCTCTCTCTGTCTCTTTCACTCACACATCACACACACACACACACACACACACACACACACACATACACTTCCTATGAGGAGACCCCAGACATCTTTTTAAATGTGTACAACTAGTTTTGGAAAATAAAATATTCAGCTGACCTAATTTTTACATTGGGAATAGGAGACATAAGTGTATTTTCAATAAATCCACCAAAATATTTATTTTATTTCAACATTAAGATGTAAAAAGTCAGAGAGAGAGAACAGAGTATGACAGCGTCAGTGAGCCGCCCACCTCCCTTTGGTGCTCCCCAAAGCCTAGCGCCTGCAGAAAGCTCCTGCCACCACCAGGGGCGACCTGCATCTCCAGAGTGATGGCAATTTGTGGCTGTGGGTGCAGAGCAGGCTGGAAGTGACAGATGGTGGAGAATCATCCCTACTTCCTTATACCTTGGTGGGCAATTATGAGTCTCTCAGGAGGTTCCAGCAGGACTGCACGCTGGTACCTATGGCAGGAGCCCCTGGTTAACCCTCTTTGTGGGCTTTTCCTCACTTCCTTGTCTCACAATCCCTCTCTCCAGCTGTGGTTTCTTGGGATCACCTCCAGAATGAACTACTTAAACCCAAACCCTTGGCTCAAGGTGTACTTTGGGGGATGCAAAACTAAGACACAGAGAGAAAAATGAGAAAATAATTTAGAAAGAAAGAATGAAGGCAAGAGGAGCATTATAACTGATGGCAAGGAAGACCTGGAGGGAAAGAGATGAGATTAAGTAGGGGAAGGAAAAGACCAGAGATGAATGTCAGGCTTCCATGACCAGGAAGCCCCTGTTTACTACCTGCCAACCCAACTCGTGCCATCTGCCAAACCACACACCCCAAAAACCCATGCACCTGCCCCCAGATGTTCTCAGATCCCCCGTCCCCACTGGCGTTGGTGAGCACTCACCCCTTGTCACCTGGTCCACCAGCCAATGCAGAGGACAGAGTCTAGCCCCATGGCTCCAACTCCCCAACCCAACACCTCCAGGTCCCACCTTCCTCCAAAATCATGGGTGGGGATTTTCGGTCAGACAACTGGCCCTGTGAGGTTAGAGACCCCAAGAGTGTAAGTACAATAGGAACCTACACTCTTGATAAAGCCCCTGGCTGAGACAAATCTCTTTCCCAAGAACGTGGTGTTACAAGAGATGCAAGAGACAAATTTTAGGAAACTTGCTGAGAGGCTGAGACCCTTTTCAGATGACACCAAAAGCTAACTGCAGCCATGATAAGGGATTACCACCCTTGCCATAAAACCCCACTTTGGACCCTCTATTCTTTGACTTTACAATGCTTTATATAAATCCTGCATCCTCAATGGGGGCAATATCACCCCCAAGGGGGCAAAAATTGTTCTTAGGATGGAGAGCCAAATAATCTCAGATATTATCGTGGTTTGTGACCCTCCAAAGCTCAACCCTGCACAACAAAATCTTATTTCATTTCATTTCATGGAGAGGGGAGATCAGTAATAATAATAATAATAATAATAATAACTAAAAAGATTCCTTAGGGTAGTAATAATGAAAAAAATCTCAAAAAAACACTGATATAATGTGAAAATCCTGTTCTGGATTCATTTTCAACTCCTCTTAGGAAATAACATCTACCGCAATAAGATTTTAACTTCTATCTCTCATCTAATATCCTGTGGAAAACAAATATCACAAAGTAATGCATGGAGAGCAGATGCTTTAAACATCACACGCGCTTGCCACAGTAATTGCACTTTGTAACTTTTCTAGCACTTTCATAAATTCCAGAAGTTATCTTAATCTCCAATGCTCTGTAGTGAGGCAACAGAAGAAAGATGATCATTACTTCCAAGTAAATTCTAAGACTTATTAATTGAATGACTCATGCTGGATCACAGAATGAAGCTCTAAAAATGTCAACATTTGGAGTCTTGCCCTGTCCCTTCATCACCTCGAATGCAGCTCCCAGCACACAATAGGGCCTTCAGCAAGATTCTGATGAACTTCCTTAACTTCACCATGTTCAAATGGAACCCATTTCTGCCCCCAAACTTATTCTGCTTCCCGAACCCCCAGTGCCACCAGCTACAACATCACCCCCTGAGGTCCCAGACAACAATCTTGGGGTATGTGTGATCCAGTCAATCAACATAACAAAGCAGCTAAGAGTCCAGGCTACACCCAGCTTCCAAACCCAATATTGCCACTTACCAACTATGACCCCAGGCAAGCTATTTAACCCCCCTGAAAAACAGAAATAACACCTGCCTTCCTTGCAAGGTAATAATATGGTTTAAATGTGGTGAGACATATTAAAATGCTTAGCACAGTGCCAGGCACAGAGTTGGAGCTAAATAGATGGAACTTTCCATGATTGCTCCTGTCATTGACATTGGGAATGCTTTTGCTCTGCAGACTTCTAAAACAGTTGCACAGTGTCAGTGAGAAGACTAACATGGCAGACAGACTGACAAAAGTATAATCCCAGCTCCATAATTCAGTAGAGCAGACTCTTCGCAGAATTCATTTCCCTCATCTATAAAATGTGGGCAACATAACATCTACCTTGCAAGGTTGTGGTGAGTATTAAATAGATAATGCACACAGCAGATGCCCAACAAAGAGTGTGGTGACTGCTGTGGACTTAATTACAACCTATCTCAAATTATCCTACAATTGTTTCTCACACAGAATATTGTTTTCAAGTACCGGGTCAATCTGGGGTACAAAATATCAAAGGGACCCCTAGTTTCCAAGGTCCTCTTACCAAGAAGAAAAGCAGGCATTGTGAGGCAAACTTAGCCCAGGCCTCTGAGGTCTGGAAACACATCCAGATGGACAGGGGAAGGTAGAGTGTAAGCAAGGTCATGGGTAAAGAGCGTTTAGGCTAGGTCTGTAGTAGAAGCATACTAGAAACGCAAATTTTCAGGCCCTACCTCAAACCTACTGAATCAGTAACAGGGGTCTACAATCTGCGTTTACAAACCCTTTAGGTGATTCTGACGCATGCTAAGTTTGCACCATTGGTCTATATATATGGACTCCACTGCTTCCAGCTTCATCTCTCCCCCACTTCCCCAGCCCCCTTCATAGGGACCAATAGCTTTACCGACTCCATGAAGATCAGTAGTTCATTCTCTTCTGATACTCTTTTTTTTTTCTGAGACAGAGTCTCACTCTGTCACCCAGGCTAGAGTGCCATGGCACAATCTCAGCTCACTGCAACCTCCACCTCCTGGGTTCGAGTGTTTCTCATGCCTCAGCCTCCCCAGTAGCTGGGTCTACAGGCACACACCACCATACCTGGCTAATTTTTGTATTTTTAGTAGAGACAAAGTTTCACTATGTTGCCCAGGCTGGCTCAAATTCCTGAGCTCAGGTAATCCACACACCTCAGCCTCCCAAAATGCTAGGATTAAAGGTGTGAGCCACCGCACCCAGCCTTCTCTGCTCTTTCTCATGGACTCATCACATAAAATTCTTCATGTTTGCAGCCTCTAAGGAATGCCAAAGGGCAAAGTAAAAATAAATACTAAATAAGACAGCATATAATCATGGCTCATGGCAGGATTTCAATTATAGTTGGTTCCCTTCTCCTTTGACTCTTGGTGGGAGTTCTTCATTCTTGGGTGGTTAAGCAAGTCCACCCTCAGATTAATACACTCTTCGGCACTCCAGGTGCTAGTTTCCACTGTCAAGGAATGGTGTGCACTGAAGCCCATCATTCACAAGGATGCAACAGGTTCAGGGGGTGAGGGGCAGGTGCCTGGGGAGGCAGCCCCAGACAGACTGTGCCTGGACAAGCCAAGGCTGCCCCAGACCAAACAAAAGATGAGGCAACAACCAACTGCAGCAGACTGGTGCAGTAGGAACAGCATGAACCAGAGGTCAAAGGGTCTCTCCTCTGGACCCAGACAGCTACCTAACTTCTGGGTTCCTCTGCCCAAACCACCTGCCCTCTCTAAGCCTCTTCAGTAAAATCAATGTTTAGACTGAGTTTCCCAGGAGCCCTGTAGCCCCATGCTTTTCAGTGCAAATGTTCAGTAAAATAACAAAAAGAAAGTAAAGGGTTAATGCTCCTCCATCCAGTTTTCTTCCAGTTTAGAAAGAGACATATGTGGCCGGGTGCAGTGGCTCACACCTGTAATGCCAGCACTTTGGGAGGCCAAGGTGGGTGGAGCACCTGAGGTCAGGAGTTCGAACCAACCTGGCCAACATGGTGAAACCCCATCTCTACTAAAAATACAAAAATTAGCTGGGCGTGATGGCGGGCACCTGTAATCTCAGCTACTCGGGAGGCTGAGGCAGGAGAATTGCTGGAACATGGGAGGCACAGGTTGCAGTGAGCCGGGATCGCGCCATTGCACTCCAGCCCAGGCTGACAACAGCGAGACTCCATCTCAAAAAAAGAAAAAAAAAAAAAAAAAAAAGGAATGAAGGAACAAAGGAAAGAAGGAAGGGAGGGAGGGAGGGAGGGGAGACAGACGTATTTGTGGGAAAGTAAACATTTAATTAAAATTAAGTAAAATATTTTTAACTTTCTTTTTTTTTGAAACGGAGTTTCGCTCTTGTTGCCTAGGCTAGAGTGCAATGGCATGATCTTCACTCACCACAACCTCCGCCTCCCAGGTTCAAGCCATCCTCCCACCTCAGCCTCCCGAGTAGCTGGGAATACAGGCATGCACCACCAGGCCCAGCTAATTTTGTATTTTTAGTAGAGATGGGGTTTCTCCATGTTGGTCAGGCTGGTATAGAACTCCCAATCTCAGGTGATCCGCCCGCCTCGGCCTCCCAAAGTGCTGGGATTACAGGTGTGAGCCACCGCACCTGGCCAGTATTTTTAACTTCTTAAACATTTTTCTAATTGTTTCTACTTAAACAGATGAAAGAATATAAACTGCTTTAAAGAATTTTCAAGTGAAATGAAGATGCCAGATGACCCAAACCCTCCAAACAGAGTCAAATAAGGAAGAAAATAGTCTCGGATTGATATGCAGCTGGGGTGTGTGGCAGACAGCTAGTCGGCTGAGGATGGACATTTCATCTTCCCAACTATTCACCACCTTTAGAAAAGTTTGCTGAAAGAAAAAGGCAGCAAGGAAAAGAAGAAAAATAAGCATTAACCCATTCACTTGACTAATATCTCCCATAAAGTAAAGTGGCAATACAACTTGAAGAGTTTCACATCCTCTGGTTGAAAGAATGAAATAAAATACAAGACATCACCTTCCACTGGGCTGAGAAAATTTAGACTAAGTGGTGTAACCGAAAAATTAAAAACGGCAGTCATTTTACATCAAGATCAGCCTCCTGGTTAATGTCTCAATAGGCAGATGGAGTCAGCCACGTTAACAGGCACTTTGTTCTCAGCTTAAAGGATCAATATCGCAATTACACAGTGCCAGCAGAAATTAAAACAGGTTTACACACTAGGGTAATCTAAACACAAGAAGAGGAAAATCATCAGGAACTCGGTTCCTGAACAGAGTCCAGAAAAACAATTTAAAACTCGTAACATAGCTGTGTGTGTGAAGAGGGATGAGGCGAAGAAGGTGTCAAGTTTGGAAAGAAATGGCATCTAAATCTGACATGCTTAATATTTGCTTAGGTAATACCTTTAAAATGTCAGAGATCATTAGTGAATTAATGTTGGGTTATTCTTCCGTGTAGGGAATCATTCCCAAAGCACACTGACTTTTGGAATAACTGCAGGCAGGGAAAGCTGAAGAAATGGGAGTGAAAATGTTGCATAGTGTATTTTTCAAAGATGGTTGCAACAATATCTCCCATCTCCATTTCTTCTACAAGGTGATCTTGACACTCTCCCATCAAGTGGTAGAGTCTCTCTATCCACCTGAGGATGGGTGGGTCTTCCGACCACTTTGACCAGTAGGATATGGCAGAAGTCATGTGCTGGCTCCAGGCATACCTCTTAACTGGCCTGGCATCTTCTGTTTTCCACCTCTTGGAACTCTAGTTTTGAGGATGTTCCCTCTCAGAACTCAGCTGCCATACTGTGAGAAGCTGAAGCCACATGGAGAAGCTACTTGTGGACAATCTGGTTGATAGTTCCAGCTGCGTGCCAAGCTGATGCCCAGTATCAACTGCCAGCCCAGTTGAGCCTTTGGAAGACGCCAATCCCAATGCTATCCTTCCATATTCTCATCACAGACCTCAGAGAAGGAAGTGCCCAGCTGAGTCCAGTCAACCCACAGCACCATGAGAGATAATAATACATTGTTAAGTCATTATGTTTTGGGCGATTTGTTATGCAGCAATAGAGAACTGAAACATGTGACTCGAGACAGGGTTGGGGGCGGGGGCTTGAGGACAGATAAGAAATCTGCCCCTCAAAGGTCTTCTGAATCAGAGTTGCCCTTATTTTCTTATAAGGACCTCTTCAAAAATAAAGCACTCCAAATTCCCTAGCATCGCACAGAGGCAGGGTTGGCGTGGGGGATAGAGGGAGGATGTATTTGAAGCCAATAATGTGAAAAGCAAAATAAACATCTCACCACACATACCATTTTAAGGGTGTTAAAATCACTGCTCTGAGCCACGCAATGGGACAATCAAAATAAAATTTTAAGGTCTGAAATTTAAAAAAGGCTTCGAAAAGATGCAAATAACCTTATCCTCTTTAAGTCCCTAGTTTAAAGTAATAAGAAATGCATTCACCCAATGCATTGCCTTCAGCACTAATCTAGAATGAAGTCACTTAAATTCTAAGACCAGACCCCACTACCCCATAATAATTGGATGGCTGCATCCAAGGAGTTATCTGAGAGCTCAAGCCCTTACTGAGTTTTCCCATTTTCTATTTTTTTTTCCCCGCTTTCCCTTTCTCTGCTGTTTTCCTTGCTCTCCAGGACACAATAAAGCAATGGATAGGCGGCAAGTGCTATAATGCAGTGATTGCAGTCATGTGAGCAATAATATCAGGACTGTATGGGAAAGGGACCAGACTTCATTATAAATAGGAAAATAATAAAGACAGTAGACTGTGGCTGGATGAACCTCCCACACATCCAAGTGGATTTAGGGCTGAGTCCTCTTGCTGATTGCTTGGATGGAAACTGGGAGTGCGTGCTTTTCGAAACTCTCCAGATACAAAGATCACAAACACCTCCAAGACTCAGGAACCACAGGCACCCACCAAAACCGGGCCTGATCTCGACTCTGAGCACTTAGTTGTGAGACCTGACTTCACTTCCAGCCTTTAGTCCCTCAAGATTTGATATTCACACTCAGTATACATTTTTTTCATTTTTTACATCTAATATTTATTTAGCTACTCTTGTGCTAGGGGCTGAGGATATGGTGACGAACAAGTCAGACATGGTCCCTTCCTTCATTTGAGTGAACATTCAAGTGGAAAGACAAGCAACAACCAAGAAAAAGGAAATAAAGACTCAAGATATTATAGACAATGATAAGCCAATATAGAAAAATATAGGGAACATGACAGAAGTGGACAAGGAAGATCCTGCTGAAGGGGTAGCATGTAAGTTAAGACCCAAAGTGAGGAAAGGAGTTGGAGAAACAGCACTCCAAGCAAAGAGCTAAGTATGTGCAAAGGTCCTGGGGCCAAAAAGAAATTTGGCATGCTCTAGGAATTTTTAGGGGGACCAGTGTAATAGAGTGGGGAGAGACAGGAGGGAGATGAGTCAAGAACAGAGGCAAAGGTTTGACACAAAATGGTAAAAAGCGTTTTATCTCAGGAGCAATGGGAAGTTATTGGAGGGTATCTTAATCCTTTTTGTGTTGCTGTAAAGGAAAATCTGAGCTTATAAAGAAAAATTGTTTACTTGACTCATGATTTTGGATGCCTGGAAGGTTCAAAATAGGGCATCTGTATCAGGAGAAGGCCTCAGGCTGCTTCCACTCATGATGGAAGGTGAAGGGGAGCTGGCATATGCAGAGATCACACAGCAAGAAAGAAAGCAAGAGAGAAAGTGAGGAAATGCCAGGTTCTTTTTAATACCCAGAGGGAACTAATAGAGTGACAGCTTCTCACCCTGGAGAGAGGCAATTAATCCATTCATGAGGGATCACCCATAAGTTCCCGATGACCCAACACCTCAGAATAGGCCCTCCTCCAACACTGTGGATCAAATTTCCACATGGGATTTGGTAGAGACAAATTAACCATATCCAAATGATAGGAGAGGGTTTTAAGGAGGAAAGTGACTAAATCTGGCTGATAGTTTTAAACATCACTCCAGAGTTAACAGAGGTTACCTTTGGGGAGAACAGTAACAGGGAGGGGACAGAGGGGGGCTTCCTGGGTAAAGACGCTATCCTATTTCTTCATCAGGGCACTGTGTACATGACTGGTTTCAGTTTGTTGACAGTCTGTCAAGCTGTATATTTAAGATATATGCCCTTTTCTGTATATATGGTTTTTTCAGTAAAACGTTTATTAAAAATCACTCTGGCTTCTCCCAGGAAGTGGGGAGGTAGACAGCTTAGTTAGAAAACCAGTGTAGGCACTCGGGGTGAGAAGTGAGGGTGGTTTGAGTGGGGCTGGGAGCAGAGGAGGAGAAGGCAAATGGAGAAAGTCAAGAGACACCTGTATTTTCATGTAGTTCTGCCTTCACATGCAGTGAGCCTCTTTTCTGACCTCCACTCTTATGCTAGCTCCAGGGACTCAAGTACCATCTCAGTGACGAGGCAGCACCAACTCGAATGAGGTCCAATGTGGGTGGGGGGAGAGAAACTCAGACAACAACAAATCCATCCAATATTTATCATGCATCTACTACATCTGGAAATGGCTGGAAAAGAAGAAACCAGAGGCTAGGAAGGGAAAGGAAACATGAGTTATCGTGTGGATAGGGTGATCCAAGGGTAGGGGATAGACAAGCAGCCCAAGGTGCAGGTTGGCAGGCACCTGAGACCCTCCGTGTAGTCTGGGTACAAGGGGGTCCCCACACAAGCTATAGGAGTAAGTCTCTGTTCATACTACTGTGTCTGATCACTCCTCAAGAATGGTCACATAGGCTGGGCACAGTGGCTCACGCCTGTAATCCAAGCACTTTGGGAGGCCAAGGAGGGCGGATCACGAGGTCAGGAGTTTGAGACCAGCCTGGCCAACAAAGTGAAACCCCGTCTCTGCTAAAAAAAAAAATACAAAAATTAGCCGGGCGTGGTGGCACATGCCTGTAATCCTAGCTACTCAGGAGGCTGAGGCAGGAGAACCTCTTGAACCTGGGAGGTGGAGGTTGCAGTGAGCTGAGATCGTGCCACTGCACTCTAGCCTGGGGGACAGAGCGAGACTCCGTCTCAGGAAAAAAAAAAAAAAAAAAAAAAAGAATGGTTACATAATGGGACTTGTATATCCACTTTAGATCTTCTCTAAGGCTCTGGGTTCTAGGTTCTGTTTTAAAGAACAGAACTGTTTAAAGGAAAAAAATATGATCTGGTGAGAAGTGAGGTCTCAGAGGCAGAGAGCTGGAGTCCTCATTTGGAAAGGAAGAAAAAAAATGGATCCTTAAAGAAACTTGTATAATGGGTGACTCAAAATTAATCACCTTTTGGGAAACAGGCCATGTTAATTATTCCTGGAGTGGGCAAGTCAGCTTTTGAAATGAGCTGCCAGTCATCAGACTTTCATGTTTAGCAGAGCCAACCACAGCTTTTGTTTAAAAATTGAAAGCCCATTCGGATGTCATGGTTTAGTGCCAAGGAGGGCATCATCTCATCACTAGGCAGGACATTTAACATTTCCCCAGAAGAAGGCACTCTTCTCACCTCCCGCCCACTCCAGGGGAGAATTCTCCAATCCACTTGGGTGGGACATATCCTCATATGTATACAGCAATGCAACAAAGAAACCCAAATTACCTCTATTGGTTTAGCAGGAACTAGAGCCACACTTAGCAGGGTGCTATCCGAGGAACAGTGCATTCTATTGGCTTATCAATTACGTAACATCTAACAGCTCCTTCTCATCTTTTCAGATTTTTATTTGATTGGATAGAAGGCAAAGTAGTTCAATAAACACACACCCACCCTAAAAGTCAAACTCATAAATCTATCCAACTCTAAAGGGTGCCAAGGACTATTGATGAGGGACTGCATTGTAGAAATGGGATCCTCTTTGCTTGTAAACAATGGCATGGGAAATTTCCATATGGGATAATGAGACGTACCTGCTTTCAAAACCAGAGGTTGTTCATTTCATTCCATTCTATTCTGTTGCATGTTACGTAATATAAAGGGCATCTAAGGGTCAGGAAACTAGATGAGGAAATAATGAAATTTGAGACTATGTGGAAAGAAAGGATGGAGTGAAAAGAAAGGAAGGTAGGAAAATGGAAGATTGCTTTCAAAGTAAGATCTTTGTGCATTTGGAATGAAAATAAAATCAATAGGGAGTGCAAGGAAGTTCCTCTGGTTTGAATGAATCTGCCCGGCTTCAAAAAGTTTTACTTCATGATTGAATCGAAACTCAAAAGTTGAACAAGGAAATTCAAGCACGATTTTTATTAACCCCATATGGCCCAGGGAGACTTTTAAAACAGAGACACTTGCTGCTTTCTCCAGCCCTGGATGTTGGGGTTTTGCATGTAACTCATTCGTGATATAAACGTATCTCGTGGGGTTTTGCATGTAACTCATTCATGATATAAACGTATCTCCTGGGGTTTTGCGTGTAACTCATTCATGATATAAACGTATCTCCTGGGGTTTTGCATGTAACTCATTCATGATATAAACGTGTCTCCTGGGGTTTTGCATGTAACTCATTCATGATATAAACGTATCTCCTGGGGTTTTGCATGTAACTCATTCATGATATAAACGTATCTCCTGGGGTTTTGCATGTAACTCATTCATGATATAAACGTACCTCCTGGGGTTTTGCATGTAACTCATTCATGATATAAACGTGTCTCCTTCTTTTAATTAACTACTTCTCTCATCAAGGGAAGGGGAAATAATCCCAATCTAACAACTCATCCATGATGAACTTTGCTGTCTTTCTTCTGTTTCCAAATGAATTTGGCTTATTAAAAAAGTAATGAGCTATTAATTAACTCTACACTCATACAAAGCTGTTTAATTCTCAATCTAATTAGCCGCAATCTGATGAAGGATTTTAATAATTATTTTAACTTTGCTAACAGAAACATCTTTTCACTTTTCATAAGTTATTTATAGAACAGTTCACATTGGATCCTGCTTGGTTTTTAATTTGATGACATTTTTATTAGATCCTCTACTCTTCTACCATCTCTGTGTGACAGAGTTTAGAACTGTCATCATTGAAAAGCCCAGAAATAGTATCCTGGGTCACCTACATGGCCAAGACAGTGCACCCTTCTGTCTTTGAAAAAATCTCCAATGGATGAGGTATGGGAGGACCAGAAGCCCTGTCCTTCTGATGTCCTTCTTAAACAAGAGGCAAAACTCAAGTACGAACCAAGGATAGACTTAAAACTCCCAGTGGAAAGATCAAAGGCTTGGGGTTACTGCTGAGGCTGGATTTGGCAGGGAGGGAAGGAAACATGCCACCACACCTATAGGAATGACTTTTTCATAACTGATGCAAACAAGGGTATTCCCGAATCTCTTGTTTAAGAAACAACAGGCAGTGAGTTACATTTCATTTGTGTATAGAATTTCTACTGGAGCCACTACAGTACAATGTGAAAAGATCAAATGATATTTTATGTGCATGGCCTTTATGATATGCATTTCTGCAGACATTAGAAATTTCTATGTAAATTACATATTAATGTAAAGGCCTATGTACATCAAACTATGGATTCAATAAACACACTTACACACATACACAAACTTCACAAAAAATAAAATGTGTTTATTCAGAGGCATTTTTATTCTTCCCTAGGTATTATAAGGGAATAGATTATGTTCAGTGAGCCACTCTGCTTCTCTAAGATCTAACATGAGATAAGCCTATTTCACAGTTAGTCTCGCCACTTTCCTCTAACACAGGAGGGAACATGGGAGACTGTTTCCTATGCCACCCCCAAGACTTAGTACATGAAGAGGCTATATGTGTAATGGTTTAGAAAACGAATTCTGAAGCCAACTGCCTGCGTACAAATCTCAGCTCCGCACTTACTTAGCTGTGTGCCTTTGGGCAAGTCAATAACCTTTTTGTACCCCAGTTTTCTCATCTAAAAAAAAATGGGAATGAAATAGTACCTACCTCACACTCTTGCTAAGAAGATTAAATGAATTAATATATCTAAAGTCCCTGGAATAATGCAGCACCTACTACATAGTCGGTAACTTCTAAATAAAATAAACTCTAGCTGGGTACTTCTCCCTATAAAATACATAGAGTTTGAGACACTGCAAGGCCATTATCCTACTAATAACAATATTTTTTAAAAGCTAGAAGCTCATATTATAGAGAACATTTGGCCACTGTAGCATTTCTTATAGGCATTTTTTTCTGTTGCTTTTTTGAGAAAACATAGATATGGTGCTAAATTAAATGGCTTACGTTCTGAGCCCTCACCAGTGTTATTATTTATTAAATGTCATTATTCATTAAAATCCTAATAATTCACTAGGTTTTTAAAAAATTAAACACAGGACCTTGAAAAAATTAAATTTAAATAAGTAAGTTGAATATTAATGGAGTGGGAAGCCTAAGGGAGTATGTTCTGAAAACTAGTTATTTATTTATTTTACCAAAAAAAGAGCTGTAGTTATAAATAGTATTAATAATAACAGTAATAATAGCCAGCATTTATTAAGCATTATCCACATTCCAGGCAGTGTGCTCAGTGGGTTACATGCGCCATTTCATTGCATATATAGATGTGTGGGAAGGCATTCATACTGGTGGTCCTCTCCTCTCTGGATTAGCTCTCTCTCTTATACTTCTTTCCCCCCAATTACTTATCCCATGTAGCCAGTACTCTGAGAAGGACATGGCCTCCTCCTTCTTGGGAAAAGATGCCCAATTCCAATATTCCTGCCCTAGAAGGCCCCACAGGAGCTGAGAAGGTGCCTGGAAGACAGCAGGTACCAAGCAGATGGATGAAGCCTGGTTTAGACCTTCAGCTGGGGAGCAAGGTCTTCCCATGAGCCTGTGTGTCCAGCATAGTTCATCAAGGTCAGAGAACACACAGGCATTTAAATCCAAAGCCCATCAAGAAACGTTCTCTGGGAGTTCTCCACTTTGTTCAAGCCCCCCAGTCAAAAATTCTGGTTTCCTTTAATGATACCCCATCGATGATACCACAGAGCCATGGTTCTCAACCAGGGGTTATTCTGTCCCTCAGTGGACCCTTGGCAATGTCTGGAGACATTTTGGGTTGTCACAGCTGAGGAAGAGAAAAGTATTACCAGCATCTAGTGTATAGAGACCAGGAATGCTGCTAAACATCCCACAGTACACAGAACAGCGCCCACAACAAAAAACTGCCAACCAAAATGTCAATTCAATTACCAATTTCAGCCAAGAATATGAAACACTGCCGTGGAGTGACTTAGAAACAGCACAGCCTTTGGGTCCAGACACCCCGTCCAGGGCTCTATTACAAGCAGTTGAATAGCCCTGGGCAACTAACAATCAATCAGTGAGCTCTGCTTTTCTCATCTGCAAACCAGGAGCCTGAGGAAGTCCTCTGAAAATCCCCTTGCACAGCACTGCGAACTCAGCAAACTGCAGCAATTATCACCATGACTTTGTCCTCAAATAAACCTCGCAAGCCACTGTGGAATCTCCATTTTTCTGTAGGTGCCAACTCTGGGTACTCACTGAAAACCTTACCTTTGGGTAATGAGTTCCAAAAGACAAATCTAATTGATCCTTGCAGGGGACTGAACTCACAACCTTGGCCTCATTAGCACCACATACGAATCTACTGAGCAGGACAAATGAAGACACCCAAGAATCACTTTTTCATGTAATAACATTCGGCAGCTCACTCAACACAATCAAAGCACGTCAAACACAGGATCAGCCCTGCAGAATCATGAGTCTCAAATGCCGCATGGAACCACTGACTCTCAGATACCACTGACTCTCAGATACCACCACTGGAAAAGCAGCCATCACATCTTAATGGGGATTAAAAACCAGAATACACAAGGTGGTGGGGGATTAAATGAGATCAGGCAAGCAAAACACCCAAGGGCTTTGCCTTAGACAGTGTTCACCAGTGTTATTACCATCAATATCCTGAAATTAATGACACAACATAGGACTACACCAAAGCCCAAGAGTTATTTATCAGACATACCTTTGTGAAAATAAATAATAGCAAAATAGCAATGTCCTTTCCACCTGCCTTACTTATTCACATAATGTCTACTCAGGCTTAAAGACTTAGCTCACACATTATCACCTATAAGAAATCCTACCTGATGAGCCCTCACCCCAGGACTGGCTGCCCCTCTGTGTTTCAGTAACTCACTAGGCTTACCACTATCACCACTGCTTTCCCACTTTATTGTAATTGTCTCTTTTTCTTTTTCCACCACAAATGTAGGTACTTCTAATGGTAGGGAATATATTTTTGTTCATGTCTACATTTGCAACAGGTGCACAGGTTAGCACATACCACTACTGAATATCCATCAAATGTGGACTCCATGTGGTTGAAGCATGGCTGTATTAGATAGCTCTTGCAACAAAAAAACACTGGCACCAAGCCCAGTGACCCAAAACAAAAACATTCGTCTGTGCTCAGATGTCTGTATGTTGTCTGGGGTCAAGCTGACCAGGGTGTGGCTTAGCTGGGCTTAACTTGGGCTTCAGGTTGGGTCCAGATCTGTTCCACATGACTCTCATCCTCCTTGGACCAGTGAACCAGCCAATGTGTGTTTCTCATGGCAATGACCAAAACACAAAAGGGGCAAGCAGAGACATGCGCTGCTTCTTACGGCCTGGGTACAGACACTTCCACCTATATTTTATTGGCTTAAGCAAGTCACGTGCTTGACAGCAACTCAATGGGTGGTAAAAACATGCTGCATCTCTACTGGGAATAGGTGTCAACTTATGTGGATAAAGGGAGGGGTGAAGAATTGGAAACAGTAATCTAGTCTACCATGAGAATCCTTGGATCCAACGCAGAAAGCTGCATTTACACACTTCTAGAGTTTGTGTATATTTATGGAATGTTTATCCCATTCCATAATCTGTTATCAGGAGTCAACTTCTAAAGCCTTCCTCCAATCTTATTTTCCTGTTCCAAGCATTAGTTTTGAAGTATTTTGAAAGCAGTGTGACATACTCAAAAGACTTTTGAGTAGGAGGTGGGGGTCAGGTGGGTGGGGGACAGCCAAGAGCCAGCCTGGTGAACTGAGCCATATCTCCAAGCTCCATCCTCATCCACGCACCAAAGGGACAGGGTAACAGAAACTCTCAGACATTCTGTGATCTGAGTCCAAGGGATTGTGGCCCAGAATCAACTTCAGAAAAACAAGTGCACTGTAGCGGCAAGAGTCTCAGAGTCAGTCCTGCACTCTTACACCAAACACTTCCAAAACATTCCCAGTGAAGCTTCAAGTTGGACAATGCCAGGTTTTGCTCTGAAACACACACAACATAGATAGGAAGCAATTCGCTCTCATTTAAGGTCAACCTCACTTTTTCCCAGGGAAGTCTAAAAAGATTGGTGTGTCAATCAAAGTGTAAGGCTTAAATCTTCTTGTTCCTTTTGTAACTAGATAGCATCGACATTCAGTAGAGTCAACTCAGCCATACACAGCTTGGGTCTATCCTCTTTCATGGAAAAAAAATTGTTTTTAGAAGTACAATGCACTTACCTTTCATGAGTTCAGAAATAAATATTTTGTGGTTGATTTGAAACAGGGATCAGCAAAATTCTTCTGTAAAGGGACATATAATAAACATTTTCAGCTTGTCGCTGCAGTGTGAAAGCAGCTACCAGCTGTATGTAAACAAATGAGCAAGGCTCATGAGGTCGTGCTCCAATATAACTTTAGTCACAAAAACAGGAGGTGGAATGGATTCAGCCCATGGGCCATATTTTGTTGATCCTTGAGCTAAAAGAATGAGTAAATATTTGCCTAATGTTCTAGAACATTGGTCCATACCTCCAAGAAGCCCAAGAAAATGTACAAAATTCAGGTCATTTTTTTGGCAGAGTCTGATTTAAGGAATGCCTCTGAACACCTGGTACTTCATTTAATCCTCCTCACGGGTCGATGAAATAGGAAAATATATTCCCATTTTTTGTTTTTTGAATGAGTCTCACTCTGTCACCCAGGCTGGAGTGTACAGTGGCTCGATCTTGGCTCACTGCAACCTCCGCCTCCCAGGTTCAAGTGATTCTCCTGCCTCAGCCTCCTGAGCAGCTGTGACTACAGGCACACGCCACCATGCCCGGCTAATTTTTGTATTTTTAGTAGAGACGGGGTTTCACCGTGTTGGTCAGGATGGTCTTGGTCTCCTGACCTCGTGATCCACCCGCCTCAACCTCCCAAAGTGCTGGGATTACAGGCGTGAGCCACCGCACCTGGCCATATATTCCCATTTTATAAACGAAGATACTAAGGTTTCTGAACTTAGTGATCCACCCAAGATCACACAGCTAGTACATGGTAAAGCTGGGATTCCAACCAAATCCTGTGTAAATGTTGGTTCAGTAGTTTTCAAGAATCATAATAGATGTTATCATTACGCACCCTGAGCCTAAAATGGTTACAAAGAATGACCAGAAAATGCTAATTTTATTCTAAGAAAGTCAACAGTGATGAATTCAAATTTATGAGTAAGCTGTTCATTAAAGCCCTTTTTACAATAGTAAAATATTGCAACAATCTAAATATCCAATATTAAAGGGACGCTTGAGCAAATTACAATATAACCTTTGAAAATAATGTTCATAAGAATATGTAATGATATTGGAAATGTTCGCCATAATGTTGTTTTTCAAAAAACTAGAAAACAACACAGTGGCAAAGGCATGACTCTGTTGTTTTAGCCCTTATATTAAATGTATAAAAAGCTCTGGAAGAAGACACCTTGTTTATCATCATTTAGCTCCTGGTTTGGGGACGGCAAGTAGTTTTATTTTTATTCTTTGAACTCTTGGTTTTGCCAAACTGTGTTCAATATACATAAAATTCTATAATCTGATAAGTATGTCTTTAAAATGCAATTTATCCTTGTTTTCTATTTTTTCTTCTATTGTTCTATTTTATTCATTCTTTTCTTATAAGTAAGTTGTCCATAAGTGAACACTTCAAAAGCAACAATTCCATCCCCTGGATTCAAGGAAGAATCCTATGCATAATCCTTCACATGCATCATGACCCAGATTATACTGGTGTTTAGAAGGGTGAAGCAGTGGTCCTTTGAGTGTTCAGACCCAGTTCCCAAGGAGCACAGATACACCTGAATCCCATCTTGGGTTGCAAGCCCTGTTGAGTAAAAAGAAACCTTCTGGTTTCAACATTCATCCTTTTTATGATTATTGCCAAAAAATTTTTAACAAACATTAATATAATGCATAACATCCCAGTACCACTTGTGATGTGTTTAATAAATTCTGTGTGGTTTTTACATAGCCCTGAGAGGTAAGCAATGAGTCAGGAGTTTCCTCCAAGCACCTGTTAAGTGGCATCATATAAATAGCAATGTCAGGAAATCAGGTACCAGAAGAACCAGGCTTGAGTCTCCAGCAAGGCCACATGGGAGCTGACTGACCCTGGTTAAGTCCCTGAAACCCTCGGGCTTAGCAACTTTATTCTTTTGGTTTTTGTTGTTGGTTTTTGTTTCAGTGGTGTGATCATAGCTCACTGTAGCCTCATACTCCTGGGCTCAAGCTTTCCTCCCAACTTGGCCTCCCATAGTGCTGGGATTATAGGTGTGAGATACCAGACCCGTCCAGCACCCTGATTCTTAAACCAGGAGTAGTAACCACACTTTCAACACCCACAATAGAATTACGAGGATCTAATGAAAATCACAAACTATATCAAATATATAAAGGGTGTTCTGCCATGATGGCCAATTATAATACTGGGAGTGCTTCCTGTCCCTACCACTTCCAGATCCAGTTTTTTTTTTTTTAAATGGAGTCTCACTCTGTTGCCCAGGCTGGAGTGCAGTGGCGCGACCTCGGCTCACTGCAAGCTCCGCCTCCCGGGTTCACCCCATTCTCCTGCCTCAGTCTCCCGAGTAGCTGGGACTACAGGTGCCCGCCACCACGTCCGGCTAATTGTTTGTATTTTTAGTAGAGACGGGGTTTCACCATGTTAGCCAGGATGGTCTCGATCTCCTGACCTCGTGATCCGCCCGCCTCGGTCTCCCAAAGTGCTGGGATTGCAGGCGTGAGCCACCACACCCGGCCCAGATTCAGATTTTTAAAAAACATTGTTATCTTGGAAATTGGTTATCTACTTCTGTACTGGAGGAAGACAGTGTGTGCATGTTGCTGCACGTGTGTGTGTCCATAGATCCTTGTTTCATTCAGCTGTGCAGCAACAGGGGTCAAGTCTACATGAAAACGACTGACATATTCTTCCAGCCACTGCCAGTCTTACTGCTTCCTTCAATCAAGCTTTTTGGTTTTCCATAAACATTTTTCATGTTTTGCATAGGTATTTTAAGTAAATTTTTGTATTGAAATTTTGTATTAATATATGTAAATATACATACAGAAAAATGTACAAATCACAAATAGATTGCTGAGTAAATTTTCACAAACACACTTCGATAACTGCCAGCCAGGTCAAGAAATAACATGCTACCAACATCGCAGAAGCTCCCTTCATTGTTCTTTCCAGTCCACATCTCCCGGCTCCTTCTCCCAGGATAATTGCTGTCTTGACTTCTATCACTGTAGATGAGTATTGCCTGTTTTTGAAATGCTCATTAATGGTATCATACGCTATGTTGTTACCTGTGTCTGGCACTTTTATACCCAAAGTTGACTGAGATTCACCCATTTCATTGCAAGAAGTAGTTCATTATTCATTATCTTTGCTGGATGGTATTTCTTTGCATAAAATATATCACAATTTATCCATTCTACTATGGGCTTTGGGGTTGTTTCCAGTCTTTGGTTCTTACAAATGCTGCTGAGAACATTTGTGTACATGCCCATGAGTAAATATGTTTACCCACTTCGGCTAGCTATACCTCTAAGAATGAGATAATGCTTCATAAATTATGCATATATCTAGCTTATTAGATCTGCCAAATTTATCCTTCCAGTAGCGATGTATGAGAGTTTCAGTTGCTCCACATCCTTACCAACACAGGCATTTTGTCTGTATCAGTTAATGAATCTGGTGGATGCATACTGAAATATCAGTGTAGTTTTTATTTGCATTTCCTGGTGACTAATGAGATTCAGCACCTGTGCATATGCTTAGTGTCCATTTGAATATCCTCCCTGGTAAAATGCCTCTTCACATCTCTTGATACAATGCTTTCTTTTTTTAGAGACAATTCTTGATTTATTCATGCCAAGACAAGAAGGAGTGGCAGAGAAAATAAAAAATAATAGGTGTTTCGAAAAAATATTTTAAATTTGTCTTTGGATTTTGGTTTTGATGCTAAACTTGAGTAGGAATTTCCTTGAATTTTTCAAATTCATAATAATGCCATCCATAGAGAAGCTAGAAAAATACTAATGAAAGCTGTCATTTACCGAGTCATCTCACATAAAGTGTTCTATGAGGACACTGAGGTTCAGAGAGGTTGAATAACTTGCCCAACACTGAACAGCTACTAAGTGGCTGAACCAAAATTCAAACTCTGTCTGGGGACTCCAAAACCCAGGCTCTTGATCACCTAGCTATTCCTCAGCATTATAGGATTCTAGTCCCCGGCTTCAGCATGCTTTAGAATCCCCGGGAGGATCCCATCCTCAGGGTTCCTGATTCAGTAGGGCTGCGGTTAGGCCTGGGAATTTGCATTTCTAACAAGTTCCCAGGTGATTCCCAGGATGCCAGCCCAGGGACCACACTATGAAAACCACTGTTCTGAAAGGTGGCAATCAGGTCTCACTTATCTCTGTATCCAAAGGCCCCAGTCCAGTGCCTGGCAGGTATCAGACATATAAATGATTGATTACTAAATGATTCCTACTCCCTCTTGGTCCTCTGTCTGGCACACAGAGCCATGCCGCTGTGACAGCTGTCAGCTAATGTGAGTGAAACCCCTCTCAGTCCTAGAAAGGCCTGTCCACAAACATGAAGAGAGCAAGAAACTCCACTTATGATACGGTTTGGGTGTTTGTCCCTTCCAAATCTCATGTTGAAATGTGATTCCCAGTGTTGGAGGTGGGTCCCAGTGGGAGATGATTGGATCATGGGGGCAGATCCCTTATGTATGGTTTAGCGCCATCCACTTGTTAACGAGTGAGTGCTCGCTCAGTTAGTTCATCCAAGATCTGGTTGTTTTAAAAGTGCCTTGGGCCTCCCCCTTCTCTCTCTCTTGCTCCCATTCTCACCATGTGATACACTGGCTCCCCATTCACCTTCCAACATGATTGTATGCTTCCTGAGGTCCTCGCAAAAGTAGATGTTGGCACCATGCTTCCTGTACAGCCTGTATAACTGTGAGCCAAATTAAACCTCTTTTCTTTATACATTACACAGGCCCAGGTTTTGTTTTGTTTTGTTTGTTGTTGTTGTTGTTTTTGAGATGGAGTTTCGGTCTTGTTGCCCAGGCTGGAGTGCAATGGTGCAATCTCGGCTCACTGCAGCCTCCACCTCCTGTGTTCAAGCAATTCTCCTGCCTCAGCCTCCCAAGTAAACTGGGATTACAGGTGTGAGCCACCACACCTGGCTAATTTTGTATTTTTAGTAGAGATGGGGTTTCATCATGTTGGTCAGGCTGGTCACAAACTCCTGACCTCAGGTGATCCACCCACCTTGGCCTCCCAAAGTGCTGGGATTACAGGCGTGAGCCACTGCACCCGGCCCCCTGGTATTTCTTTATGGCAGCACAAAAATGGCCTAATACAACTTATTTCTTCCACTTTCTTTTAAACAAGAGGTGGATAAATCAACACAAGGGGAAGAGTAAAACTGTTCCCTGGCCTGGTTGACTGCATTTGAGCAAACATGCCCATGACCTATCTCACTTGAAACACTTTCCACACTAGGTCTTTTAGAATGCATGTTGTGGCAGAAACTGTCAGTCATCTCCTCGAATCTACTCTTTCCTTTCTTATTGAGTGACAAGCACCATGACTACTTTCTGAGCCATAAGATACAAGCAGAGTTAGATCTTCCAGGGAGTCCTCTTAAAAGAGAGAGAACACGCCCTTTTCTATGTCTTCCTGCTGCTAGAACTCAAGTAGCCACCTTGGGCCATGAGGTTCAGGGCCACAACCCCTCTGAATGGTAGATGAGAAAACTGGAAAGAGCCTGGGACCCTTTCAACTGTAAAGTGCCACAAGACCAGCTGCATTGCCTCTTCTGTGACAAGTTTTACAAGAGGCAGAAATCAATTTTTATCTTGTTTAAACTACTGTTAATTTGAAACTTCTCTTTAATGCAGCTGGACATTATCCTAACTAGTACCTACAGGCACTATGACCCAGCTGAAAGACCACCAGATGAGATTTAGCCTTCCTCTTTTGTAGTATATCTTAAGGCAAGTCACTTCAGTTCCTGAGGCTCGGTTTCCCCATCTGTAAAAAAGGAAGAAAAATGTGTGTTGCCATTGATTCGAAAGGCTTTTGTGAGACACAAATATTACCTTGTTCAGACATGCTTTATGAAATACAGAGCCCTATGAAATTGTGAAGGACTTTTATTTCCGACAAACAAAGGAATTTTTAAAAGAGAAAATGAAGTAGGACAAGGCCTTTTATAAGAAGTCTTTTCTAATTAAGGAGAAAGGACTGAACTGGACCAACAGCTTCTCTGCTCATCTCTGCCAAGTCTCCTCTCCCAATTCCATCCAGGTCATTCTTTATTTTCCAAATGGGAATTTAATTTTGCTCTAACACCATTATTACATCCAAATTAAATATTTATTGGGCTGACTATCAATTGACTTTTAGAAATAAAGATTTGAAATTTATGAGCTAACAGAGTAATTCGATAATTGTAAATTTCACAACCGAGCTTTGTAATCAATTACTGTTTAGTAATGATATAAATGCATGTTCTTCTCAGGAGACCCCAGTCAACTATAAATTAGATTCTGCACACATAACAATCTGGCAACATCTCCACACTGGCTTTGTCTCTTCTCGGGAGGAACCAAGGCCAGGAAATAATCCCGGGCTGGCTTTCCCTGGCTGTGCATTTGGACCCCAGTTCACCCATCAGTCAGGCTGTGCTGAGACTAGACTTAATGAGTAGTCACACAAAACATAATTCAGAAGATAAATCACCTGCACATAAAACCTCACAATCCAACTCAAAGAGACGCTGTACAATGGGTAGGTAACAGAGACAATCTTTCACGCATTCAACGATCCAACAGATAGCTACTGAGTGCCTACTATGTGCCAGGCACCTTTCTACATCCGTGTAGAAAACAAAGATACAGTCACCCTCCTAGAGGATGAGAATAGGGTGCAATGAACCATAAACAATACATGACAGAAATAAGCAAATTACACTGGGCTGACTTTAGGAAATAAAGATTTGAAGTTCATGAGCAAACGTGGAGTGTGAAAAGACTGGAGTGTTAGAAAGTCATAAATGCTATGGAAAGAAACAGATTTTTGAGATAAGCATTGTCCTAATTTTATGAATAAGGAAATTAGAGCTCAAAGATCAAACTTAGAAACTAAGTTAGATTTGGGAAATTTTTTTTTTTTTTGAGACAGAATATCACTCTTATTGCCCAGGCTGGAGTGCAATGGCACAATCTCAGCTCACTGCAACCTCCACCTCCCAGGTTCAAGCTATTCTCCTGCCCCAACCTCCCAAGTAGCTGGGATTACAGGCATGTGCCGCCACACCTAGCTGATTTTTTTTTTTTTTTTAAGTAGAAATGAGGTTTCATCATGTTGGTCAGGCTGGTCTCAAACTCCTGATCTCAAGTGATCCACCCACCTCGGCCTCCCAAAGTGCTGGGATTACAGTTGTCAGCCACCGTGCTGGGCCAGATTTGGGATTTGAACTCTGACCTTCCTGGTGCCAAATTCCACCCTCTTTCTACCACCCACACTGAATGAATGAATACCTGTACACAAGCACTTTTGACCTCATTTCTCACTGACTGCACAATAGAAAAATCCCTGTTAATAAGCTCCCCCCATGTAAGAGACTCTCAAACTCAGAAAATAAAGCTAAGACTAAAGAAATGCTCTATAGCTAGACTGGACGTTAGCATCTATAAGCATCCAACTTGCTTAAATCTAGACTTGGCTTGAGCAAAACTTGTATTTTAATTTTGATGTGATAAATGCTAGCATTATTTTCACTATGAAAAAATGTTCAAGCAATTGTGTGTATTACTGTTCATTTGAAACCCATTCTTTGTCTTTGCAGGACTGGCCAACTATAAGAGAATGCATTCTAAATTGAGTTTCTATTAGAAGTAAGCATGGTCAAAGGGGATTCTGAAGCCCTCAGGGAGACCTCTGTCATAATCCACAGATTCTGGTAATTGATTAGAGAGCTTTTAAGTGAACTTGCTGATTACATTTTGAATTCTTTTATATTAATTATTAAAGGCGAATTATGTTGTTGAAAAGGAAAGCCACAGAAAGATGGTAATTTAATCAAATAGGTTAGAGAGGCATTCTGGATAAGGTAATTGATTTTAAAAGTGAAAGGCATTTGGGAGAAGGTTTGTCAAAAATGGATTTAAACAACTGAAAACTGTGTACCCAATCACTGTTTGTGTATTGCTTAAAGATGAAAAGAAAGGACCGGGTGTGGTGGCTCATCCCTTTAATCCCAGCACTTTGGGAGGCTGTGAGGCAGGCAGATCACCTGAAGTCAGGAGTTTAAGACCAGCCTGACCAACATGGTGAAACCCCGTCTCTATAAAAACACAAAAAATAGCCGGGCATGATGGTGGGTGCCTGTAATCCCAGCTACTTGGGAGGCTGAGGCAGGAGAATCGCTTGAACCTGGGAGATGGAGGTTGCAGTGAGCCAACATCACGCCATTGCACTCTAGCCTGGGCAACAGAGCAAGACTTCGTTTCAAAGAGAAAAAAAAAAGAAAGAAAAAAAAAAGATTAAAAGAAAGTCATTGAGAATTTGGTAGGACCTGTCCAAATAAGAAGAAAAGGAAGTTTTGTTATACTTGTAAAATGCACTTGCCCACTGTTATAGTCAATGCCTGACTGAACAATCCCTGCACTGCTATCTCTTTATAATTTTCAGTGGATGAGTTCACACAAGAAAAGATTTCACCTGAACTCTGTAGTTTTCTTCAACTGTCCCTTTTCAACAAAGATGCTAAGACTTCCCAAAGATACAAAAAGATGTTACAAAGGTCAGAGCCCAGGCTTGAAAATTACTATATTATTTAAAGATTGAAAAATAAAATTTTGTTCTCTTGAGAATGACACCACCCCCTCCAGCCCCAATATCCCTTTCAGTCTCTCCTCAGGAGACGAGGCCACCTTGTGATAGTAATAGTAATAGTGGTAGCAGGAAGAGCAGGAACACTGCACAGAGTGGTGGTGCTTCCCAGGAGTAGTAAACATCCATAGAGTGCTTCTTCTCAACCTGGGTCCCAGAATCATCCCTTGAAGGACATCTGCCCAGAAGCAACATCGAAACGGAATCAACTGCATTGGATTCTGCGTGAACAAGAAATAGACTTACGATTATTATTTCCAATTCTTCTTTTCATTGCCACAGGAAATGGAAATAAGGCAAGGGTGAAATATTTGTGGGGTAGATTTACTTATGATTGTAAGCTATTTTTCCCTTCTTTGGATTCCTCCTAATCCCTAAACAAGAAAAAAAATGCAACTCTAAACATGGCGGCCGGGCGCGGTGGCTCACACCTGTAATCCCAGCACTTTGGGAGGCAAAGGCGGGCGGATCACAAGGTCAGGAGATGGAGACCATCCTGGCTAACATGGTGAAACCCTATCTCTACTAAAAATACAAAAAATTAGCCGGGCGTGGTGGTGGGCACCTGTAGTCCCAGCTACTCGGGAGGCTGAGGCAGGAGAATGGCGTGAACCTGGGAGGCGAAGCTTGTAGTGAGCCGAGATCTTGCCACTGCACTCCTGCCTGGGCAACAGAGCGAGACTCCATCTCAAAAAAAAAAAAAAAAATAGCTAATCAGAAAACACAGCCAGGAAACATCACCACCCTAATGCACCTGCTAACATTAATAAGAGCCAGAGAAGCCCGGAGGTTCAATAACTCCCAGCAAGCTCCTTGGCCATCCTCTAGCCATGTTCCTGCAGCCACAAACACCAGCCAGAAAAGGAGATGCAACAGAAAGCCCAGGCCATCACACTGAGGCACAACTCAGTGCAGACGCAGCTTCTTATGGCCAACCTGGGCCCAGAGGGATGTTAAAGAGCCCAGGTTGGTGAGTCATGGACATGTCCTTCTCCACCTGGGCATTCCAAAGAGAAACTCTTTTTGGAAGGAATTTGCAAAAAGAAAAGTAGGAGGGTATAGTTTCTACAATAAGAGAGCCTAGGGCCTTGCTGTTTCTGATGGTGGGTGAAGCCCATTCCTTCCATGCTAGACTTAGGCTAACCTCTACCTTTCACTTGGTTTTGATGCATGGCATTTTGATTGAGCGATTTTCCCAATTTTCTTCCCATAGCTGCAAATCTGGATACTTGGAGATACTGCTAGTTCTTTGATGGTGACAACTGCCATGGAATAATAAGAGCTTAACAAAAAGCTACTCTTTCCATAGTAGCGGTTATGGCTTTGATTGGAGTGATACTCCAACCATGAGCATGGGAAGGCAGGGTTAGTTAGATGTAACTTACAGGAAGAAGACAAAGATACCCACTGTAAGAGTGGTGAGAAGCAGAGCAAGTCTGCATGAAGTAAACATGTTAGAGGCAGATGAAGCCAGCCCAAGGCCCCCATTTGGACAACTGGGAGATGTTCAGTTGAACACTTACGGACATAAAAAAGGACAAACAGATACAAAGAAACGTCAGAAAATTTTTAATAAGGGAAGATGAATAAATGACCAATTGTTGACTGATCTGCACTCAGTCTTGTCTTGGACCAATTGCTACATCTATCCTATCTCATATTACAAAACGCAGAACTCTGAAAGGTTCAAGTCCCTACGACAAATAAGCAATTTGTTGCTCTTGACAGTCTTGGAGTTACCAACCCATTCTTTTGGCCTGCCCCAGCACAACCACTATGGGGGCCCCAAAATAGTCAGGTGAAAAGGACAGAAGGCAGAACAGCACTTCCACTGGGTAGGTCACCAAATGAGAAAGTTCCAGCAATGAGAAGAGGTTTCCTAATATCAAGAAGGGATGCAGAGATGCACCAGTCTCCCCATTATTACCACTGCTCCTGGCCGAATGGACTTGGGCTTTAGGACTACAGAGGTGCCAAACCCTTGGCTTCACTGGCCTTCAGCACATTTGAAAGACAACAAAAAATCAGACAGCAGGCTACCAGCTGTTAGCCCACTCTGTCTGGCTGGGTTTCAAAGTTAGGAGGTCATCTGTATCCTTCTCCCACAGCTGCCCACACTGTAAGCTGAGGGAAGATGCCCCAAGTCATTCTCAAACTATACCTATCACCCTTCATCACAATTTTAAAGTTATATTTATTCGTACATATAAAGTTATACACACATATATGTATACAGTACATGCATGCGTGTGTATATATGTTTTCTATCCATCTGGCCTACAAAGCTATAAGCTCCTTGAAGGTCCTGCATGAGGGTCCTGCTTGTTTTCTTGTTGTATTCACTCTCATCTAGCCCTAACCCTCACCAGGTCATTCATAAATTAGTTCAGTTAATGACTGGACCTTTAGTTTTAGAGCCTGACTCTGCCCAAGGGGGTGTAGGGGGCATAGAGGCCGAGGTATAAATGGCTTCCCCAGCATTTCAAGTAGGCTCTAACCATCACTGTAAGAGGAAGGAGGCAGAGTCCTGATCCCATATGTCAGGACCACCGCCTGTGATCCTTCACAGTGTGCCCTGCAAAGGAGCACCAAGCCACGAGGACAAGAGTCGAATTGACAGGCCCCTCTCCCCACATTTAGCTACCAGGGGCTGCATCCGTGAAGAGGGAGTACTTTTTTCCAGTTTGTGCACATCGCGTGGCTAGTGAGCTCTGCCTGCCACACCCTTTCTGAGCCCACAATTTTTATACTCTGATGAAAAAAGTGACTGATGTGTGATCCTCTGTCAAGTTCCTCTCTTCCCCTTCTTACCAAACAGAACGCTGCCTTTAGACTCAGCTGCTCCTCCAGCTCCACTCCCCTCCCCGACTCCAAAGAGTTCTTTTTTTTTTTTTTTTTTTTTTTGAGACGGAGTCTCGCTCTGTCGCCCAGGCTGGAGTGCAGTGGCGGGATCTCGGCTCACTGCAAGCTCCGCCTCCCGGGTTCACGCCATTCTCCTGCCTCAGCCTCCCAAGTAGCTGGGACTACAGGCGCCCGCCACTATGCCCGGCTAATTTTTTGTATTTTTAGTAGAGACGGGGTTTCACCGTTTTAGCCGGGATGGTCTCGATCTCCTGACCTCGTGATCCGCCCGCCTCGGCCTCCCAAAGTGCTGGGATTACAGGCGTGAGCCACCGCGCCCAGCCCAAAGAGTTCTTTTCGGGAGATTTTGTAACACAGAATCAAGAATTCACAGAGAGACCTAGAACTAAAGAGGCAGGAGACACAAGGAAAGAATTTAAGCCAAAACAACTAAGTTGATCTACGTAACAAAAACTATACAAGTGGGTAAGAGCAGGAAGAAAAAAAGAAAAGAATGTTGTGAAAATATATATTTGGATTCCCATTGATAGTCTTGATGATGTGAGTGGATAAGTGAATGCCCTCTTCATTTGTTTGTGCTCCTAAAACACAACCGTCATTCAGAGACTGAACCACATGGGTTTATGGGTTTATAAGTGTTATCTTTTATTGAGATGGAAGGAGGCAAATCCCAGAAAATTAGACAGACACTGGGGAAAAGTAGAAAACACTGGAACATATTGTCTTTTCCCTTACCCCACCCCCTACCCCCAGAATAAAGTGCACCAGGTAGGAGCAGAAATAAAAAGAAGCCAATATTTATTGGTACCCCCTGGTACCAATTCAAGGGGAACTGTTTAAAGGCCAAACCCATGACCTACACAACAGCCACAGGATTCAAGAGAACATTCACCTACCACACTCACGAACAATGCAATTGCCTCGTTTCTCAATAAACATGACTTCTGAATAGATTCAATCCTGTTCACAGAAGAATAAAGAAAAAAAGGAACTTATTTTTTACATATTGAAAAAAAATTGGGGTGGAGAACTGCATGAAGATACCCTGCAGGTATATGCCTCTGAAAATAATCTACAGAATCCAGAAGAAAATTTCAAAAATCTGTTCGTCATGCTGAAAAAGAGGCCAAGGGCTCTGAGAGTCAGTGCAGAGAGTCACTGGGAGACATAAGGCAAACACGAAAATGTAACAAGATTTGGTGAAATAAGGAAGGATTTTCAAAAAAAAAAAAAAAGGAAAAAGTATGTATGGTACTAAAAGCAATATCTTTTTAAAAAATCAATGAAACGGAATAAAGCTCAGAAACAAGCCAAAGTATAACAAGATCAAGTCTTCAGCAACTGGTGCAGAGACAGCTGGCTAAGCATCTAAATACAAATGAAGCCAGGATCTCCACCTGACGCCTACAACAGTTTGACCATGTGTCACCAGTCTGCACCTATCAGGACGCAGGTAGAAACACATTAACAGTAGCAATTCAATAACACTGGCTTCTGTCCTATTGCTGATTTAGCACCTCCAGCCTCTAACAAGTACTCCCAAGTATGCCTGGGCATCCCCAGGAGGTGTTTCATACAACCACACATGCATCCACCCTCCACAGCTTCCCATCAGACTTGGTCCCCACACCACTGTGCTGAGCCCTGACACAGCTTCAGGGAAGCACAGGTGTCCTCGGATCCTTCCAAGGACAAGCTTCAAAGTCATTCATGCCAAAATTGGGAATCACACCTCCACTCTTGTCCCTGCTGGGTAATTCCAGGGCAGATCTGCTTTTTCCCAGTATGCAACAGACATTAGTAAAATGACTTTCATGCTGTTTTCACGTTTTGGAACTTTCAAATGTTTCTGTAATAATGATATATTATTTCTATAATAATTTGAAAAATCTGACTTGACAGAAAATAAAACAGAATTTTCCTCGACCAAATTTGTTTTTAAAAAGTTACTTACTTACTTTCTATTTCTTTTAAGTATCCTCTGTCTTGTCAAAGAATTATTCCTCAAAGAAACATTCAGGCCTAGATGGATTCATAGGTGATTTATTCAGACAAGCTTTTATTTTTCAAACAAAGCCAGCATAATACTGATACCAGCATTTGACAAAGACCAGGAAAAAAGAGCTCAAAATCAAGTAACTTATGAACATAAACAAAAATCCTAATTAAGCACTTAGCAAATAGAAATTAGAAAAACATTTTTTAAAATAACGCATCATGCTTTAATAAGATTCATCCCCCAAACACAGGCTATCAAAATAAACACCATATTAGTAAATTAAAGAGTAAACATTTTATAGTAAACTTAATAGATACCAAAAAAGCATATACTCATTCCTCATCTATGCCTGAGCTAATAAGAAAAAAAACACATCTTGATAAAATAGAACTCTTGCTTAACTCAATGAAAAATTTACACACACACACACACACAGTCACAACCATGCCACAAAATAATCAGCACAGTACTTAAGGGAAAAATGCTAGAAGTGTTCCCATTAGAGAAAGGAAAAAAGCAAGAATGCCCATTATCACCATTGTTACTGAACATTGTACTCTGAGTGCTATTCAATGCAATTAGATAAGAACAAAATAATATAATGAAAAAGAGATAGTAAAACTATCTTTACATGTAGATCCTTGTATATTTGAAGAAGAACCAACTAAAAAGCTTATAGAAAAACTAAGATTTCAGTAGGTGGATTTTAAAAAAACATAAGAAATCAATTGCTTTTTAAGCCAAGAATAGAAAAAATGGAAAAAGATATTTCTCAAAAGAGTAAAAACAAAACTAAATATTTAGGAATGAATTTTACAAAATCACCCGTAACCCTGGAGGGTTTTATCAGAGGACAAAAAGGAACTACTGAATTCAGTGAATATGTTGTTCTTGGATACTCTGTAATATCCAATGTTGTGATACTGCAGACGTAATCCCAATCAAAAGTCTCAATTTATGAACCTTGACAATATGACTCCAAAGTTCATCTGGAAGAATAAACACAGCATGAAGAATCAGAAAAATCTAAAAATATGATTATTTTAAGGATTTGAGGAGACTTCTCCTGTAAAGAGTAAAACATAATGCTGTAATGCAGGAAGAGACAAGGAAATATAACCGAATAAAATAACCAAACTAGACACAGGCCAATATGGAAATTTAATATAAGCTAGAAGAGGTATTTCAAATCTGTAAGGGGAATAGAGAGAATACAATAGATGATGTTAGGACAACTTGATAGTTATTTGCAAAACTTGGATAAAAGATTTAAAAGCTTTATATATAGTTTATATGATATAATATGACATATAATTATATATGAGTAAAGGAAAAGGTAAAGTGTTTTATCATCTTGGATTGGATAATGCGGTTCTTAACGTGAAACCAAGTTGAGAAACCAATAACTACTTTGATTACATAAAAAATAAACTGGGCAGAAAGAGATAGCATAAATAGTTTAAATACAGGTGCTTGCCTGGGGAAGAGGGGCGGACATCAACTGAAAGGGAGCTCAATGGGGGGTTCTGGAAATGTTCTATATCTTAATCTAGATGGTGGTTTCGTAGGTGTATACATGTGTAAAATTCGCTGAGCTGTACAGTTAAGATTTGTGCATTTATCATGCATAAACTATTCCTCAGTAAAAAAGAAAAAATAATAAAGAAAATAAATCATGCATTTATACTTCCTTTCCCATAAAGACTACATTTCAGGGTAAGAAAGACTTCGGACTGAGGGAAAATTCTTCTTCATGCAAGTTACAGCTAAGAAAGACAAAAGGGATGAAAGAAATAGAAACTCGTTATTTTGCAATTCCTACTGAAGTAATCTGGACAATGTCAATGGTTGTTAAAAGCATTAGAGTGCTGGCCGGGCACGGTGGCTCACGCCTGTAATCCCAGCATTTTGGGAGGCCGAGGCAGGCGGATCACGAGGTCAGGAGATTGAGACCATCCTGGCTAACACACAGTGAAACCTCGTCTCTACTAAAAATACAAAACATTAGCCGGGCATGGTGGCAGGCGCCTTGTAGTCCCAGCTACCCGGGAGGCTGAGGCAGGAGAATGGCGTGAACCTGGGAGGTGGAGCTTGCAGTGAGCCAAGATCCCACCACTGCACTCCAGCCTGGGCAACAGAGCGAGACTCTGTCTCAAAAAAAAAAAAAAAAAATAGTATTGGAGTGCTGGTTCTGAAACGCTAGCCTGCATCAGTGTCAGAGGGTTTGCTAAAACACAAATTGCTGGCTCCCACTCACAGAGTTTCTGATTCAGTAGACCTGGTGGGGGCCTGGGAACTGGCATTTCTCACAAGTTCCCAGGTGATAGGTGATAATGGTGCTGCTGGTCCAGGCACTACACTTTGAAAACTCCTGCATTAGAAAAAAGACTGATGTTGAAATTTATAATGGGTAAATCAGGCTGAAAACACCTGAACTTACGGATCAGTCTGAGCTTCGATTCCACGGGACATGGAGGAACAGAGGGACATGATAAACACCACCATAAAGATATAGTCAGCCAAATCCAGTATGGGAAATCTACAGAACAAATAACCCAGAGTCTCCAACAAATAAACACAACAAAGAAAAGGAAGGGGGAGCCGTTATAGATCAGTTTAATTTATTTAGAAGTGAAAAGACAAATTTAGATACTGACAAAGATTCTTTGCTTGGCCAAACTTTAGTCAGGCTTCTGAACCTTTTCCTTGGCCCATCTGTGTACTTCCTTGTAAAATCCAGCTGAAGAAAGAGTGCTGCTAGGTCAGTTTAGCAAGAACTTCCCACCTTTGCTCTCTGATCTCCCTCACTTGAAATCTGAAGTTTCTCGTCCTCCATCACCCTGGCGTGTCTTCAGGAAGAGTCCTCTTAGGTCAGTTTAGCCAGAATTCCCCTTACCCCTCATGTTTCTTCCTGGTAATTTTCTATCCACTGATCCCCACCCTGCTCCTTGGCTATAAATCTCCTCTTGCCCATGCTGTATTCGGAGTTGAGCCCAAGCTCTCTCCCCAACTGCAAGACCCCATTGCAGTAGTCCCTATACCCATCATGATGGCCCTGAATAAAATCTGTCTTACTATGCTTTAACAAGTATCACTGAATTTTTTTCTTCTTTAACAGGGCTGATTCAAACTAGCTACCTATTTTCTAATTGGGAGGTTAAAGAAAATTTGGTGGTATTAATGAATTGTTGTCAGTTTTGTTGTCTGTGATAATAGAATGCTGTTTATCCTTTTTGACATCCTGATCTGTTAGACTAAGGGTTTATTAACCTCAGCACTGTTGACATTTGGGGCCAGACAATTCTTTGACGTAGAGGACTATCCAATGCCTTGTAGGGCACGTACCAGCATCCCTGGCCTCAACCTGTTCACGCCAGTAGCACCCACCGCCACCATTCCCAGCTGCAACCACCCAAACTGTCTCCAGATAATATCAAATGTCCCCTGGGGAGGGAGTGCAAAACTGCCCCCAGTTGAGAACCACTGAGTTAGGTATATCTTCTGGAGGATTTGCAAGTGAAGGGTTATGTCTGGGGTTTTTTGTGTTTTAAAATACTCCAGAGAAAAGCAATGGGGAGTGAGAGTAAATGAGATGCAGCTAGAAAGGCACGATGCTGCCAACTGTCGAAGTGGGGTTCAGAGTGTACCTGGGTGTCGTTAGTCTATTCTCTGTGTTTTAATATATGTTTGAACACTTCTTAAGAAAAGTGTTTACAAAAACGTGAACACACATAAAATCATGCTGTAGAAACATGTTTCTGACAGATGTTCATGATAGTATGTGGGGAAAAAAAGGAACAGATCATGCAATATGTACGCGGTGACCCCGTTTGGATATAAAAGAGACACAGAGAGAAACTCAGAAGAGAGATGAGTCAAAATATTCACATTGATGGTCTCCTGGTGGTTAGAATTGTGGGTAATAATTTTCCTCTTCCAGTCTGTAGTTTTCAAAGCTCTCCATGTGAACATTTACCTCCTATTCAATGTAGACAAACAAATAAAATAAAAACTAACAAAGAATAAAGGGACTGTTACAAAGAAACACACTGTTGGTTGGGAAAGAAACAGAAAGATCCTTCAAAGCAAACACAAGATCTTACAAAGTACAACAATAAGAGACCACTGAGTGTAGTGACCAAGATATCACACAGCCCTTAAGGAAATGCTGCATTAAAGAATGCAAGTTCATTGACAGTGTATTGGAGGCGGTGGGGGGCTTTCGTCTTTCCTGATTCTGACCTTGAGGCATCTGAATTCCACTTGATCTCCCCTGTTTCAGAAGGCAGAGTCACATGGAATAAATTTTAGAATGCCTTCTCTCTAAACAGAGAATGGTGTTTTTCCTGCCAGGCAAATGTTTAAACTAAAATTTTTAAAATAATCACTTGGTGCTTAAATCCACAGCAAAGTGGAAATAGTCAGCTATTAAGCTAGTCTCATGCCTCAAAGGTTCTGGGCAACTGGAGTTTTGCTCTTCTGCTTTTCAAAGCCAAATATAAATTATCTGCTATTTAATCACCTGTTGCTATGGCTCACCTGAGCAGCTGCAGCCCGGCTTTAGCACAAGTAATTAATGGCGAGCCAGAATACCCAGTTTTATGAATCATTCTGTAGCATCTGGCCTAAATGTCAGTTTCCTTTCCATCTTAAACTTTCCCATAGTCTGCTGTAAATTCATCTCCGCCTTCACTAGAACATGGAACCCATAAAGAAATTTGCATGTTGCCTCCTTCAATGCTGTAGCTTTACTGCCTAGAAGAAAGCCCAGCACATAGTAGGTGCTCAATAAATGCTTGCTAAATAAATGACTGAATCATGTTTTCCGCCCCTTTCTTGATTTCTGGCCTTCCAAGAAAAGAACAAATGTTCTAATAAATACGAAAATTTATTATTTCTAAGGCTACCAAATGGCCTGAATTATCAGCTTCCTTAGACTCCAGTAACATGCTGCTTACCTGTATTTTTGGTGAGTGAATGAAGGTATTAACACAGACCTATCTACCCCCATACTACACACATGCACAGTACATGTGCAACACACACACACACAGAGCACTCTGCAACACCCTCAGACACCTCCACACCCTTGGACCTAATGATACGTGTATTTTCTGTTTACTCCCTGTGCCTCAGCTAGTAAGCGCTTGATCTCATTGTCTTCCTAATAAAATGAATTAATTTTCAGAGTTAAAATTCATGAGGCAGCATATGTAAAGTCTGTGTCTATAACTGCTTCTGAATTCCCTCCAGCTGCGGACATTTTTATTCTGCCCACAAAGGCTCCCGAGTTTATTTGAAGACGTTTCTTTGTGGCCTTCCCCAGGGTCCCCAGCAGCCCACAGTGGGTTTTGCTGCTACTTCCAGACATTTCCTGTCAATTCACTCCAGTGTTTGGCAGGAGAACTAATGCCAGATTCTAGAATCCAGGCTAACTTTAAGCTAACAATCTCCTTCCATTCCCGTCTCCTGGTCTTCTACCTGTGACTACTCAGGTCCCCCAGAATGTCACTCCAAATCCTTCCTAACCAACCCTTAGACATCTAGTCCAACCTCCTCCTGAGGAGAAGGGAAAACTGGGGCCCAGAAGGGTGAGGCAGCATGTTATGGGTACATGGTAAGTGAGAAGCAATGCAGGGACAATGACAGAGGTCTCCTGACCCCCAAGATGTCAGTGTTCTTTCTCCAGAGCAAGAATCAGCAATTTACAGCCTGTGGGCCAGATCTGGCCCTCTGCCTTTTTTTGTAAATAAAGTTTTATTTGAACACAGCCATGCCTACTAATTTCCATACTGCCTGTGGCTATTTGGGGCTATAACAACAGGACTGAGTAGTTGTGACACAGGCCATACGAACTGCAAGCCTTAAATATTTGCTATCTTACTAGTTGCAGAAAAAGTTAGCTACTCCTTCTAGAAGGGTCAAAAGAACAGGAAGATGGATGGGAAAGGGCTGACACAAACACCCCATGGAAAACCAACTGAGCCTCTGGCTGTTCTCCTCACAGGAGGCCGGCTCCACAGGGGAATGGGAAGATCCTCTGGGGCGGCACCAACCATTTCCCTGACTCCTCTTCCCCCAACGCTATAGTGGCCTCTCTCCTTTGCAGAGACTGCAGCCCTATCTGCTGGCAGGCACCTTAGGCTGACCCTGCCAACACATGCACACATGCACTCAGACACACACACGCGCGTACACACACACATGCACACGCAAGCTGAGTTCCAAGTGTGACATGGCTGCCATAAATCAGCCTGGAATATTAAACTCAAGCTGCCATGAAAGAGCCTCTCAACTCCACAGCACACAGAAGACCAAGAGGTATGGGACCCATCTTCAGGGAGGAAGCCTTTTGCAGTTCAATTCACTTCCCCGGGTTCAAGTTTTGTCTACCACCCTCGCCAGCTGGGTAACCTGGTGTTACCTAATTTCTCAGCCCGTGGCTCCTCATCAATAAACCAAAGCTGACCTCTGTTGTGAGGATTCACTGAAGTGATGCTTGCAGAGCTCCAAGCATAGGGCCCGGCACAGAGTGAGTGCTGAGTGGGCACTGGCAAGAGGCTCTCTAGGGATTGCCCGGGCTCTCTGGACAATGCAAGGCATGATTCTAGTGTCCAGAACAGCCTCTGACACACAGGGTCTGAAACAGCCTTCTTTATTCCAAAAGCTCAGAAACCCAAAGCTAAAAGCCAACCGAGTAGGCCAGAGCCAGGAGGCCCAGGCCGCCCTGTTTGGCTGGAACACCCGGGCTGCCGGCGTGGCTCGGAGCCAGCACTGCAGGCAGGCAGCCTTGACTTCCTCCTTCCCAGTCCTGATAGACATGAGCCATGCGACCCTGGGCAGGCCACCCTGTCTCCATGAGCCTCAGTTTCCTCATCTGTCACATGATAACAGCATTTACCCCACAGGGTTACTGTGAGGACTGAGTGAAACAAAATACCCGAGGACCTTTGTACCGGGCACAGGTGGGCCCCTCCATAAGTGAGTCACTGCCACTGTCATGTAACACGGTAATAGTTCAGCCTGGGAATGTCTTCCACAGTCTGACCACAGAACCCCCTCACCTGTGACGGGGTCACTCGCATCTCCGCCCACTCTACCCGGGGATTCAGTCTAAGTGGAGCCTCCCTCTTACCCTTCCCAGCCTAGCCTCACGCCCCACCAGTCCCCTGCCACAGCCACACATACCTGGAAGGCCACACCTTGCCACTGACCCTGTTCCCACATCAAATGATTTTGTCAACATGAAACCAAACCACAACCAGGTGGATGCAGAGCCTCTGTCACACTCAGTCCTTGCTCCTCAGTTTCCTTCCTGTGTGACCATGGGAGAGTCATTCACCCTCTCTGGGCACAAACTCAATCATTTGTAAAGAACAGGCTTCAGATCAGATATTCAAGTTCCTTCCACCTTGAGAAACACTGCAGAGATTCTACTATGAAGCCCTAATGAAGACGCCCCATGTAACTGGCTAACTCCAATGTCAATTTCCACCCAAATGCATCCACTTAATCTAATAGAGACCGCATGGTACAGGCAAGAAGTGTTGCTTTGCTAACAAGACCACTAAAGGCCTCAGCTGGAGACTGTGACTTTATCAATCGTCCTGGCCTCCTCCCTGTCTTGTGCTCAGTCTCTTTTGCACGTGTCTTCTCCCCACTCGATTGTTGTTAAATCTTGATTTTTTTCTGTTTTCGCTTACATGGAACCATGGGGCTTTTCCAGCTCTCCTCCATACTCCCTGTGCCTTCACTCTCTGTGGCTTCTTGGTCAGTTTGATTTTTCCTGAATTAGAATTAAAGGCCTTGGAGAAGCTCCGAGCAGTGCAAGTCCTGGGAGACCACGTTCCAGGACACCAGACCTTGTTTAGTATTGCCCATCGCAGTGTGAACACTCTAACAACAAAGAACTTGCCACCCGCAGTGGCAGTCCACCCCATGTTCACAGCATTCTGAGGCTGGAAAATTCTAATTTTCTAATGGCCCGTCCCTCGACAGCAACAGAAGGCAGTGTCCGAGGGTCCCCTGGAGCCAAGCCAGACACTGGGCTATTGATTTACCTATGAGGGAGGGAGGTGTTCTTCCTCTCCCAAGTGTAAAGTATCTAAGGTGGCCCAAGCTGGAAAACGGTCACCCCAGGCCTAGAACGCACATTAGAGCCCCAAGTTGGTGTTCCCAATGGCTCTGCCACGTGGGGCCCTTTCTCCTCCTTCTCCAGGGATTTAGAAGTGGAGCAGCATCGGCATCTGGGCCTCATTGCAGAATGAGGGGACAAAAGGCTTCTTGTACGATAAGGAGACAAAAGCCTCCAAGGGACTTACCACAAAACAGAAGCAATATTTTAAATGCTTTTTAGAACATTTGCATGAAGATAATCCAGAAGTACAGTGAAAAAGAAATACAAAAGATTTGCAATGAAATCTCCTTCCTGTTTCTGACCACAGGCCACCCAGGCCCCTTCCCCAGCGTTTATTACAATCAGTTTCTTGCATTTCCTCTCAGTGATAATTTATGCAAAAAACTACATGTATTTAAATATGTGTGTGTGCATATCCTTTTGTTTTACAACTGATAAACCAGAAGACAAAATTCTGTACCTCGCTTTTTTCAATTCATCGATCTTGGATATTGTTCCATTAATGCTTAGAGAACTGGTGCTTTCTCTTTAATGGTATTTCACAGCATGGACATTTGCCTCATGTCTAGCCTTTTGCAAGTATGAGTAAAGCTGCAATAAACATCCCAGTACATACATTTCCTGCACATGAACACACACACACACAAAATCAGATAAAATTCCTAGAAATAGAACTACTTTTAGATGGACAAGAGTTAGCAAACCTCTGGGTAGTGTGTGTGTGTGTGTGTGTGTGTGTGTGTGTGTGTGTGTGTGTGTGTGTGTACATACATGCACGTGTGTGTAAGTACATGCATGTGTGTGCATGTAGTGTAAAGTGGTTTTGGGTTTTTTTAATTAATACAATGGGCTGAGATCTTCTAGTTGTAGAGTATTAGAGCTAAATTGGAGCTCATCCTATTTCACTTCATCTGCTTTTCTTTGAGTCTGTTGTTCCTCAATTTCATCCACACTTTTGGTTATTAATGCCCCCATTCAGTGTTTCAGATTCACCAGGGCTTCTTAAGCCAGTTTACTTTTTTGAGACTTAATGCCCTTACAGAGCCACTGTGTGTGAAATTATCTTTTACAATGCTGAATCCAAGCAGTTTATAGTTTTCAGTCAATTACTCCCAACCACCAGAGCTGTGCTCAGGATAACATTTCTGGCTAAATTTCTTACTTCTTGGATCATGAATTCTCAGACACTACTAATCCTGGTGTCTGGTGAGTCAACATATTCGGACTCACACTCAGGCCAAAGACTCTCTCCAAACTTAGAAATCCACATTCAATAAGCCACATGTGCACTGGAAAATTGTAGCACAAATGCCAGGCTGATAATCTCGATAATATTTCACAGTCCCTGATAAAGAGCTAACTTTTAAGAAATCCTGAAGCAAAATCATTTATAATTTTTTAAATTTCCGTGGCTAACAAAAAACAAATCACTGGTCATTAATTCAACCATGTCAGTTAGCTCTGGCTGTATAACAAGCTACCCCCAACATTCAGTGGCTTCAAATCGCCACCACTTATTTACCTTATGATTCTGTGGGTCAATGCTCTGAGCTAGGCCCAGTCGGGCAGCTCTTCTGCTGGTCGTGGCGAGGCTCAGTTATGCATCTGTGATCAGCAGCTGCTCAGCAAGGTGGCTCTGCTTCTAGGGATGGCTGGTTATCAGCTGGGGTGACTGGGGCAACCGGGCCATGTATGTCAACATCCAGCAGGCTGATCTGGGCTTCTTCACATGGAGGTGTCAGCAGGGACCCCAGGAATAGCAAGTAAACAAGCCCCAGACACAAGTCCCTTTCAAACCTCAGGCAGTGTCACATTTGCTACTCTCCCATTGGCCAAAACGAGCCACGTGTCCAAGCCCAGATTCAAAGGGTAGAGAAATAGACTCTACCTCTTCATGGGAAAATGTACAGTGTTGCATTGCAAGGGTATGGACAGATGGTAAGGGGAAGAATTAATGGCCATTTTTACATTTATCACATCAACAGTGTATAAATTCATCAAACCTAAATAGTATTTGTATAAGACTTCGCAATAAATAGAACAGCTCTCAATTACTCTCTTTATTCCCAGAACAGTTTCTTGAAACAGGATCCACATAAAAGCAACACCTGGAGAGACTTCTAGTGCCCGTGGTTGAGTATCCACAGAACCATTCCAAGCCATCCTACAAGTTAGCATTCAGGCACCCTTGATCAGATGTGGTGAGCCTCCGAGCAGCTTTCCTTAAGACCACAGACACACAGAAGAAAAAGCATGCGACGTGGAGTACAGAAGACTCAAGTCTAACCTCAACTCTCAAAGCAAATTACTTCAGCTCTTCTACATGCCATCTGCTCCCTCATTTGCCAGCAGGAACAGCAGGAACAATCTAAGAATTGCTAAGAGGACTCAAAGGAATCATCCTATATGCCCATGCCCTAGGCACCTGGAAGTGCCTGGAACAGCACAGCAAAGACCTTGAAACAGTGAATCATGCCCAACGTTCTAAACGGACTTGAATGCTCAAATAAAAATGACAGATGTGAGCAGGAGGCTCCAAGGAAAGACAAGGTTGTGAGCCAGCACACAGAAGTGGGAGACAGAACCAGCCTGGCCACAGGGCACACGACTGTCCCCCGGGCAGGATTTGAAAGTTGAAGATGGCAGAACTGCATGTTCTCTGTACCCTCTGTGGAAGCAGCCAGGTCTTGGATCTGCACAAAACATTCTCTCCCCTCAAAGAAGAGTGAGTCCCAGGCATGTCTTTCCTGGGGAAACAGCCCTGCCTGACCTAAGAAAGGCATGTGAATCTATAGGGCCCTATTAAGGGCCTGAAGAATCGTGCTGCTTGCTGTCTACAGAAGGAAAAAACCATCCCCCATCACATATATTTCAAGGTAAATAACAAGAGCTATAGCTACAATTTGTTGAACAGCCATATGGCAGAACCTGTTCCAGTCAACCCACCTACATTAAATAATTAGCATTCATGCTGCAATTATCTACCCAAAGACAACTGTGTGCCTATGGTGTACCAGATTCCACCCAAGGGGCAGGAGAAGCCGTGTTGACATGGCCATACCAGGCATGGTAACTGCCCAGTGGAGTCTTACAGTCTGGTCACAATCATTAATGCTACAGATGCTGCCTCTACCAACAGAAAGAGAGCACTTAACTTTTATGAATGAGCATGAGCACTGCATGCTGGACTTTGCACACATTATTTCAGTGACTCTCCACAATTACCCTTGAAGTAAGCATCATCATCTCCACCTTACAAATAAGTGAACTGAGGCCCAGAGAACTTGTCTAACAGCAACAGGCAGCATGGGGCTGAGCTGGATTCAAACCGGGGGCACCTTCCAAGAGACCCTGCCCTGCCACGGCTCCTCTTCTCCCCATAAGGAACGGTGTTGATGAGCAGGACAATGTTCAGGGGTGGTGATCAGAAGCCTCCCTCCTCTTCACCCTGGGTTACTCCCAACAATCCCCCTACCTGATCTTCCTGAAACTCTTAGACAAAGGTAAGTGGTGCCCATTTCTGCTATCCCTCTCCCTCCTCCCTTCAACTTTCCAGAGTCTTCAGCAAATTGATCTAATAAAAATTCAACAGCTCACTGGCTCTAAATCTCAGGTCTGGTTTTTTAACTGCCTAAAGGGCTCACAGGGTTGCTAACTCGGCCCTTGAATAAAATCTAAAACTTACACACTTGTGCATTCATTCATTCAACAAAAACTTACCAAGTGCCCACCAAATGCCAAGCCCAGCATGACAGCACCTAGGTAATACTGAAGAGGTTTACACAGGTAAGGCTGGGCACCACACATTTACAGAGGCCACATTTTTTAGGTCTGAGGGACTTTTCTCTAGCAGTATCTAGCCACCTGATAAAAGGGAAGAAAAGAGAAAGAGCTGTGTTTGTCCAGGTGTTAAGGTTGAGATAGAGATCTAAGGAAAGGGTACTGGGATTCCAAAAAAGAGAATGGTGGATATGATATCTATGGAATCCAAGCTGATCTGGGAAGCAAGTAGACACAGAAAGAGGCAGACAGACAGCAGAATCAACCAAGGGACCTTGCTTGATGTGGGCACTTCCATCAAAAATGGCCATTCAACTGGAGCAAACAAGACCAGACCAGGATGGTGTCTAGAGTTCACATAAGCAGCAATCCCACCTAACGCATGAGTGCCTTCTATAGGGTCACAAGGTGCTGCTACATCTGGTAACAGGAAACTCTCCACCTTCCAAGGAACCCATTGCCAAGTGAGCATCTGCCTGCTGGGACTTTTGGGTTCTGGTTCTTCCATCCACAGCTACATAGAGCAAGGGTCCAGGATGGGGCACCATACTTCCAGTGCAACCAGGCTGCCCTCGGCCCTTCTCAATGCACAGATATCCATCCACTTCCACGATTCAGTGATCAACTTTGTGCCAATGGCTCCAAGGTCTAAAATTTCAGCCTCTATCCAAGCTTCAGACTCAAATACTCAACTGCTCACCAGACACCCTGACCACAACATCCCTGAGCACTCACACTCTGAATGCATGCAAACCTGAGCTCGTGGCCTTGTCCCCATATACCCAAACACTGCATTGGAGGATGGATCCTACCCAATTCCCAACTGGGCACCATCCTTGATCTCTCTTCCCAAAACACACAAATAATCACCTTCCTATTCATTCTTCCTCCTAACAGGTTCTCAGATACAGCCACCTAATCCCTTCTATCCCCACTGCAATGACTCCCAACAAGGTCACCAACATCTCTCTCCTGGCATTATTATCTTTCTCAGGGAAGTTTTCCTAACTAGTCTTACTTCTACCACCTTACCCACTCTATCCATTTTCCTGGCATGGAATCAAAAGTGATGTATGAGTCAATTTTTATGAAATGTCCAGAATAGGCAAATCCATAGCGACAGAAAGGAGGTTAACGGTTGCCTGGGGCTGGAGGTAGGGTGATACAGGGAATGATGCTAATGGGTACCTGGTTTCTTTTGGGGGTGGTGAAAACGTTCTAAAATGGATTGTGATGATGATTGCACAACTCTGAATATACTAAAAACCGTTGAATTAAAAAAAAAAGTGATGTTTTCAAAAAGAAAAGTTGGTCACAACACATCACTGCTTAAAATTTATAAGCAGCTTCCACTGCTCTGGGAATGCAGTCATCAGTTACCCCCAGGATCTGCAGGATCTGACCATTCACCCCACTGGCCTCACCTCTGATGCTACAGCATACCTGTCAACTCTGTGCTCCAGCCACATTGGGCATTTTGTTCCCACAACATGCCATGCTGGCTCACCTCTGAGCCACAGCAAAGGCTGTTCCCTCTGCCTCACCCCTACCCTCTGCTTCTAATGAAACACTAGACTTCTCCTCTCATGGTATCTCCTGCTGTTTTGTAATTTTCTGCCCATTTATCTGTCTCCTTCCAAAATGTCTGATCAACAAGGAAACATGTCTATGTTGTTCACCAATGTCTCCCTAGTCCTGACACATAGGAAGCCCTCAATAATCTACTTTATTTATGTATTTATTTACTTATTTCTTTATTTATTGACTAGAATAAAGTAGATTATTGAAGGTTTCCTATATGTGTAATCCTTTCATCTACTCCAAGCTTGTTGAAAGAAAGCAAGAATTTCCAACTATCAATCACCTTCACTGATCTGTTTCCTATATCTCTATTAATGCAGCCCCAAATGGCATAGGCTTCTTAAGTTGCCACAATTCACTTCAGATGCACACATAATTTCCCCTTGACTGAAGAACTCAAGGATTTTTCTATTACATACTGTTAAACCATCTCATACCCAAGCAATTCTCCAATTTAAATACTTGCTGCAGGAGTTTCTTATCAAGACAGAAAGAAGGAAAGCCCATTTTCAGGATGAAAAAGAGAATGTGAACACTTTCAGCTTCCATTTTTATCTGGTTCAGCCCTGGCTCACAGATTAATTTCTGGCACCAGGATCTGGGACCAGATAACAGAGAATCACACAGAAGAGCCTTCTCCAGCTCTCCAAAGCCAGCAAGAATCACTCTTTTCACAATCGTCCATTTTACAATGTGTCTAATTATAACTGAATAAATTACTTCTGCCATTCTGCAGAAATACTTAAAATAAATAGCTCTCTTTCCTTGAATTAAAATCATAGTCTTTTGTTCACTGTTTTCTGTTCCATAAAGCAACAGAGTCTGTTGATTAAAGATCATTTATAGGACTTCGTTTTCAATCTTTTTTATGATATCACTTTAAAATACCCCCAAATATTCAGCTGCAAGGAGGGATAAGAACTACTGGAAATTGGCTCTTTGAGAGTTTTTGATGAGAAATGAAGTCGTGGATGTAACTCTCAGCGAATGAGCATATATTAGAAAAGTCGATTTTAATAACTACTTGGTTCTTCTTCTTGGACTTTTTTTCTCTACCCAACTTCCTACATTTTTCTTGAGATTACAACATAATCCCCACTGACACACTAAATATTACCTCTCTGTATTGAATGGATGACGCTGAGACAATAAATCACTTTGAGCTAACACAATATGCCAACCAGTCCCAGCTAAGCCAAATATTTGACGAAAGACATACAAACTGAAATTTAGCAAGGCAGGAATGCTTTGGGGATTATGTCCTGAATATCAACCATCTCTAGACCCTATGTAGTGAAAAAAATAGATGTTCAAGGAGGCCATATGTGAATGCATAAGATGATTCTGTGTTCAGAATAACCACAGTTAGCCAATTCCAGGAGATATCTTGGGATGAGATTGTGATTAGGCCACTCTCCAAACACTAGTGGATGTCACGACAAAATAAAGACTCTTCACTTCTGAACCAAAAAAAAAAAAAATCACCCCAAAACACATAAACTATTGTTCTTCTGCAGTGGTGTAGAAACAAACATGATGTTGATGAAAAAGACTGTCTGGGGGTACTGAGCATGCCACTAGGGAAGCTGACACCTCGGGTCCTCTCACTTGCATGGGCCCCTTTCAAAGCCCGGTGCTAATTTGGTATCTGAAATGCTGTCTTCTTTTTCTTAAAGTGGGCCCCTGAATTGTGCACACTTCCACAAAACCTTCCAGAGCTGCCCCTGTGGACCCTACTTTAGAAGGATTGAAATGGGACTCCAGAGATGCCCTCAGCTGTCAATACGATGGAACTATATTCACAGGTCATCCTAAGTCCCCTAAAAGGAAGACAGAGCATCTCTGGCCAGCAGCCAAGGCCTTCCCAGGGCAGCTCCAGTGAACTTCTCTGACTCCCATCTCACTCGCCCAACCTGCCTTCCACTGAAGCATCAGTGATCACTAACCAGCTTCATCCACTGTCATGTTTCACTAGAGCTGGGACCTCAGCCAAGCATGTTCTACCTCATGTCTTCTCTCCAGGTACCTCTGCTCCTCCTTCAGAACCTACTCGAGGGGCATCAGCTCTAAGAAACCTGTCTTGGTGCCCCCTTCCCCCAAGATGAAACTGTGTCCTCCTATGTGCCCTGCAGCTTGGAGCTTAGTACCTTCCCTGGGTCTGAAATGTGGCTCCCTCACTTACTAGAAACCTCCCATGCCTCAGTTTCCTCATCAGCAAAATGGAAAGCAACAGTACTCCCCTCATAAAATGGACACGAGGATAATCCTTGTTGCACAGTAGAAACTCAATAAACGCCAACCATCATCATCATCATCCTACACATCGCTTCGTCAGAAATCCCTCAACAACTCATTCTACCTCCCCCATCAGACCAGGGACTTCTCAATAGCAGAGATGGAAGCCCCTGTGCCCAGAGCCTGGTGCTCCATAAATGTTTGCTGAGCACATGAAGGAATTAAGTAATATTTATATTATGACCAACAGAGGTAAAATTCAATAACACATCCCACAGCCTCTTGTTTGCTAACATTTCAAGTCTATATTGGAGAATTTGATGAAAAGCATAAGAAGACAGAACAGGGAGCAAAACAGCTCTGCATCATGTTTCTCTGTCTATTCCCAAGAGCATCCCTTCTTCATCATGGGCCAACAGAGCCCAGAGCTGCTAGCTGTCTACAAAACCCATCTCCCAAGGGCAGCTTCATTCATCGACCTCTCTTTGCAGACAGACTTCCAAGGTGCCTTCGGCTGAAAAATTCTTTCATCTACTCCAAGCCAAAGCAGGATCACAGAACCTGGCACTCTCACCCAGAAATCACCACACACACCATTTGACCCATCTAGATTCTTCCTATCAGGTTAGAAAACATGAATAACTCTATAGCCATGATGAGACTTTAAATCTACCCAAGACCTCTTCAAGCAAAGCAAGGGCTCTGTCTGTGGAAGCTGCAATAGGTGTCATGGAAGTGTACACGTGCAATCTACACAGAGCATTGACATTTCCATACCCTGGGCTGGTTGGGTGGGGGGATCTGCCTCCATGTTTAACCTCATCTTGGCCACACCCTCACACCTGCCCTTCACTCCCAACTCCACAAAATCAATCTGCATATCCTCATATTAAATATATGCTTCAATTGTTCACATGTCACTGTCCTAGCACATTTGTCACTCTGCCTGGAACGGTTCTCACCAACCCTCCATCGCATCCCTGGGGCAAGAAGTATCCATCTCAATAATGTCTCCCTACTCCTTTCAACCCCATCCCCAACTTTTGAGGCCTCCTGGACCCCTCTTCTTCAGACTCCCCTAGTTCTTGCCCCATGATTCTCTCAGCACTGTTGTTGTATGTCTCTCATCCACCATATGTTATCTCTGCAACCCCAGCACCCAGCACAGCAATGGATGCACACAGCATGTGCTCTGTGAATACCTGATGAATGAATGATTCCACGAGAAATCTCCCCTGAGATCACAGACTTAAATTATGCTCCACATAATTCCTGAGTTTCTTAAAAGAAGAGGTGTTCCCATCCAGTGGGTCATTGCTCATTAACCCCAAAACCATCCCAGCTATTTTTATAGAGGGAGTAAAGAATATGTGGGTTGATTTTTCAGGAAGAAATTTCCCATAGCAGAACCACTCTGAAGGCTGAGGTGTAGCACTGGTATAGGGTTCATATGCCTCAAAAATGTACTGTCTGCTACCTTTTTTCATAGGCAAGAAAAATAAAGCCGCAGAAGTGAAGAAATAAGATGGGCTTTACTCTCACCTCCAAGATTGCAAAACATCAGTAGTATCTGCTCAAGAAATCTTTAACGTGCTTGAGGTAGGTCAGAGATGTTGTTTTTTAAAATGTCTGTGTGATCCTCTTACTTCTGCAAGACAAATTAATGCTGCAGAATAACTGGGGGAAAGAAAAAAATCTAGATCCATGTTCTGTTGGAATGCAGCTTGCTCTAATTGTTTTCTCATGTAATTACATATATTACCAATATAATTACAAATAATACACATATTTGATTTGTGCAATTATAGAATAGTATATAATTTTTAAATGTGGTATGTTTCTTTCTACCCAAGATCCCTTTGTGAAGAAAATGATTTATCATTTCTAAAAATATGCCCCTGTGCATTATGTTTTAATAAAGCAAAAATTAGTAAATATTTGCCTTTCTTTTATATTTCAACAAAATAAACTTTGTCATGAAAATTCAAGTTTTAAAAGGCTCATTATATGCTTTGAAAAACTGCTTGCACTAGGTTAATTCTATTCACTGGAGAAAAGCCAACCAAATACTATGATTCTCAAGAAAGGTAATTATAACAGACAATGTATAAGGCACAGTCAAGGGAGGTATTTGAGAAGGCCTGGGATAGGAGGAAATAACACCTCAATGAATGGGTGAGGAACAGCCTATTTAAGAGTGAAAGAGACAAGTGAGAAAACTGGGCTGTGTCCCTTATCAGTTGTGTGTCTTTGAGCAAGCAACTGAACCTCTCAGAACTTTCATGAAGTGGAGGTAATTTACCACCTCACTCATTGTACAGTTGTGAAAATTAAATGAGGTAACATGTGTGAAAGGCCCTAGCACTTTCTCACTTAGCAACCATGCATGTCACGTGGTAGATGGTTCCTGCCGTAACAGCATAAATCATAACCCTCATCTACCATTACTGTATTTCTCTTTGCAAGATGACAGTTCACCAGATCTGCTGCACAGCATCTGGAACACCGTGGTCTCTAAGTCTCCCTTTTTGGAAGGTAAAATGGCAACAGCCTGCATTCATTCAAAGAGGAGACTTGTGAAGGGTCCAGGGAAGAAACGTGTGAACATCCGTGAGATGTGAAGGGAAATGCAGAATATTAAACTGTAAAGACCAGAAAAGAATTTCCAGATAATCCTCATCTGACTAGTGACTCACACTGAGGTTCTATTGGATCCACGCAATAGAATCTTTGTTTAAAAACTTAGCCAACATTTAAAATTAGGAGATTTCCCATAAAACCTTGGAAGTACACATTCTCATTCTGCAATGAGAAGCCTGGGTAAGGCTGGGCCCAAGATCCTCTATGGCAGCAACCGGCTGGAGCCAAGGAGTTTGCTCCCTAGGTAGCCACACTCGAAAGGCTGCCCTCTCCAGTGTTCATTATTTGCATAAGCTATGGCACCCTGAGACAAAAAATAAATAACACTCTCAAGTCGATCAACAGACAACTCAGAACTGACCAGTAAAGGATAACGGTCTCCATCCCCACCTAATACTCAGCCAGCTGCTGAAGCCTCCTGTTTCTGGGGCCAACTTTGCTTTCCCAGCAGCTATAATCACAACGGTTGTCACGACTTCCACAGGGTCTTTTCTTTTTCTTTTTTTTGGAGATTGAGTCTCGCTCTGTCGCCCAGGCTGGAGTACAGTGGCACCATTTCAGCTCACTGCAACCTCCACCTCCCAGGTTCAAGTGATTCTCGTGCTTCAGCCTCCCAGATAGCTGGGACAACAGGCACGTGTCACCATGCCCAGCTAATTTTTGTATTTTTGGTAGAAATGGGGTTTCACCATGTTGGCCAGGCTGGTCTTGAACTCTTGGCCTCAAGCAATCTGCCCTCCTCGGCTTCCCAAAGTGCTGGGATTACAGGCATGAGCCACTGTGTCCGGCCTTCCACAGGGTCTTCAAATGCCCAAAGCTCACTCCGCACTGGGGAGAAAGGTGACCCTAGGAGAAAACTGTTACAGAGTTGGTACAATGGAGTGTCCTGCCTACCTAGAGATGAAGGCAGATGTGATCTGCCTTCATGCTGAACCTCACATTTAAGAAGAGAATAAATGGATCACAGTGCATCTGAGATGTCCTGAAGACTCCATCTAAATATTCAAGAATATGTATCTAATCTTAGCACTTCAGTGTGGTAAAAAATGGCATAGACTGGTCGGGTGTGGTGGCTCACGCCTGTAATCCCAGCACTTTGGGAGGCCTAGGAGGGCAGATCACCTGAGGTCAGGAGTTCAAGACCAGCCTAACCAACATGGAGAAACCCCATCTCTACTAAAAATACAAAATTAGCCAGGCATGGTGGCTTGTGCCTGTAATCCCAGCTACTAGGGAGGCTGAGGCAGGAGAATTGCTTGAACCCGGGAGGCGGAGGTTGCGGTGAGCTGAGATCGTGCCATTGCACATTGCACTCCAACCTGGGCAACAGGAGCAAAACTCCGTCTCAAACAAAAAAAAAAAAAAAAAAGGCATGGACTCCATGGCATAGGAACAGAAAGCTTCTAATAAAGAGAGTTAATAAAGAGGTGGGGGTGGGGGAATACCAACTTTCCTGGCAAGAAAACTGAGTCTTGGAAAGTTTTAGTAATTCATCTGAGAACTAGAAACTGAATCCAGGAACTGACTCCAGATATGAATAAACAAACCATGTAGCCTTACTTTTCTAGTTACTTCCCTCCATAGGTACATCAAAATTAAGAAACCAAGAACTTGGCCAGGTGTGGTGGCTCACATCTGCAATCCCAGCACTTCAGAAGGCTGAGGCAGGAGGATCACCTGAGGTCAGGAGTTTGAGACCAGCCTGACCAACATGGAGAAACCCCGTCTCTACTAAACATACAAAAAATTAGCCAGGCATGGTGGCACATATCTGTAATCCCAGCTACTCAGGAGGCTGAGGTAGGAGTATCACTTGAACCCGGGAGGCAGAGGTTGCAGTGAGCCAAGATTGTGCCATTGCACTCCAGCCCAGGCAACAAGAGCGAAACTCCGTCTCAAAAAAAAAAAAAGAAACCAAGAACTTGAAGACTAATGAGACTGATGAGATACAACTCTCAACTCTCCTGAAGATGGAGAAGAAGGCTGAGCTCAGGAAGCCCTCCTGATAAAGCCATCTATATTTTTGAGCCAGCAATAGTATAAAGAATTTGGAGCTTCTTTTTACTGCAACATCTGGATGAAGCTTTTTAAATATTTCATTCGGGATTCATTCCTCGTCATGGAAACAACTATTTCATCAAATACCAGAACTGCTCAGAAAAAGCCTCTGTCTCATATTCAAGTTGAACCACAGGCTCAAAGACTAAGTAAATAAGTGTACAACTACCTTGAAAAGTTAGCCAAGAAAAAAAAAATGGAAGGAAATATGCCAGAATATTAAAGTGGTTAACTGTGTAGTAGGAACACAAACAGATATCATTTTTGCTTCTGTCTTTTTCCCCTAGTATCTTTGTTTTCTCAAATGGGCTTGTATTACTTGTTTAAAATAATCTATAACTAGACAAGAAAAAAATACATATGAATTCATTGCACACAAGTGATGGAGCTGAGTCAGGCGTCTTGTCCTGATCTGGACCCACAGATCTATCTCAGTGTAGCTTAGCCCATTTTTGCCTTCTCTGCCCCCTGCTAGACTACGTGAGGTCTCCCCAATGCCTTGCCATCCCCACTGTGTGCCCCAATCTGAGCAGCAAGGTCCTCAGCACATAGTAGCTACCTAATAAACATTTATAAAGTGAATAAATTCATAGCATCTTGTATTTCCTTTCACACATTCTTCCTCTGGACCTGTCAATGTAGAGGATGATACTCAGGTGAATGATATTTCCTGGAAGATACTATACAATTAATTACCCTTGTAACCTCAAAAATCATATTTGAAATCAAATCTGCACAAGTGACAAGTAAAGGATATAAAACATGGCATTCTCCTTAGCCTCTTAATTACATACTATATATCAAGCTTCTCCCAAGCTCTGAAAATGTCCCATTTAACATTCTACACTTGGCATTCAATTGCAAAACCTGAAATGGAGATTGTATTACTTAAATACTTCCCAATTTTTTTTTTACCTACTTGTTCTACATTTTTACCCTTCAACCAGGTTTTATCTACTCCCTGTTTCCCTCTTATGCTGTTGTATGCTAGCCAAGAAAATTTAGGGTAACACTCAATTGTTTAAATCCAGATACTTCCATTGTCCTAAGACCAAGGGGCATTTACCTAGTGCAAAACACATGAGTGAGTGGGCAAAGGCATGTTGAAGGCACACAACAGAATCATCCCTCTGACCATCCTCTCCATGAAGCTAATATCTTGAGATACATAGTGGACACCAATATATATAGTATGAATGAAACTTTGTTTAAAAAGTATGCATGTGTACAAACACAGATATGTTAATATATCCATAGGAAAAAGTCAGAAAGGATACACACAGAATAGCAAATAATAATTAGCTTTGCATGAGGTGAAGTGGAAAAGCCAGTGGGCTAAGGAGGTAGAAATTTTTACTTATTTTCCATAATCTAGATAAATAAGGCAAAGGAACTATAAATGAATTGTTCTTATGTTTACCCTTTTATTCCAAATAAAAAAGTACTAAAATGGTATGTAAGTGAGTGTGTTATCTGTATAAAGGTTAGTTCCCTGCCTTCAGGAGAAAAACACAGTATAAAATAATTCCAGAACTCACATTATACATTATTACAACCACAGAGACAAAGAGGACTCTCCGGATACATAAATATATACCCATCCTATCTCCTCAAACAAATGGAAATCAGATTCAGACAACATGGCCTCAAGAAAGTCTCAATAAAGGTCGCATGCTACCATGCCACTATTTGGGTATTTGGTTCTGTTTATGGGAGGAGTTCTGTAAAAAGATTAGCGCAATCGGTCAATGTAACTGCAGTGGGATTGAATTTCCACAGAGGCTGGCAACAAGCTCAGCACAGAGAAGGCAAGAGGATGAATAAATTATAGCAAGAACATGAGGTTCATAACCAGGAAAGAGGAGCGAATGAAGCCAGCCTCTCAGAATCAGGTGGCTTGTAGAGAAACCTCTAGAGATGGCTCCATCCCTCTCCCCAAAAAAAGAACTGCTGCAAGTTCCTTGCAGGTGAGAAGATACTCCAATTCTATATCTTCACGTCTTGGGGAAGGAAACACCCAAGTAGTAAATCCATTAATACTGTCCTTACAGGTGAGGTATTCCTGAAAACTGCTTAATTCCCCATAAAAGCATAAAATTGTTTTCTTCTAATCATTTCATCATTTTGGGACTTATATTTAAGTCTTTAATCCATTTTCAGTTGATTTTTGTACACGGTGAGAGATAAGGATCTAATTTCATTCTTCTGCATATGGATATCCACTTTCCCGAATACCATTTACTGGCAAGACTGTCCTTTCCCCATTGTGTGCTCTTGGCACTTTTGTTGAAAATCCATTGGCTGTAAATGCATGGATTTATTTATGGGTTCTCTATTCTCTTCCATTGGTTTATGTGTCTATTTAATGCCAGTACCATGCTGCTTTAGTTACTACAGCTATGTACAGTATTTTGAAGTCAGGTAGTGTGATGCCTCCAGCTTTGTTATTTTTGTTCAAGATTGCTTTGGCTATTCAGGGACTTTTGTGATTCCAAACAAATTTTAGGAGTGTTTTTTCTATTTCTGTGAAGATCATCATTGGTATTTTCATAGGGATTACACTGAATCTTTAGATTGCTTTGGGTAGTATAAAACTACTAGAAGAAAACATAGGAGAAAAGCTCCATGACATTGGTCTGGGCAGTGATTTTTTTGGATATGACCTCAAAAGCAAATGGAATTGCATCGAACTAAAAAGCTTCTGCATGGCAAAGGAAACAATCAACAGACTGAAGAGACAACTCACAGAATAAGAGAAAATATCTGCAAACTGTACATCTGATAAGGGGTTAATATTCAAACTATATAAGAAGTTCAAGCAATTATATAGCAAGGAAATAACCTGATTTTAAAATGAGCAAAAGACTCGAATAGACATTGATCCAAAAAAAAAGACATACAAATGGCCAACGGGTATATGAAAAAATGCTCAGCATCACTAATCATCAGGGAAATGCAAATTACAACTACAACGAGATATCATCTCACTCCGTTAGAATGGCTTTCATCAAAATGACGAAAGAGAAGTGTTAGAGAGGATGTGGAGAAGATAGAACCCTTATACACTGTTGGTGGAAATGTAAATTAGTACAGACATTATGAAAAACAGTATGGAGGTTCCTCAAAATATTAAAAATAGAACTGCCATATGATCCAGCAATCTCACTTCTGGGTATATATCCAAAGGAAATAAAATCAATATGTTGAAGAGATATCTGCATTCCCATGTTAGCCAAGATACAAAATCAATCTAAATGTCCATCAGTGGATGAATGGATAAAGAAAATGTGGTAAATATACACAATGGAATACCATTCAGCCATATCAAGGATGAAGCCCTGTCACTTGCAACAATGTGGATAAACCTGGAGGACATTATGTCAAGCAAAATAAGCCAGGCACAGAAAGACAAACACTGCATGATCTCACTCATATGTGGAATCTAAAAAAAAGTTGATCTCATAGAAGTAGACAGTAGAATGATGGTACGATTGGCTGGGATGGTTAGCAGGGAGAGGATGGGGGATGGTGGCCAAAAGATACATCATTACAGTTAGGAGAGAAATAACTTCAAGAGATCTATTGCACAGCATGGTGACTCTAGTTAATGATGATAAATTGTATTCTTGAAAAATGCAAACAGGGTGGATGTTGTGCTCTCACCACAAAAATGATAACTTTGTGAAGTAATGCATTTGTTAATTAGCTAGATTTAACCATTCTGCAATGTCTATATATGTCAAAACATCATGTTGTACATGATAAAAACATACAATTTTTTCTGTCGATTTAAAAAAAGAAATAAAACATTAAAATAAATTTTTTTAATGTAAATTGGTTTCTCACTCTTCAGAAATTAGCAGCCTGAGCCCTCACCACAAGACTTCCACATATGTGAAGGGAGCCAAGTCGCTTGTTCAGTTCCTCTCTTTTTAAAAATAATCCCTGTTCTCAGTATTCCTCCCTGGGAGCACTTTGAAATCTGTCCATCATTTTATCTGGGCATTTTTACACACTATTCACGACACCTCCAAGCAACATTGAACTTCCCTGAAATTGAGAAAGGCATGGGGAGTGCTGGGTGGGTCCTTGTGCTGGGAGGAACCTTGTTTGGGGGCTTCTCTCTTTGCTCCTGGTGTTGGAAAGATGAAAGGCCTTATTTCCTGATCAGCACTGGGGACAGGAACCACAGATCAAGTGGACAAGCTCCACCTGCATCAGGCATGGAGGCTTGTCCATAACAGAACCTCAGAATTAGGAGCTACAGCATCAGAGGGGCCTTAGCAACATCCATTTTACAGATGAGAAAACTGAGACCCAAAAAAGGGAGCGGGTGCCTGTGGTTTCCTGGGAAGTTAATGACAGAAGGAGACTGGAATCTAGGGCTCTGAGCTCAAAGAGCTAAAATGACTGATGAATGGAGAGATGGACAGATGCCTGGATGGCACAGAGACAGACAGACTCAGGGGATGACTAATTGGCATCTTGGTATAAAATGATGAATGAGGAGAAAGTCTTCTCCCAAGGCTGTGTTGGCCCATGGTTCCAAAACCTGTCCTGAGACCCCACCCCACCATCTTAAAATTTCCTGCCATGGTTTACAATGGACAAAGAGAGTGAATGGTTGGATCAAACCCAATGCTGACTTGGATGGAGGAGGGAGGATTAAAGCCTACATACTCTTTATACAGCAAGAGTGCCAGGATCTCATCAGTTCCTCTTCAGTCATTGATCATCCAATGGAAAAATTTGCTACAGCTACACTGGAGTGTCTGAGATCATTGAGAGACACCAGCCACAAGGGCTTCCCTGCCTGGCTTGCAGTGAGAGCTCTTTGTTGAACATTTTGAGATTCAAGGAGGGGTACACCCACATTAATCAGCTCCTTGGTCAGGGTTCAGGCAGAGATGGTAGCTGGATGTGATGCATCAGTTGTCAGAAGCCTTCTGCCCCTTCATCCATGCATTCAACACCTACTTGCTGAATCCCTATCACATGCCACTGTTTTAAGCCATTGGGACACAGCAATTAAAAAAAAAGACACAGGCTGGGCACGGTGGCTCACTCCTATCATCCCAGCACTTTGGGAGGCCAAGGCGGGAGGATCGCTTGAGCCCAGGAGTTTGAGACCAGGCTGGGCAACATGGCAAAACACTGTCTCTCTACTAAAAATACAAAAAAAAAAAATAGCCAGGCATGGTGGTACACACCTGTAGTCCCAGCTACTTGGGGAGGGGGTGGAGGCAGGAGGATCACTTGAGCCTGAGAGGTCAAGGCTGTGGTGAGTCCTGATGATGCCACTGCACTCTAGCCTGGGTGGCAGAGTGAGACCGTGTCTCAAACAAACAAAAGATACAAATCCCTGCCCTCTTGGATTTACATCTTACTGGGGATGGGAAGCAGAAACAGACAATTACGAGAAATATAATAAAGTACACTGTAAAGGTAGAACCTTAACTGACTCCCTCTGCAAGCCAACCCATAGCTGATTATGGTGGGAGGGAGTGGGCACTTTGCAGTATTAAACTAAGTAGTTGGTGGGGGAAGGAGACTCACTAATTTTCCCAGGACAGTCACTCCTGGCTTATTCCAGTTGTAGACCAATTAATGTCAATTAGTTTCTTTTAGTGCTACCTTTGTATCTCAAAAGTGTCCTGGTTTGGATGGCAAGTTATATATCGGTCATCTTATTGAGAAGTATGCTTTCAGACTCCAAGGAGGCAAGGGAGTTAGCCAAGCAGGTATCCTAGGGAAGAACAAGTAGAGCAAAGACTCCAAGGTGGGAGTGTGCCTGATGTGTTCAAGGAAAAGCAACTGGGCCCAGAGGCTGGAGCATGCATGGGTTACAGGGACTAAATAGTCATGGGCCCTTCCAAGTTTTCCAACAAAAACTGTGGTTTTGCTGAGTGAGATGGAGGAATTTGGGTGAGTTCTGAGCAGAGGAGGGACATGATCCAATTCTGATTTGCAGTGAGCCTTTCTGGCTGCCATCTTGAGAGTAGATTCTGTCAAGACAAGGCAGAAGAAGGAAGACTGATTAGGAAGCCCTTCTAATAATCCCAGGGGAAAAGAGGGTGGCTTGGCCAGGTGGCTCGCAAGTGGAGGTGGCGAGAGTGGGGGGACTCTGGATGTAGTTTGAAGACAACACATTGGACTTGCTGATGGATTCGATGTTGGTATGGGACATAGAGAGGAATCAAGAAAGACTAGGGCAACTTGGCCAGGGCAAGTGGACGTGTGCAGTTGCCATTGACTGACATGAGGAAGTCTGAGGGTGGAGCTGGTTTGGAGAATTAGGAGTTCAATTCTGGACAAGTTCCATGTGAGATGAATGTTAGACATATAAGTGGAAATGCCACGCAGTTAAATATTGGAGGCAAGAGCTCTGGAGAGGGTTCTGTACTGGAGATACAAATTCGGGAGTCATTAGCATGGAGAAGGTCTTTAATGCAATATTTACCAACAAAGAACATCTGGCCTTTAGTCCAATTCAAAGCAGCACAAATTATATGGTAGTTGCCTATCATTTCATCTCCCCCATTCTGTTCGTGCTCCCATCAAAACTTCCTATGACCCCAAACTACACAGCCAGACCTCACTCCAGGGCCTGAGCAGTCAGAGCTGCAAGGCACCCCAAGGGGTACAAGCACTTCCTGAAACAATTCTACTCTATAACAATACTGGTACTCACCAAGGACACCTTGTGTAAAATAGGAAGCCAGTTGTGGGGAGCAGTGAACATGGAGTCAGAAAATCTAGAAGAAGAATCTTGGCTCTACCAATGGTTTGACTCTAGCTGTGTGACCTTGGGCAAGTCACTCAAACTCTCTGTGCTCAGCTCTCTCACATGGTTTATATTGTGCAGTAAGTGACAAAATCCATCTCAACAGCTTAGCACAGCACCTGGGACATAGTAACCGCTCAGTAAAAATCAGCAAAATGACTGTTTTGTTGCCATTATTATTAGCATTTGACTTAAGATGAGGATAAGGGAACAAATCATTTATTTGGAAGGTAATCCTAGGGGGCACTGGTTAAGGAGAGGCCAAGTGATAAAGAGAAAGAAAGAAGCCAGTGAAGGGTGTGTTCTCAAGCCAGTTATCGCTGTCAGCAAATAGAGCTGAACTCCACCAGGGCACCCTGACATCCAGTGTAGAGTACACACCCCAGAGTTCTCCCACCTGAGGGGTGAGGGAGCTGAGGTATTTATACACCAACTCCCACCAACCATGCCATGAGAGCTGGGGGTGGATACTACTTTCTAGCTTTGGAGAAAGAGATGCAATTGGAAGTCGGCTGGTGCATACTGCAGTGGTAAGGCCCAAAGGATGTGGACAGGGCACACACTGGCACCTGCTGCAGAGTCATCATTGCCTATCTGGGGCAATTCACCCAGCTTCTCTGAGCCTCAGTTTTCCATCTATAAAATGGCAGGCATCATATCTGCTTCTCAGAGTTGGCATGAGGATTTCAGAAAATAATGTTTGTCAAAGCACCTGGCGTGATGCCTGCCACATGGAATTTCAATTTCCTTTCTCCCTTTCTCTTCTCCTCATTACGCCCTTTCCACATGAAGGGAAAACTTACTTGCTCACAAGCCACACAGAAAATGCCTTTCAGAAGGGCACTTTGTGTTTTACAACATTGTTCTCTGGCTGCAGAGCACTCCTTCCATATAATATACTCTCAGATGTCCATAATGATCTTGCTAAGTATTCCTTTCTGGAAGGAGGAAGTAGAGGTGCTTTGATAGTGAGGACGGAGGTTTGTGCCCCCAAGGTATGCTTCATGTCTGTGGTCGCTGTTTTTCGCCCCGACCATGTCAAGGCCCCCTATCTCCAAACAAATTGGTCAAGATGGAGTCATTCCTAATCTGATGACATCCAGCACTGCCATGTGGTGTAAGCTGCTGAGCTGCTAACAGAGACACTGGTAAGTTGACCCAGAAAGGAGTCAATCCCTTCTTACTTCCCCCTGCAAAAAAAAAAAAAAGAAAGAAAAAGAAAAAGACCAACTCAAAAGGCCCCTGCAGGAAACAGGCCTGCCCGGTGCAACCCACCAGCCCATACAGCAGAACAGACGTGGGCCCAGGAGACAAGTGCTTATGTGTGAGCAAGAAGCCACCAGAATACCAACGAGCAGGGAGGTCTCCATGCCAGGAAACCCCCACAACGGCTATTTGTTTGGTGTCCTGGGAAAACTGAGCACCAACTGAGGCCTCACGGAGGCATCCAACAGCCGGAATAAATCTGAAAGAAGTTGACCACGCTGAGACGGACCAGGCTTGGTTACTGACACACAAATAAGTCCAGTTGATTAATAACTACTCTCTGTTTAGAGTTAGCAACGGTCCCAAAGACTGGCATCTTGCTGCATCCAAAGAGGTGCTTGCTGGCATGGATAAGGCAATAAGAATAAATAAAATTAAGTGGTTTCTTTACACAGGACTTTGCTAAGAATCTCACATATGGCATCTTGTTGATTTTTCTTGGCAGCCCCAACACAAACATGATCATCTCCATTTTACTGGTAAAAGAAGCCTGAAGCTCAAAGGGCTTATCAATAATTTGATCATGGTGATATAAAGCCAGTCAACAGGTAAGCCTACACTTACCCACCCATGAAGTCAGCCTTGAAAGAATATTTTTTTTTTAATCTACAGTGTTTTCATATACAAGATCTAATGGAAAACAAAGTGTATTTATTATGTTTAGAAGCCAGAATAGTGGTTAACATTGAGGTGAAATGAGGGGTAACACCCAGGAAGGTGCCAGTATAAGGGACTTTAAGATATTGGCCCTGTACTGCTTCCTGGCCTTGGTGGTGGTTTCACGAAACTCACCTTGTGATAGCAATTCACCAAGGTGGACACTTAGTAACCAGTGAATTTTCTTTAAAAAAAAAAAAAACGTAGAGACAAGGTCTGGCTATCTTGCCCAGGTTGGTCTCAAACTCCTGGCCTCAAGTGATCCTTCCACCTCAGCCTTCCGAAGTGCTGGGATTACAGCCATGAGCCACTGTGTCCAGCCAACTAGTGAATTTTCTATACTTACATTATACTAATGGAAGGATGAGAAAATCACGGCCAGAGGGGGCCAGCTGTCTGTTTTTGTAAATAAAGTTTTCCTGGAGCAGAGCCATTTCTGTGTCGATGTATTGCCTGTGATTAATAATCCGATCCTCTGCAGAAAAATTTTGCTGATTTCTGTGTACACTGTTCAGAACTTGGTTTGAGCACACATTATATCTAGCTTTCTGCTTGCGTTTTTCGTAGGCAAACATGTAAATGAGTTTGCAGACTTGAAGAACACAACAAATGACATGAAGGAGAAAGAGCTCTATGTTACCCTGACACATTCATTAAAGAAGTTATACGGTCATTAATAAAAACACAGATGATCCAATGAGAATGTAAATAAGGAAATTAGGATAAACTGAAGAAAATTAAGAGCAAAGAGAAAGACAGGTATAACAGAAATCATCTTACTTAAAATTACTAAGATTTGGCTGCAACTTTGACTCAGAGTTTCATGGATACCCAAGCAAAATTGGTAAGACACTCAACCCAGACGCTCCAAATGCCAAGGAACCAAGCAGAGCTTCAAACTTCCTCTCCAGAATCCACAGAGCATCCAAGCCTGTGCACACAACTGAAAGCTGGCTGTTCCTGATTTTTTTTTAAAAGCACCTTTTCCCCATTTTTCCTGCAAAAAAGCAACTCATTTTTTGCTCTGATGGGCAAAAAAACCCTCAGGAGCCTAACTTTTGCCAACTGCCATGTGGCACTGCCCATTCCCATCTGGGCTGGCTGGCACAGACCACAGCGAGCAGAACAGAGGGCCCAGGAGGGTCCTCAGATCGTGGCTACATCACAATGACCTACTTGGGATTAGAACAACATTTTAGAGCATAACAGCGTTTTATGGGTCATAAATATTGCACAGATGTTCCTTATTTACACAGACTCGATAGATTATTATTGCAACATTACCATGCTAATATGGTGATTCCTGTTTTCGAAACTGGCGGGCAAGAAGCAGGGAAATGTAATTAAACAAGTATGGTGCACATTTTAGGAGGTTGTTCAGTAAAACAAAATAAAAACACACACTAAAACTGCTACCTCTTATTCAATTTTATTCCACAACTGACTCTCGATGGCAAGAGTTAAACTTTTCACAAAATAGCATTAGCTGGGATTGGAGAATAATAACTTAAATAACAGCAATGGCAGTAACAAACAGCTAGCATTGAATGTGTGCTTACTACGTGTTTTATACATGCATTAACTCACTTAATGCTCAGAACAACCTTATAACGCGGATCTTATAACTATGCCCCTTTGACAAATAAGGAAACTGAGGCAGAGGTGGCCAAGCAATTTCCCAGAGTCAGAAATCTTTTCTCAGTGGAACCAGCATCTGACTTCAAAGTCCATGTTCTGGTAATAACCACACAACAAGCAAAGACTTACTGACAGCTTTCTGCAAAAGCAAAGGCTACTCCGTGCGGTCCCATCCTGGGCCACTAAAGCACACAACGATCAATGCCCCAACACATAACATCACCTCTTTGAAGACAAAGAATGGAAGGTCGGTCTCCATGGTCCATCACTCTGGAGGCAGCAAGGAGTCAAGCTTCCAGGATCTGGTCTGGGGCTGCCTGGCTCCCCTTCCCTTCAGCCACACCAGTCAGTCACCCATGGTTCCAACCACACCAAAGGGTTTGGCTTTTCATGATGACCCGCTGGACAGCAGCTTGGCTCAGGCTGCTCTTCTGTCTGCTCCCCATCTCACTACTCATAGCCAAGCATCATTTCCTGCCAGAAACCATCCCTGGCTCCAGCCAAGTGAGGCTGCTCCTTGCAGCAGCGTCTTACACCTACCATCTCCGTATGGTGATAGCCAACATGCCCATCTGTCTCCCCAAACCAGACGGTGAGCTCCTTGAGGACAGAAATGATCTTTCAGGTATCCCTTGCTGGTGAATCCACAGTGACCAACCCAGAGAAGGAACTCAGCAAAATGGTGAACCAGAAGAACTGGCTAGGAAGAGAGCGGAGATAGCTGCAAGGATGCCCTGCTAGGAACTGTGGCAATCCTTACAAAAGTTTGCCCTGAAACAATCAGCATCCTCTTAGCAATTTTTGAGTCTCCAAAATAAACATCTGTGGTCAACAATGAAATGCACAGAGTGCTCACTTTTTGACAGTCCGTTCTATAACACAAATCTTGCTTGGAGGCCAGCCACATTCACCCTTAATCCTAGGTGTGATCACATGAAAGTGTTCACGTGGTCCACGCAGTACAACTGGGAAGTAAAGAACAGGCTGGGCCAGGCGCGGTGGCTCGTGACTGTAATCCCAGCACTTTGGGAGGCCGAGGGGGGCAAATCACGAGGTCACGAGATCAAGACCATCCTGGCTAACATGGTGAAACCCCGTCTCTACTAAAAATATAAAAAATTAGCCAGGCGTGGTGGTGGGCGCCTATAGTCCCAGCTACTCAGGAGGCTGTGGCAGGAGAATGGCGTGAACCCAGGAGGCAGAGCTTGCAGTGAGCCGAGATCATGCCACTGCACTCCAGCCTGGGCTACAGAGCGAGACTCCTTCTCAAAAACAAAACAAAACAAAAAAAAAAACAGGCTGTATGTGGAAGGCTGTGGCTCATTCATACACATTATTTGGATAGTTCCGTGGCTCCTGCACTGGACTGGTTCCCTCAGGGGAAAAATTATCCAAAGATATATACACCGACAGCACATCTATCTCATGTGTGTGTCTTTGTGTGCATAGAAAGAAGTGGAGAGGAGAGGGAGATATGAACACATCCGTTCCTCAACCTCTCCTTTACGAAATGTGTTCCTAAAAATGAGTTGCAAATTGAATGTTTAAAATTTGGACTATACAGATCCTTGCGTGCTATAAGGGTAGAGCAGAAGAGGGTATACATGGGAGGACGACTTCTAAAAACCATGAAATTTTACCTTTGGTATATATGTTTCATTTTCTTACCCCCTGAGTGTCATGCAATGTACTGATGATTATTTGGGATTATTTAAAATATTAAGAAATAAATTAAGTTACAAATGATAAACTTAATTTTGGAAAGTCCTACCTTAAATTCCAATTATCTCAGCTTACTGAAAATACAATTCATGCAAAGGAGAAAACGAGTTTGCTGTTAGGGACAAGGATGTGCTGGCACAGATATAGCAGAGGATTCGGCACTGGCTTCCACTCCTTCATGCAGTCTTTCAACATTTGTAGAGCACCCAGTACATGCCAGGTGCTTTCTAGGTAGCAAGCAAGAGAGAATTGCTTCTTTAAGTGCTTTCTCCCCATTACATTCAAATGGGAGAAGCAAACTAAGTAAATAACCAAATAAATAAATACTTGGAGATAGCTGATACCATTAACCTATTAACACACCCAAGCTTATGTGGACAGAAAGTGAAGGAAAGATATTTGAGCTGAGTTGGAAAGAAGGCACGTCCCAAGTAGAGGGAACAACTAGAGCCAAGGTCTTGAGGGAGACAGAGGTGTTGACTATACGAGAAGAGAAAAAAAGGCCAAGGTAACTAACACAGTGCCCACAAACCTTTTCTGTAGAGGGCTAAATAGTAGAGACTTTAGCCTTTGCAGGGCATACGGTTTCTGTTGCAACTACCAAACTGCACCATTGCATGAAAGCAACCATAAATAATATGGAAATGAATGGGCAGGGCTCTGCTCCAATATAACATTTTTATGAATGTTGAAATTTGAATTTCATAGAATCTTTGAGTACTACAAAATACCCTCCTTTTGATTCACTATCTACCATTTAAAGATGTAAAAACCTTTCTTAGTTCACAGGCCATACAAAAACAGGCAGCAGGCCAGATCTGGCCCATGGGACACAGTTTTCTGGCTCCTAGGCTAAACTCAGTCAAGTAAGCTGATATGGTTTGGCTGTGTCCCCACACAAATCTCATCTTGAATTGTAGCTCTCATAATCCCCATGTGTCATGGGAGGGACCCAGTGGGAGGTAACTGAGTCATGGGGGTGGGTTTTTCCCGTGCTGTTCTCATGATAGTGAATAAGTCTCACAAGATCTGATGGTTTTAGAGAGGCCAGTTCATCTGCACATACTTTTTTTTTTTTTTTTTTGAGACTGAGTTTTGCTCTTGTCACCCAGGCTGGAGTGCAATGGCGCAATGTCGGCTCACTGCAACCTCCACCTCCTGGGTTCAAGTGATTCTCCTGCCTCAGCCTCCCAAGTAGCTGGGATTACAGGCGCCTGCCACAATCATGTCTGGCTAATTTTTTGTATTTCTAATAGAGATGGGGTTTCACCATGTTGGTCAGGCTGGTCTTGAACTCCTGACCTCAGGTGATCCACCCGACTCGGCCTCCCAAAGTGCTGGGATTACAGGCGTGAGCCACCACACCCACCCCTGCTAAACACACTCTCTTGCCTACTGCCATGTAAGATGTGCCTTTGATCCCTTTCACCTTCTGCCATGATTGTGAGGCCTCCCAGCCATGTGAGTCCATTAAACCTCTTTTTCTTTACAAATTACCTAGTCTCAGGTATTGCTTCACAGCAGTATGAGAACAGACTAACACATAAGTGAATGGCAGAAGAGGGGATAAAAGACAGTATCAGGAGCTAGAAGCAACAGTTTCGGCTTGGGGCTTTATTCTACGTGCAAGTGGAGCAATTTAAAATGGGAGAGATATGGTCTGACTTACGTTTTTAAAAAATTACTTTGGCAGTTGAGTGGCAATTCTGATGATGTCATCAACTTCCTTGAAAAAAATGTGTCAACAGGGAATGGAACACTATCCTCTTGATCAAGCAGTCTGGAGCAAACCATCTTCCCCTCAAAAGCTCTACGGGGCAAGGCATGGTGGCTCACACCTGTAATCCCAGCTCTTTGGGAGGCCGAGGCAGGCAGATCACCTGAGGTCGGGAGTTGAAGACCAGCCTGGCTAACATGGAGAAACGTCATCTCTACTAAAAATACAAAAATTAGCTGGGCATGGTGGCACGCACCTGTAATCCCAGCACTTTGGGAGGCCAAGGCAGGCAGATCACCTGAGGTCAGGAGTTCGAGACCATCGTGGCCAACATGGAGAAACCCTATCTCTAATAAAAATACAAAAATTAGCTGGGTATGGGGTGGTGCACACCTGTAATCCCAGCTACTCGGGAGGCTGAGGCAGGAGAATCACTTGAACCCAGGAGGCAGAAGTTGCAGTGAGTCGAGATTGTGCCACTGCACTCCAACCCCGGGCGACAGAGCAAGACTCTGTCTAAAAAAAAAAAAAAAACCCTCTATGGATCTGTAGATTTCTCTCTGTATTTGAATCACTGAAGGCTTTATTTTTCTTTAATGCTGATTGTCTGTCCACAATTTTAAAGATTTCCTCATTTTCTTCCATCACTAAACATGGCCTTGGAGACACGATGTCTTAGGTTACATTTTCAGGATTTCATGTGTGTTCTTTCATTTTATTTTCCTTTCACAAGTGAAGTCATCTGACCAGTAACCAATTGAAGTTAAATAGTCAATACTGTCTGTACATCTGACAGACTCTATCCTTGCCTCAAATGTATTACCATGAGTACCGGCATTTTCACATTTCCATTTTCTACTCATTTTTATAATGTAAGAAAAAACTGGAGAAAAATTCAATCACAGCTGTACAGATAAGGGGGGTAAGAGAGAAAAACTGGCCTCATGGCTGGCAGACATCAGAGTACAATGGCTTCAAATGGTTTTGTAAAGTCCAAATTCAACACCGGGGTTATAAATGAATAATAATAAAGAAAAGTGTGGTTTCTCCCTTCCCATCAATTCTGCCCTATATGAGAGGAAAGGCTGTCAGGGACTTGGTCCTTTTAGGCTTCCCTGTGTTTCTCTGACTACCCCTCCTGAATCCCAGTTTCCAGTGTCCTGTCAAGAGCCTGACTTGACCTGTTTATTGGTTCATAGACTGTGCCTGGCATCTTGACATTCAACTTAGTCTAGCAGCCTAGCTCCAGCTAACCATGCCCCAGCAGAGAGGGAGTGCCGTCATGTTAGTCAAGTCAGAAAAGCCTTTACTCTTGACAGGTTTGGACCTCTTAAAAATCCAAAGGCATTCAACCCTTGTTAGCCTGGACAAGATACAACTCTGGCTCCCTCAACTGTCATAAGAAATAGATAATGACAACTTCTTAGACATACAGCAACAAAGAAAGGAAGTCATGCATTTCAAACTCTCTTCAAGACACTTAATAAATTAACCAAGGTAAATAAGTAACCAGATCAAATCTATCAGAATTTTTCATCTCCCAATTTCAGTCTCTTAGTTAAATTTCAACCCATCCTATGTCCATAGAAGTGAAGCCTTCTGTAACAAGGCTCTGAATAATGCAAAAAAAAAGAGGTGGGGTGGGAGTTAAGATGTGATTCTGTGACAGCTATAGTCTAAAATGGCCCCAATGATCTTCACCTCCCAGTACTCACATCCTTATATAATCCCTTCCCCTTGAATGTGGCTAGACTAGTGACTAGCTTCTAAGCAACAGAGCATGGTAAAGGTGACGGGATATCATTTATGTGATTAGGCTACATAAGATGATGACTTCTGTCCTGCTACAGAAGTAGCAAGAATATAGCAGATTGTCTCCCTTGCTCAGGAAATGGGGCAAGCCCACATATGTTAGAAAGGTCCATGTGGCAAGAAACTGAGGGTGGCTTCTGGCCAACAGCCCCCTCAAGGAGCTAAAATGCTTAGTCCAGCAGCCTGCAAGAAACTCAATGCTGCCAACAACTATATGAGGTTGGAAACAGATCCTTCCCTATGGAGCCTTCATATGAGATCACACCCCTGGCCAACACCTTGACTACAGCCTTATGACAGATGTTAAAAGCAAAGAACTCAGTTAAGCTGTGCTCAGAGACTACTGACCCACAGAAACTGTGAGACAATAAATGTGTGTTAAGTGGCTAACTTTGTGGTAATTGGTCACGCAGCAACAGTTAACTAGTACAGGGTCCAACTTGTCGTTTCAGTTTGAATTGCTCAAGTCATCCTAATCCAGGAGTCACATGTTGTCAAGTCTCTGCACACCTCTCGCTGCATTATCATAAGCTTTCATGAATTTAAAAGAACAGATTAGAGGTTGATTTCTTCTAAAGAACCACTACAGTAAACCAGTCTCAATCCCTTTCTTCCAGCAAAGGGACATCATCAATTGCCACATCTTCCCCTTTGATGCAAATGACAAAGAGGAAAATCAAACCATGTCATTGCCATCTCTGAGTCCAGGAGAAAGAGATAATGACAGCACCTGGCCTGTCTTGCCTCACATCAGGAATGCAGTGAGATGGTTCTGAGCCATGGACTTTCCCAGACCATTTGAATGAGACTGACATCATGAGGAAGGGGGTATCCTCTGGTTGGGAATCCTCTAGTGGCTGTATCATTATTTTCTATTAAAGCCCCTATTGCATAGGAATTTTTTCCCATGCTGATATGAATCTCTCATGGAAAATAAAAGTTATTTTTAACTATGAGCCTCAGGCTATAAATTCATTCTCCCTAAAGAGTTAGGATCAAGCAAAATCAAAGAAGTTAGAGGAAGGAGAGAAGAACACATCCTGGAGTGACTTGGCCACACCTGCAAACCATGTGCCCTGCCCCACAACTGTCCTCTGAATGCTCTTCTGGGACCTCTTCCCTCTCCCTTTTACCTGTGCCCCTTTTTATGTATTTCCTCCTACATGCTCATCCCACCGTGCCTTCATTCAACCTGCTCCTAAGAAAACTTGACTTTAAGACAGTAAGAGCTTTCCAACTAGCTAAGGTTGATTCTTCAATTCAATGTACTACTCCAAATACTTCAATCCAGAGTTCATTAGGTTGAAGGCATCATGCTAACCCCCACAGCAGACATGTGAACAGCTGTGTCTGCAAAGCCTTTAAAAATGATCCACAAACTTCCCTGCCTTCTTCCATTATAGAATGGGGCCAGAGTGCGCACCCCAGGTTCAAAACCTAAAAAGCAGGTTTCAGGCCTTGCCCCAACCCTCAGTTCTTGTGCAGCCTTGGGTTGGTCCTCTAAACCATCTAAGATCCAGCTTCCTATCTGCAAAAGCATCAGAAGACTTGTTGAAAGCAAGGATTAAAATGGAATGGTATGCCTGAAAATACTCTAAAAAGAGTCACTGCGATTAGGGCAAACAATTTCACCTTTTCTTATAACTCAAAGTTATCCATAAAATAATCGGTTATCGTACTGGGAGCCCACATCTATTTTTTCTCCTCCTGACATTATCATTGTCATGACTGCCACTACATCTTCAGTAAAGCAATAAGGTGGGACCTTTGGGGTCTTCCAAGGAGAAAAGCATGCTTGGCCCTCATACCTAGCAGCTGCAACTACTGAGTTGATTGAGCTTTCATCACTGCTTTTTACATTTATACCTCCTAATTCAACACTGGGGGTTATAAATGTAGCAACAGTTAACTAACACAGGGTCCAAACTGTCATTTCAATTCGAATTTCTCAAGTCATCCTAATCCAAGAGTCACATGCTGTCAACTCTCTGCACAATTCTCACTGTATTATCATAAGCTTTCATAAATTTAAAAGGATAGGTTACAGGTTGATTTCTTCTAAAGAACCACTACCGTAAACCAATATCCCTCCTCTTCTCTAGTAATGAGGTCATCACCATCTTTATTTATCAGCACTGCAAGCATGCCTCCCTGAAGCAGCCTTCTCCCTCCTTCTAAACCTTCTGAGCTTAGAAATCAAATAAAAACTTGCTAGAATTGTAGGTAAAGTAAGAGCTGCTGGCCACTGAAGGAGAGACTAAGGGCTCTCCTCTGGAGGAAAAAACAAGAGCTTTGTGTGTTTAATATCTCTTTGGTGGCTCAGAGGCTCTTTAGCTTCTTTCTAGGTTCCACGCAGTGCATTAGAAGGCAAGTCTTCTATTTACACAATGTCTGGTATATAGTTACCATTTCCTATTTCTATCTAGGATCTCACCTGGTGCCCACCCACCGGTGTTGATGTGTATCTGCATGTCTAATACACAACAGCAATGAGACCATGGGCATTCCACTCTTAAATTAGGAATTTCCCCCGTATATATACTCGATATATATACGGGGGAAATTCCTTATTTGATATACAGAGGAAATTCCTATTTAAGCATGATCATCATTTCCACACTATTTATTCACCATTTTATATATGTTACTTCATGTTATGCTCACAACCATCTAATGAGATAGGCACTATTATTCCCATTTGCTAGGCACTATTAATTTCCATAAAGAAATTTAAAGCTCAGAGAGGTTAACTGATTTTCCCAAGGATATAGAGAGAGTAAGCATGATGATTAAGAATCCCAACAAGTCTGGCTTCAGAGCCCATCCAGATGGCGATGAAAAGATCTCCAACAATGGCTATAAGTTCAAGTCACATTACAAATTTTTCCTAATGAACAGAAGTGAACTCTAAAATCCACCCATCAAATTGAAATTTATCACGACACATGCGTGAGTTAACAATTCTCCAAAAGGTAATAATATTATAACCACCACTGCTACTATCCCTCACCAGGTATTTGACATGCATCCTCTGAAATCTTCATAACCCCCTGCCAGACTGGTAGAATTATTCCCATTGACAGCGGGGAATCTGGGCTCAAAACATCACAGTAATTTGCCCAAGGATGCAGACTCAGTAAGTGGCAAGAGCTGGGATTTTAATTCAGCTCTCTCTGACTCCAATGCCTCTTCTCTTTCCAACATGTTGAGTGACCCAAGATGAGATATATTTAAGGGCAAACTAGTCTTCAACAATATAGTCAATCTTCACAATTCAGAAGATTCTTGTGAATCTTTCGCAGCTTCGAAACTGAGACAATGCTGGTCTGGAAATGAACATAGCTGGGTGGAAACCAGGTTTGTCCAGTTAACAGCTGCGTGACTGAGTATGTGCATAACCTCACTAAGACTGCATTTCTTTATAGTAATGCAATTTCACAGGGTCTTGACGTGGATTAAATGGGATAATGTGTGACATATGTGCAGGTATCAAGGTCTGTGGCACACAGAGGGTACTTTAAGTATTCTTTCTTTAATTATTATCTTTCTTTAGAAAATATAAATATGAATTGAGATTTCTGAATGACAGATTTAAGATAAAACAGCTACTATTATACAAGACAGAACACAGAATCTTCGATTCAAGATTAAAATTGCTGAAAGTATCCTAGAAATCACTGAATATTCATTTATTCACCAACATTAAGTGAGCCCCGACTATGTGTAGGAATTGCGCTAGGCATGGGGGATCAGCAGGGAAAAGAACAAAATACGGATGATTATGGAGCACAAATTCCAGTAGAAAAAAGTCAGAATAAAATAGAAAAGAGTCTAAAATAAAACACAAAGATAAACAAGAAGACCATTTCAGAGAGTTAAGTGTTATGGTTGGAGACAGCAAAGCTCCCTCTTATTTGGCTGAGAGGAAAACTGATCTCCAAACCAGAGAAGGGATTTGATTGGCCAAAGACCCCACCCAGGATTAATGGTGTGTCTTTGTTCTCTAGACCAGCGATTCTCAAATTTTCACATCTATCAGAATCACCTGAAAGGGTTTAAAAACACAAATTTCTGGGTCCCACGCCAGAGTTTTTTATTCAGTGGATCTGCTATGGAGCCCAAAACTTTGCATTTCTGAAAAGTTCCCAGGTGATGCTGACACTGCTGGTCCAGGGGCCACACTTTGAAAACCACTGCCATTGAGGAACACAACCATACCAGAAAGTAGTGAGGCAGAAAGAGCAGAGGACAAGTACCCTAACCCCTCTCCTCCTGCCATACCATCTCCTACCAGTGCCAAACTCCATCACTAAACTCAGTCAGGAATCAGAATGCAAAAGAGTCGAGGTCATGTAGCCTCCTGGAACCCAGCGCAGTACAGAGAAGGGCTCCATTAACACAATTCCCTCCCCTTGCCCCTTTTCACATTAAAGGGTTCAAAACCTCACTGAGGCTTCCCACTAGTCCTAGTCTCCAAGTGCCTCGGCATCCCTTGTGAGTTCTCTTAACCTCAACCCCGCCACATGAATAGTCCCTTTGTTAAAGCCTCTTGACACACAGGAGTTGAATTCTGTTTTCTGTTAAGATCCGGAGAGATACACCACCAGATCCCAGACAGTTCCACTAGTGGGATAATTTCCAAAACTGACAAACAGCTCTTCTATTTCTTCCTAAAGTAACAGCTATAAAATGCAGGTCAAATATCAGATAATCTTTTTTGCTACACAAATACAAATCGTATATGCAATTCGCAAGCCCTTGCACAGGCTGTGCAGCAAGATCACTCTAAATACAGCTTGTGGGCCTGGGATGAGCATTAGAGTGACCGACTCATCCTGATTTGTCTCAAACATTCCTGCGTTTTCAATGAGCACTGAAGGTCCTATGTCCTAGGAACCATCTCCATCCTGGGCAAACGAGGACAATTGGTCACCCCAGCCACGCACTCTTATGTTTTCTTGCATTTATGATGCCTCCACTGAACTCCCAGCAATAGCACTATAACCAAGGATGGCTAGTATTTATGGAGCACTTTCCATGAGCCTGGCTCCTTGCTAAGCATTTGACATACCTCACCTCATTAATTTCTCACAACCATCCTACAAGCAAGTTACTACAATTTGCCTCATTTCACAGATGATAAAATCGAGGCTCAAAGGGTTTAAGTAGCTTGTTCAGGTCACACATACAGCTTATAAATTAGCACAGGCTTAACTTGAGCCCACAGTCTGAGATCAGAGTCTGCAGTCTTTTTTTTTTTTTTTTTTTTGAGATGGAGTTTCACTCTTGTTGCCCAGGCTGGAGTGCAATGGCACAATCTCTGCTCACCACAACCTCCACCTCCCGGGTTCAAGGGATTCTCCTGCCTCAACCTCCTGAGTAGCTGGGATTACAGGCATGCGCCACCAGACACGGCTAATTTTGTATTTTTAGTAGAGACGGGGGTTTCTCCATGTTGGTCACGGCTGGTCTCGAACTCCCGACCTCAGGTGATCCGCCGGAGAGCCTGCACTCTTCACCACCACATGGTTCATGACAGAGCAGATGGACTCACCTGCCCCAGATCTGATTCCATAAGGAAGGAAGATTCAGCCAAGAACTACCAAAAGGGCATGTTAGAAACCAAGCATTAACACTGCAGTCACAGAGCGGAAACTTAGAGGGGATCTACATGTTCTTCATTTTAAGGCACACAATGAAAAAGTCAACCGCAAGGTGTTTGGTGCCTTTGGAAAATCAGAGATAAAATTATGCAGGCCCTTATATCTCAGAATCAGAGATTCTTGCAGCAAAATCTGTGGCATTCAACACCTGATGCATCCTACAAATGCAAAAGCAGTCCCATCTGATGCCTTGGCTTCGAACTCTTATTTGTAAAACTGGAATAATGATCACCTGTCTTAAATCCACAAGGTGGTTGTCCTGTGGAGAAAGTAAACTCAACTAACTCTGTCCAGCCAGAAGTGTTTTCCTAAACTGCTGTGCTTGCGGGAGCCCCAGAGGTCCAAAGTCCACAGTGTGGGGTGATCCCTGGGGTTTGGTATACGGCACCTTCAGGTGCTGGGTCCCCAGTGTGAAATCAGGGGCAGCTATATCTAGGGGCTCAACCTCTGTTCCAGGACAGGTGAGGGTCCTTCCCTCAGAATTACCTGCTTGTATGACTGGGATAGTTGAGACTCACTTGTTGGGGAGATGGAGCTTCCTTCTGGGAAAGACAGTCTCTCTCTCCTGTACTTCTTATTCCCATAAAAATCTTCTAACATTCGACATCACATGGTGATTAAGAACCTGGACTCTGAATGAGACGACCACAGTGTGATTGTGACCAAGCCCTTGAACCTCCATAAAACCAATTATCTTATCTGATACATGGGATTGCTGTGTCTGCCTCATGGGATCATTATGAGAATTAAATGCAGTCTTAGAATTTCCCCAAAGACATGCTCATTGAAAATTCTGAACAAAGGCTTTCCACCCAGTAATTTCAAACAGGACCTAATTTTCTCCATAAGTATGAATTTTGCACAGCACATGGCACAAAGTAAGCCAGACAGAGAGAACATAAAGTAATGCCCAAGAACACAGAATCTAGCCTTGAATTCCTCTGGCTCAAGTCAAGTTCCCACACTGACTAGCTGTGTGACCTAGGGCTTGCTACTTAACCACTCTGTTCCTCAGTTTTGATGATCATTATACCTACATCATAACAGTGTTATGAAAACTCAAGGAGTGATAATTAGTAAAACCCTTGAAAAGTATCTGGCCCATTACAAGTATTTAAAGCATGTAATAATGTTAGTGCTTCCTATTTGGTAGTCATTTCATCTCCTGCATTTATTCCTCCGATTTTCAGTTTAGATCCTTCATATTCAGCAGACCCTGCTGCACCTGTGATTTTCATAACTCTTGAATCTAGTCCCTGTTATTATCGCCCATCATCCATCATTTCACCATATGATTTTTCCCCTTCTTGCATTTTCTGCTTTTCATTCCAACTTGAGCCAAATGCTCTTCTCCTCTGTATACTCTTTTGGGTTTAGAAACCTTCCTCCCAGGAAAGTGAAAATCCCTGCTGTCATATTCGAATGTGGACAGTTCTAATGGAGTCACTGTTTGAAATGAACAATCCTGGAAACAGGTTGCTTTATCTCCTGGACCTGGGGATTTCAAAACTTATTCCTTTTGAACAACCAAACCATGAGTAGTGTCAAATAACAAAACTGATCCATTGGGAAAATATATTTTAATATATTTAATCTTTATCAAAGATATCCAATGATTTGGTTTTCAGAACATAAAATAAAAATCCTAAAGTCAGAGGCCTAGAAGTTTAGTCTTTAAGAAACATAGAAATCATCTGGACATTTCACAGATGGGAAAGTGATGCCCAAGTTCACAGCATCTCTAAACATTGAAAAGACTGCGCAACATTATTCTTTGAGTCAAATGTGCCTTTCTGACGCCTCAGGCAAACCTAAGGCCAAAGGCTGTCCTATGAAAGAATCTCTGCTATTTCTCTGGGATGCGAGGAAGTCTCCTCCATGGAGATGCCAGGAAAGAGAAAGAGACGGAGGTGTGACAAGGGAATAGAACTGATGGCTAAGAAGGTCCCCTCCACGGGCCCCATGCACTCCTGTTCAAATGTCTCCCTGTGTCTGTGATAAAGTTCTCTATTTCCCTTCTTCTGCATGATGCAGGGGTGTTAGGATTCCCAAGAGAAATCCTTTACAAACTCGGAAATAAGGCCTTCCATATAGAAAATAAAACCTAAATTTGTCTTGAAAAGATGACAGAAGCAAACTGTACATATATTTAAAATTCCTATTATCTGTACCTTATTAATAAATCTTAAATTTCAAGAACATCTCTTGGAGCTGTGACTGTGCCACTGCACTCCAGCCGGGCAACAGAACAAGACTCCGGGCTCTGACTGTGCCACTGCACTCCAGCCTGGCAACAGAGCGAGACCCCGGGCTCTGACTGTGCCACTGCACTCCAACCTGGCAACAGAGCGAGACTCCGGGCTCTGACTGTGCCACTGCACTCCAACCTGGCAACAGAGCGAGACCCCGGGCTCTGACTGTGCCACTGCACTCCAGCCTGGCAACAGAGCGAGACCCTGGGCTCTGACTGTGCCACTGCACTCCAGCCTGGCAACAGAGCGAGACCCTGGGCTCTGACTGTGCCACTGCACTCCAGCCTGGCAACAGAGCGAGACCCTGGGCTCTGACTGTGCCACTGCACTCCAGCCTGGCAACAGAGCGAGACCCTGGGCTCTGACTGTGCCACTGCACTCCAGCCTGGCAACAGAGCGAGACCCTGGGCTCTGACTGTGCCACTGCACTCCAGCCTGGCAACAGAGAGAGACCCTGGGCTCTGACTGTGCCACTGCACTCCAGCCTGGCAACAGAGCGAGACCCTGGGCTCTGACTGTGCCACTGCACTCCAGCCTGGCAACAGAGCGAGACCCTGGGCTCTGACTGTGCCACTGCACTCCAGCCTGGCAACAGAGAGAGACCCTGGGCTCTGACTGTGCCACTGCACTCCAGCCTGGCAACAGAGTGAGACCCTGGGCTCTGACTGTGCCACTGCACTCTAGCCTGGCAACAGAGCGAGACCCTGGGCTCTGACTGTGCCACTGCACTCCAGCCTGGCAACAGAGCGAGACCCTGGGCTCTGACTGTGCCACTGTACTCTAGCCTGGCAACAGATCAAGACCCTGAGATATGATTGCACAGCAGCACAATCATAGCTCACTGCAGCCGCAAACAGACATCACTTTTTAAAGGAATAACTGAAATGCAGAAATATTACAAAGAGAAGTGCAATTAACACCTAGGTTCTTCTCCACCAAGAATTATCAACCAATTTTAACAAATTTTCTTAAAGTATGTTCTCCTTTTCAAAAGCAACAGAATATCACGGACAAAGGCAAAATGCCCTTTATCCACCATCCTAGTTCCATTTTTCCCATACCTCTTCTAAAGAGTGTAGCCTTCCATTCTGCTTTCAATGCTGACATAAACTTACATAGTTTGATTATTAATACATATTTGATTGATGTATCCATTAAATTACCCCTGTTTTCTTTCCACAGAAGAACATGTGGATTTGCAGATGCTGACTTTGGTTCATGTACCAGAAAATCCTGATATTTGTAAATAGTCCTTAAATAGATGCCCAGATTATTAGTATGAGGTCATCCAACATGCTGATATAGAAGGGAAGCTGCATAGCAAAAATTGGGATGCTTCTATGTACAAGCAGGATTCTGCTAGTTTGAAGAGGTCACTAGACCTCATTAGTAAACCATGAGGCCAGAAAAAGCCAGCCCAAGATATACTACATCTGCTTCAGCTCTGTGTAGTCACCGCACTCCCATAATATCCTGTATTTTTGGCTAAATAAATAAAAAATGTATAAGTTTGGGAGCACATACAAGGTCCTTGCCAGATAATCTGTAACCCATCTGCAATGACGCCATTGGTGTCAGAAGTGGGACAGACATGAAGAGCCCACCACAATGGCCACATTTTGGATAGGGATCAGAATATCAAAGTAGGACACAATGAGTAAAACATGCCTAAAACATGAGAATTTGCGGGGAGCTGAGTCTAGTGGAATTTATCCATGGTTCTTCTCCCTTCATCCATTTGGACCTGACATATAGTGAAAGATGGCTGGGACAAAGGTAGTTAGCACAAGGCAAAATTCCTGGAACCTTTTGTGTGAGCCAAAGCAGTGGTTAGAACTAAGGATCTCCAGAAAAGATGAAACCCCAGAAGGAGGAAATATCTGAAGTTTGAGCCAAAAATCTATGGATCACAAAAGGATGCTCTCAAATTAGACATCTGAAAAGGAAACCTGGAATGGGAAAGATACCAAAGACCCCTAGAATCCCAGGTGGAACAGGTGGTCAGCAGCTTTCCAGGGACAAATGATAACTGCTGAGGCTTTGGAAGTATGAGGAAATGGGAATGGAATAAAGAAATGCTTCAATGCTCATCAAGCCAACTCTCAGGCAGAACAATTGCAATACAGAGAGATTTACACAAAGACATTTAAATATATGTTAAATATTTCGTATGTGGGAAGAGGAAAAGATAATAAGGATAAGAAGTCTGACTTCATCAAGTCAACCTTCAATAAAAAAGTGACCCATCAGGAACCTGGCCCCGTTACAGTTTTAAACTAAAAAATTCTGTTTTAAAATATGTGTATACTTTCTAAAGGCAGCAGTAACTTTGAAATTTGTTCAAATTAATTGCACTTTTCCAACAAAAATGGTGTTCAGAGCATCAAGTCCCAGAAATATTTTCCTACTTGGAACAGGGATCTTCCAAGAGGAAAACTTAAAGAACTTCATTGAGATGGAAAATTCACCTTGGGAAGTATACCCAGAAAAAGTTTATAAAACTTCTGCTGAAGCAAGGGTGTTGTAGTATCTGGATTTGGTTGGGTGTTTGCGTGATTAAGCTGGGCATCTCACAAGTTGAAAACCATACATTTCCTCTTTTCCAGTAGGTTCCACTGCTCCTTAGTAAACCTAATAAAAATGATCTCAAAACTGCAACTGAAGTGTTAGACAGCTGGCCTCTACTTCATCCCAGACAATTTTGTTTAGGGGAAGATAAACACCCTGAACTGGAGCCAGCTGAGACACAGGGAGGAAGCTGGCTTTGTGCCTGGCTTCTTTAAGGCTAGAAGCTCTGGGAAAATAACTAATCATTCCTGACACCCACCCCGCAACCCTGATTTGAGACTGTTTAGAATCTTGGCTCAAAGTTGTGATTTCTGAGCTGAAAGCCACTCCCCCATTCCAATACACACACTTTCTATTTAAAAAGGTGAAAAAATAATGCAAAGGTTAAGAGATGGTAAATGGACAATCTTAGGCAGAGGAAAGATTCACTGACAAAGAAAAATGTAACAGTCAAAACATCCAAAGCTCTGGATCTGAAAAGAGAAGAAAGACTGGACACTGAAATGGCTTTGAGCTCAAAGCTGCAACAGCAGAGCAGAACAAGTTCCTTGACCCAGGCCTGTTAAGTGCATTTGTGCAGGTTCCACACAACAACAGGCAGCAGCCCTGACCTAGACACCTAGAACATGGTACCCCCACCTCCCTCACACCCAACCTTGCACTGCCAGATGTAGCAAGACTGAAGGGGACAGGTAATAAATGAGAAACTGCTCAAAAACCCAAGCCCCTGAAAGTGGAGGCCAAACACTTCCCCAAGGCAGATGAAGGGTGAACTCAAGGTGTCTTAGAGCACTCGTTCCCAGGGTCACCTTGTAGAAATGACTCAAAAGGACTTAGGGTTGGAACCATCATACATTGGTGCCTCTTCTACCAAAATACAGATACTGCCTAGACAAGAACAATGGGGATCTTTGGAATCACCACCACCCCCGAATGAAACAATTAAACTGTAAAAACCAGTAAATTCTTGAAGCACATCTCCACCAGAAGTCCAATGTCTGGTCAGCCCATTTAGATTCTGACAAAACATCCTTCCTTCACTGCAGGATCTCCTGGGGCCCTAAACACAGTTACCTTGAAAAGAATATTGTGACAGTTTCTTCTGTGATGACTGTACTACTGCCACAACAACCAAAACCAAGAGTTCAGGCATGACGTGTTTCAATCCATATAATAACTTACGTGTTTACATCAGACTTTTTAATTGCTATAACTTATCATATTCTCTATGTTAGTTTTATGGAGCCCATTTTTAAACCTCTGGAAATGGGTTAGAAAGGTCTAAAATAAGCGCCAATTTTAAAAACTGGGATATGTACATGTAATAAAAATATTAAGTTTCAGCTAAATTATATCATAGCCCTAATCTATTGGTGTTTTTTATAAATTGGTTTTTGTGGAACTTAGATACCAGTGTAAAAATTGTAGTCTTACAAAAACACAGTCGTACTTCAATTTTGGGGGTAAAGGTTGAAAAGTTTTCTGATGGATCTTCATATTAATTCACTTCTACTTTCTGACATGCCTAATTAACTTCTACAAAACTTAAACTAAATCCCTTCTGAGACACTAAATCTCTCTATTCTAAGGCCTTTAAAGAGTGAAAGCCTGACACTGAACTGGCATTAGTGCCCCCAAAATAAAAAGAATTAAAAGATCTGAACACACTTCAAAGGTTATATTTGTATTTTTCTCCAAGAAACAAGGTTTCCCACACTTGTGTGTGACTTCAGGTTCCTGTGGTGGGCAGCTCCTGAAATGGTTCCCAATGACCCCCACTTCCTGGCATTCATGCCTGTGATGGTTAATCCTATGTGTCAACTCGGCTGGGCTAACAGATGCCCAGCTAGCTGGTAAGATGTTATTTCTGGGTGTGTGTGTGAGGGTGTTTCTGGAAGAGATCAGCATTTGCACTGGTCAACTGAGTAAAGCAGATGGCCCTCCCCAATGTGGGTGGGCATCCTCCAATCCACTGGGGGCCCGAACAGAACAAAAAGGTAGAGAAGGGCGATTCTGCTCTCTTGGCTTGAGCTGGGACATCCATCCTCTCCTTCCCTTGGGCATCAGTGCTCCTGGTTCTTGGGTGTTCAGACTCAAGTCAGAGCCTACACCATCAACCCCCAAATTCTCAGGCCTTCGGACTTACATCATCAACTTTCCTGGGACTCCAGCTTGCAGACTGTGGGACTTCTCGGCCTCTAAACCTGCATGAGCCAATTCCTATAAGAAATGAATCAATCTCTCTCTCTCTCTCTCTCTCTCTCTCTCTGCCCCCACCTCCCTCCCTTCCTCTCTCTCCCTGTCATATATATATAGAAAGAGAGGGAGAGAGAGGGAGAGAGGGATATATATATATATACACCCACATTTTTTTTTTCAAACAGAGTTTCACTCTTGTCTCCCGGGCAGGAGTGCAATGGCATAGCCTCAGCTCACTGCAACCTCCACCTCCCAGGTTCAAACGATTCTCCTGCCTCAGTCTCCCAAGTAGCTGGGACTACAGGCACACACCATCATGCCCAGCTAATTCTGCATTTTTAGTAAAGACAAGGTTTCACCATGTTGGCCAGGTTGGTCTCGAACTACTAACCTCAGGTGATCCGCCCACCTCGGCTTCCCAAAGTGTTGGAATTACAAGCGTGAGCCACCACCCCCAGCCAATATATAATATACATTTAAAATGTGATATATAATATATATGCCCTATTATATATTCTAATATATATAGCCTATTGGTTCTGTTTCTCTGCAGAACTCTAAGACAACTTCCTTGTGCAATTCCTTCCCCTTGAGTGTGAGCTGAACCTAGTGACTTGCTTCTGACAGAATATGACAAAGTGATGTGATGTCCCTTCCCAAATTAGGTTACAAAGGACTGTGACTTCCATCTTGCTCACACTCTCTCCGGCTCTCTCACTTGCTCACTCTGACAAAGCCAGCTGCCACACTGTGAGCTGTCTGATGAAGTGGCCTGTGTGGCAAGGAACTGAGCGTGGCCTCTAGCAAACAGCTCATGAGAGACGGAGGTCCTCAAGCCAAGAGCCCGTGAGTAAGTGAATCCCGCCAACAGCCACGGAAGTGAACCTGGAAGCAGACCCTTCCCCATTCAAGCTGAACTGACTGCAGCCTGTGAGGGGCCCTGAGCCACACGACCCAGCTATGCCACACAGATTCCTGAGCCAAAGAAATAGTGAGACGATAAAGCCACTGCATTGGGGGAGTGACTTGTTATTAACAGACAATTAATATAGCTCCTTTAGAACAGGAGTTGGGCCTACTTTTCCTTTTCAGAAAGTTGGTGCCCAAGAAAGAAACATGGACAGCCGGGACCTGACTCTGGACCTGACACTGGGCCCAGGCACTTGGAGGCCAATTCCAAGATGCTAAAGAAAAAAAGACACGGTGACCTCAGCTTCTCAGTAATACTCACTGAAACACATAATATGGCAATGTGGCAAAATTCTTTTTAATTAGATTAATGAGTTATCCTATTCAAACTAACTTTACAAAATCAAAGAGATAAACAATCATAAATGCATGCTGTTTAAAACCTCTTTCTTTTCTATCCCTAATGCCACCAGCTGTTCCCATTTTACCCTGCTGTATGCCAGTGTTCAAACAAAACACCAAAAATATGCACCCAGATTCCGATGTTCCCACAACAAAGGGACTAGGGCTCTTTAAATAATAACTACTATTATAATAATATAATAAATAATAACAAACCAAGACGTGGGCCTGAAAATCCTTGTTGTCACTGGAAAATAAGGACTCTCTCAAGGAGGTCTGGAGGTGGTAAATAAGAACCTGGTTTGAAGGAGCTTCCAATAGCCAAACTGATCACTTAAGGGGGACACGCACAAAAGCATAATTACAGTCAATCAGAGGAAGTCAAGATCACCCAAGGCCACTAGTACCTGTGATGATCCAACATGAAGCACTGTTTTTTAAAAGTCCTGCTTGCTGATGTGAACCCATTCATTCATGCTCAGTTACAAAGAGACAAATGCGTGATCCCTAAGGGATGACTACATAACCACCCACCAGGAGGTCAGGGAGGACCAAGAGAAATGGGTTTGTGGTCTTGTGTCTGCTCCTAGAACCAACAGGATAAAAGGGGGAGTAAAGCAAAATGAGGGGTGGTCTGAGAAGAAACAGGTTTCCAAGGTCCTGGGAAGCAGGAGCTGGAACATAACTGTGGAACATGTAGTCGGCAGCACTGCATTCTTCCACAGAAAAGGATAAGCTCCACGACGCTAAGAAAGTTAGAAGTTTGCAAACATCTTCCTTCTTTTTTTTTTTTCCGAGACACAGTCTTGTTCTTTCACCCAGGCAGAAGTACAGTGGCATGATCTCAGTTCCCTGCAACCTCCACCACCTGGGTTCAAGCGATTCTCATCCCTCAGCCACCCAAGTAGCTGGGATTACAGGCACATGCTACCACACCCGGCTAATTTTTGTATTTATAGTAGAGCTGGCATTTCGTCATGTTGACCAGGCTGGTCTTGAACTCCTGGCCTCAAGTGATCCATCCACCTCGGCCTCCCAAAGTGCTAGGATTACAGGCGTGAGCCACCACTCGCCCGGCCGTGGTTTGCAAACATCTTTTAAGAGCAGCGCTTGAACTATTAGCGTGAAGTTCCTCCTGGGTGTTGATGGAAGCCCCCTACAAAGGCAGAGACAAAGCTGGTGCTGAGCTGTTTTCTCCTCTGTTCATCAAACCAAAGGCGCAAAAAAAACAAAACAAAACAAAACAAAAAACGTTGCATCTGCTCCTGATCCAAGGCACTTCTACTCTTCTGTTAAATCTCTACATCCTTAGCTTAATGAGAAAAGAAATGAATGAATGATCTATTCTCTCCCCCACAAATCCATACCCTACCAAAATATTCAGGGTAAAAGTTATTCGTGTCTTTAATTTTAATAGACATTGCCAAATTAGCACTCAGAAAGGCTGTTTCAATTTTCACTACTCAAAAATGAACAAAGCTACCTAATTGCTCAGATCCTTGTCAAGACTTGATAGTCTTAAACTTTTGCATTTTTGCCAAATTGATGAGGGGAAAAAATGCTACTTCATAGATTTAATTCACAGTCTAAAGAGCCTTTCAAAGAGCGAGAGATAATGCTTTGCAAATTGCTAATACAACAAACTATTTTGGAAACTAGCAAGAGATAAGTCATAGTAACGCCATTTCCTTGGTGCCTGTTTTCTGCCGGGGACCAGGCTTGACAATTTACAGGTATTATCTCCAGCTCTTGCAGCAATGAGGCATCAGTAGCCCCATTTTACAGATGCAGAAAAAAAGATGCAGAGCACTGAAGTAACTTATCAAGGCCACATCACAAGTGCATTAGGGAGCTGAGATTTACACATAAGTCTAACTTCACAAAGGCCCGTGGTCAAATAAAAGTTTTAACAGCTTTAGTCCATAAAATTTCATCCATCATCAGGGTACTATTCTATACCTTTTAGGAAATGCAGAGTTACACGACCATCACCACCTTCCAGTTTCCAAGTCAAGAAAGTTAGAGGTTTGCAAACATCTCTTGAGAGCAGCATATAAACTGTTCTCTCAGGCTCGCTTCCTATAAACCCCTGCTCCATGCCCAACCCTAGGCAACAACTGGTCTGCTGTCTGTCTCCATAGATCTGCCTTATCTGTGCATCTCATAAAATATACAGTCTCTTACATCCAGCTTCTTTTGTTTAGCATAATGTTCTCGAGGCCCATCCATGGCGTAGCCTGTATCAGCAGTTCATTCCTTTTTATTCCTAGTCATATTCCCTTGGAGGGATGATGGACATCTGGATTGTTTTCAGGTTTTGGCTTCTGTGAATAATGCTGCTACAAACATTCATGCTCGTGTCTTTCTGTGGACATATGTTTTCATTTCTGTTGGGTAGATTCCTAGAAGTGGAATTGCTGGATTTTATGGGGAGTGTCTGTTTAACTTTTTAAAGAAACTGCCAAACTGTTTACCAAAGTGACTCCACCATTTTTTATTCCCTCCAGCATCAAACAAAAATTGTCAACTGAATATTCAAGAAATGTGAGACTTTGCATCTCTTCCACTTATGCTCCAGGGGACGTGTTTGTGTGTCACACGCACTTTAGCAGCCTGGCTTCAGTGTGAGAAAAAATTAAGTCTGCCACACTGGGGGACTGCTTCAATTTCCAGGTGACTTACCAGTCTGAAGGTGCATCTGATGGGGTTTCTGCACAGCCCTTCCGTGTGGATATACCTAGGAAGGACTAACTGAAATAATGCTCACATTTGAAGATAAAATAGGCCCTAATGGGCCGGGTGCGGTGGCTCACACCTGGAATCCCAGCACTTTGGGAGGTCGAGGCGGGAGGATCACAAGATCGAGGGATTGAGACCATCCTGGCTAACACGGTGAAACTCTGTCTCTACTAAAAATACAAAAATTACCTGGGCATGGTGGCGTGCACCTATGGTCCCAGCTATTCGGGAGGCTGAGGGAGGAGAATTGCTTGAACCCAAGAAATGGAGGTTGCAGTGAGCTGAGATCACGCCACCGTGCTCCAGCCCGGCGACAGAGCAGTGAGACTCTGTCTAAAAAAAAAAACAGGCCCTAATGATCACCATGCCTCACTGACACCTCTTTCCCTGTCCCGCTGTATTGACACATCGATTCCCATTTTTCATGGTTGACTTCTGTTACGTCCCTTTGGAATGTATATCTAGAATCCTCACTGGGTCCCTCTGTATCCTCTTTAGCACCTGCAACTCTTACCAATAGATAATAAATAAATGCCATTATCCTGCTCATTTCTGCCTCTACTGGCAAATAAAAGTGTCCAGCAGGACCATATGAAATGCTGAAACCCATGATCCTAACCGGTCACCCTAACCCACCTGGACACACACACTATTGATGAACCCCTGTCCCTGTGGCTGTATCTGATTTTTGTTAACCCATTGAAAATATGTGGCTTTCTTCCTCTCCATACTAATCTGAATCCATTCTGTAAGATTTCATGAGACACGCTAACTGCTTTCTAATATCTATGTGGTATTGCCTCCTGGACCCAATTCTGTAAGGTGTTTGCAAATGCTATTATACTTGTCCGACATGGTTTGTTCTCAATAATCTCAGAGCTTTTTAATTTATTTATTGGAATGCCATGGCCCTTGTTTGTTTTCTTATTCTTTGCTTGTTTATCAAGTGCACAAAGTATCTTTTTCCCCCACAGCCCCAGAGTGCTGTGCAGTTGATCTCCAGGTTAGGGAAGAGCAGAGGACAGAGCCGAAAAGCAAGGAAGGCTGCACACGGGAGAGTGTAGGAAGGGAAACAGAATGCATCCAAATGTTGTGTCCTGACGCAATATGTAGCCATTTGTGGTTTATCAACACTTCTAAGTCAGAGAGTAAAATATGCCTAAAAGTCAACATTCCCTATTTAAACCCTTGAATGGCCAGATTTACTAGTGTCATCTGTTGGCAAATTTCATTGGCAATCTCTTTGTAAAAGCAGTTGCAGGGAATCAAGCCCCTGAAAAGAGGAAAAGGAGGAAAACTGGGTGGGCATGGTGGCTCACACCTGCAATCCCAGCACTTTGGGAGGCCGAGGTAGGCACATCACCTGAGGTCAGGAGTTCAAGACCAGCTGGCCAACATGGTGAAACCCCGTCTCTATAAAAATACAAAAATTAGTCAGGTATGGTGGCACACACTCATAATCCCAGCTACTTGGGAGGCGGAGGCAGGAGAATTGCTTGAACCCAGGAGGCAGAGGTTGCGGTGAGCCAAGACTGCACCACTGCACTCCAGCCTGGGCAACAGAGTAAGACTGATCTCAAAAAAAAAAAAGGAAACTAAAAATCATCACCAAACCCAGCCATCTCATGGCCAGTTCACTATTTAGCATAAGACTGATGCCCCACCCGCCTTGGCCTGTGCACATACACCTGTGCTGAGGTCAGTAACAGACAAGGCTCCTCTTGGGACAAAGTGCCTATTATGTACCAGGCACTCTTCCATTCACTCTGCATATTGCATCTTATTTGGTTACCACAAAGTCCAGCGAGACAGCTATAATTATCCTCACTTTACAAATGAGAAGCTGGGGAGCTGAGAAGGTAAATGACTTGCCCAAGCCGGCATAGGTAGAAAGAAGCAGAGGCGGGATTTAAACTGAGGACTTCAGATGCCAAAGCTCATACTCTTTTCTCCAAACCAGGCTGCCTCCTGAGTTAAATTCCCCTGCGCCCACCCTCGCCCCCCCATTATAGCTGCCGTGAGACTCTACCATCTCTTCACCATCATCAGTAAATATTTATCAAGGACCACCGCCTACACAGCATTGCTCTTGTTTCCACAGCAACACACTGTCACGGAGTCAGGGGAGTATCCTGTGCTTGAAAGAGTGATGCTGTCATGTCCTCTGATCGTGGCTGTGAAAGGTGACAGCTATACGACTACATGGAATACCATCTCAGCTGGCAGCCTGACACCTTCAAGAGCTGTGCTGAGTACAAGCAAGAAGAAATTAAGTTGAGTAGAAAGAGAGTCGGTTGTAACCCAAGAATATGGTCTGCTTTTACTATGTGTTTGCGATTGTTGCTGGAACAGAATTTAAGCCACGTTTGCACATTAATTGTTCTTTTATTAGGAAACAAATCAAGCAATCCATGACAGAAAGTAAAATTCGACTGTACTGCTAACAGTTCCCCAGAGGTATCCAACGGTGATTATTGAGTTAAATGACTACATTGCTAACAATTGCAATTGCAAGTCAGTCCCCTATAAGATACATTTTTGCTCTCAATATGTGGATTCTGAAACCCACTAGTAAATGAATTCATTATCCCCTTATTCATTTAACTGTCTCTCTCTTCCCCCATCCCAAATCATGTTTTGCCACATTGTTAAGAGGCTGTTTCTAAAGGTTTTTTGTTTGTTTGATTTTTACTATCATTCCTTCCAAAAACCGTCGTGGCTCAAGAAATATGTCTTAGAGTAAGGAAAAAGGAAATTGCCTTTTGATGACAAGCTTCCGCCCCGACTTTTGGACACTGAGACCAACATGTTACAGCAAAACATATTAGCCCAACTATGTTATGGATGTAACCTTATAAATTGAAATTGCTTTCAAGATTGGGAATTTTCAGATCAAAAGAACATGGAAAACACACTACTTAGTTTTAAAATGTATTTGTCCAAACTTGCCAAAAGTTTTAAATAAAATACTTTAAAGGAAATCAAGTTATTGTCATATTTATACTAGATTTGAAATACTAACAATTTCTGAATTTAGGAATAAAATAAGATAAGTCCATTTTTAAGTCAACATTTACAGTATTCTTGTTTTGACAAATACAGATGTTCATGAGGAACCCTGGGGAAAAAAAATCTAATTTAGATGGTCTAGTTGCCGTTAAACTGGAAAGGAGAGGACAGATATATACAGAAAATCCCCATTTCTACAAATGTGTGAGGCTTAGAATGCACCAGTTCTCCAATACAAGCTAATCCCATTCGTTTAAGGAGCCCCTGGCACAAAGGCACCCACTTGCTAAATATATGCTATATCGCAGGTTTGCAGAAACCACCCTGCCCAGGTAGACCCAAAAGAACCACAGATTTCTTCCCAAACCATATTCCAGGATTTCTTTTCTTTCTCCTGCATTCTAAAGAGCAAACAAAGAAAAGGTGCTCGCTCCTCACACTTCTCTAAATGTTTTAACAAAAGGCTGCTGAATAAACACATTACTCATTTAAAAATTGAAAAGAAGTTCTATTCCTGATATGAAAGCAACCAGATTTGCATTTTAATAGTTGTGGGCGAGCGCCACCTGGCGGGAGCATCCGGAACGGGCGGCGTTCAGCACTGGACAGCTTCCCGAGCCGGTACGGGTTTTACCGCTTGCTACCCAAGAACGATTCGAGACCCGTGATGGAATATTTTTGATCCTGTTTCTGCCGCGGGAACGTGAGTGGTATTAATGTGTGGTTGGCCGGTCATGCCTTAGAGGATATAAAATCTGAGTCACGAATCATGCCTGGATCCCCAGGACTGCCCCGGGCATCCTCCCTAGTACCCCTCCCTCCCCTAGCACACCTAACACACCCCCCAAAATGAGGAAAACAAGAATTGTGCACCATCTTTAGAATGGTGCTGTAGCTGTCCCTCTTCTCTCACTTGCTAATCCAACCTTTCAGCTTCACACACCTCAAAAGGAGTGTCTTCGTCACCCAACTTCCCAGCCAGGGAAACAGGCTGTCCCTTCACAGAAGTCGCCTATTCCGCTTCCATTTTAGTACCAAGCAAGGAAGGCTCTAAAGCATTTCCAACGGAATGTCCTTCCAGCGGCCCTTAACCTCAGACGCAGCTTGTGCAAAGACGCTGTACCTCCCCACAGGTTCGTTCTTTTGCTCTTTCTTTCTTCCTTTCCTTCTTTCGGTGAAATAATAAATGGGCACAGCTGTTGCTTAGCGATCCGAAACCAGCCTGTTCCTGCGTCCCACGGGCTGATCTCAGCCTGTCCCCGCAATCCCAGCCACCTCAGGCCGGCGTGGTTACACCAAAAGCAATCGGTGCTAAGAAACTTTAAGGTGATTTTGAACTTGGAAGTACACCTGCAGCACTCCCTTCTCTTCCCTCCGCCGCTACTCTTGGGGGGGGGGGGGCTCGGGGGTGGAAGCTGCCTGCGGTGGGGCTTGGTGATGTGTAAGACCCTGGACTGTGGTGCCCTCCAGCACCCGCCAACGTGCCTTTAGGAGCACGGCAGGCACCACCCCCCCGCCCCCGCTCCCCCTACTCTGGGGAACTACCTCTGCTCACCGCCTTCCCGTGGCCAAACCCAAATATGAGTTCCCCGAACTTTTCAGGAGCGGACGCGCTCACGGGTCAAATCCACTCCCCTCCAAGGGCCTTAACACGGGCGCCCAGCTACCTCGGAGAAAAGCCAGCGGGTAGGGCGGAGGTATTGCTCTCGGTCATCAACGCAAACATCCCCTCGGGTGCCTACAGCGGCCTGCTTAGGGGAGCAGCGTGTTCAGAGCAAATGGAGAGCTTCCTGTATCTCCGAGGAAAAAAGAAAAGCCGCCGCCCCGGCAGCCTCGGCCTGCTGGGGACCTGTCCTCCCCACTAAAAGCGCGCGCTGCCCGAGGAGCTGCCCGGGAGAGAACGCTCCACCCCGGGCGTCGGTGCCGCTCCTCGTCTCGCCGCCCCAAACACTCAAGTGGCAGATTCCGACAAGTGGGAGGCAGCAAGTGGAAATATTCGCAACAACCGCGGAAAGTTACTCCAGCCCGGGGGGCCGGCAGGAAACTGAAGCGGGGAACTTCGCCAAACGCGGGCTGCCGAGGGACGCGAGGGGCCGGGCTCGCTGGCCGGGGCGCGCGGGGACACTGCTTCCCGCGCCTGCAAGCTGAGACCCGGGTTCCGGCCATGGGGACCCGCGCCCCCGCGAGCCCACACAACTTTCTCCTCCGAGGGCCCCGCGGCTGGGGGCCCGCGCGCATCCAGGAGGGAGCGGGGAGCCCAGGGGAGCCGGGCGGGCGCACTCACCTGCGGCGCTCTGAGCCCGGGCGCCGGGCAGTGGCGGCAGCTGCAGCCTCAGGAGCAGGCTGAGGGCGAGCGCGGCGAGGCTCGCCATCCGGGCGGCGGCGGGCAGCTCAGCCCCTTCCCGCGGGGGCCGGGGCCGGGACTGGGGCGGGCGCGGGGTGGCCCCGCATCGCCGGCGCGGCCGCTGGCTGTGCGCGCGGCTGGCTCCGCTCGGGCTCCCGGAGCCGGCGCTCCTGCGTTCCAAGCCGAGGCGCGGCGCGAACTGAGGCGGGAGGCTGGGCGGGGGCGGGACGCGGGGGGCGGGGGGCGGTGTCCCCCGAGTCCTAACGCCGCCGCCGTTGCCGCCGCCGCCGCCGCCGCCGCCCGCCCGGGCGCTCCGCCTCGGCCGTGCACACACCCTCACGCGCACGCCCGCGCCTGGCACACGCCCGCGGCTGGCACACGCGGGCTCCCCCGCGCACCCTCTCCGGGGCCGACCAGCTCGGGCCGCTGGCACAGTCACGCGCGTCCACACATCACCCCCGCACCCACACGCCGGGCAGGGTCCTCGCCTCTTCGCCCCGCGCCGCGCCGCGCAGCCAAGCATCGTCTGCCCTGTGGGGGCGCAGGTACGGGGGCGGTGCGGGGAGGAGGAAGCTGCAGCAGCCGTTTGAACTCGGGGTGGGGAACAGGTGAATGGGGGTTCGGTGGCGAGAAGAGGGAGGGAGGGAGCAGCCCTCGCAACTCAAGATAAGGGGCCAGGTGAATTGCGAAAGCGGGTGGGGGCGTCTGCCCAAAGCTGGGGCAGGCGGCTGCTGGCCAGGGTCTCGGGCACACCCTGAGATGAGAATTTCATCTAAGAGCGCGCGCGCGCACACACACACAACCCACTCACACTCTTCTGGGCGCATCGCTGACCGCGCCACAATCGTCGTCCCCCTCAATTAGCCGCCCACCCCACCTTCTTCTTCACCCACATCTCTCTCTTGTCCCCACCACCACGCGGAAGGGGGCGCAGAAGGGGCATGAGGCATCCCCCCACCCCCTACAATTTTTCCCTGGCAGCCTTCCCTTTCCTTTTCTAGGGAGACAGAACCTTGTAGCTTTTTCCCTTTTCTTCTCGGTCTTAACAAAGACCTGGTTGGGGCTGAAAGCCTAAAACCATAGATCAGGGTTGGAGCTGTCCCTGGCAGCCCACGGCCCACAGCCTGGCTCTCTGCTGTCCTGGGAGGCAGCTGGTACCTGAGTCTTGGCTGGGGGTCTGAGATGTAAAAGCCAGGGGCAGGGATACCCAGAAATGCTTAAGGGATTCACACTTTGTGAACACTTTGCTACCTGGCCAAAGCCCTCCTTCTTCTGTGTCAGCACAGCCCCCCACCCCCATCCTTGTTGGGGTACCAGGGACTGGACTGGGGAGACTGTAAGTGAATTGTGAAAATCAAGCATGGCAGGGTTTCCAAAAGTGGGGAGCCCCAGGCTCTGGACCCAAGTTGGCATGGCAGAGAACACAGGGCGTCACTCTGTCAGTCCCCAGTTCCCAGTCCCCACTAGGTAAAGTGGCCCAGTTCCCTGGCATGGAAGCCCAATTTACAATCCCAGGCAAATTCTTCCACCCCTCTCCGGACCCCGACTCCCACCACCACCACCATGACCGTGACCACTTTCAAAAGCTGACGTGCTTGGACTAGCCTGTTGGACCAGCCAGTGCCTCCCACACTTGCCTGGTCAAAGAACTACCAGGAAGATTTCTCCAAGTCCTGCTTCCCAGACCCCTGCTGGGGAGAGTGGAATTTGGCAGGCCTGTCGGGGGTGGCCTGGGAGTTGAACCTTTTACAAGCTGCTTTGGAGATTAATAATTCTACCAATATTTATGGTGCATTTAATTGTGTGCCTTACTCTGTGCTGTTCTCTGGGGATACCACAATGCTATAGCCCTTAGGGACAATTGGAATGGAAAGATCCCTTCTGCTCAGAGCTGAGCTTCCAGCTGTTTGCTCCATCACTCACTCATTCTAACCCTGCCTTGGGCAGATGAGCAGTTAGGAAGTGTGCGAGGAGAGGCCTGACCCAAGACCACCACAAGCGACCCCAGTCATGGCAGATCCCAGGGGATGACCCGGGTGGGGAGATTTCTAAGCCACTAAAGAGCTTGGTGTCACACTTGTAACTTGTTGCCACTTTCTTGGGCTCCTGCCAATTCATCCCCTCTCTCAAGCTTTCTGGAAAACTATAAAATAGCAGTTCTCACAGCATCCTCAGAGCAACGCCCTTTGGCACCCCCCTGCACTCCTGCTTTAGGGATGTGATATCACTGCAGACAAATCCCCCAGGTCTGAATGGGGTTCATGTGGCCCCGAGGGGAAAAAAAAAATTCAGTAGTCACTGAGCTGGTGGAGTGGGACCTGATCCTGCACCAGGACTTACCTGCCCAGGTGCACCGTGGTCATGAACCGTGACCCTCTGTGCTTTCTAAACCTCCCTCTACTCCGAGAAACTGCCCCCTCTCCTTCAGTAGCACGTGCTGCCACCTGCTGCCCGGCCAGGCTCTGGCACCCACAGCACTGCCACGCTTTTGCACCGGCCAGTCCCTCTGCCTGGAAGCCCTGCACTGTATCATCTCCCTGGGAAACTCACACTAGCCCTTAGGGCTTCCCTTTGGAACTTTGGCCAGCGGGCCCTTCCTGCTCAAGGCATGTTCCCCAGCGCAGGTCACTGTGGTGGTGCTTTTTACATTGTGGAAATGTTGTCTCCTCTTCATGTGTTCTACAAGACTTGAGTTGCCAAAGGGAACCTGGACACTTACCACAGGGCTGCTAGGAGATGGGGGTGTGGGGGTGGAGAGAGAGGGCTGGCACAGGGCTGAAGATGCCTTACACAAAGCTTCCAGCTAGCTGGCTTCTCAGGGGAGGGAACTAATGGAAAGTTACAGCATCATCTCCCACCCTCCTGCACAGGGAGCCCTCTTTCCCCTCTGACCCCATCAGCCCAGGGAGCTGGGACATGACCAAGATTTGCTTGGCTAGGGGCTGGGCCCAGCATTGCATCAGTGCTGAAGGAAGGAGGCAGGGTGAGCTTTGTAAGAGATGGCATTCTGCCCTACAAACTCTTTTAGTTATGCTCAGACAGCAGGCCTCTTATCTTTGGACTGTGTCCTTAACCCCATGAAACCTTTGGCGAGACCTCTCCGTGTGTCAGTTTCCATATCTGCCCAGTGGCTTCCCTTTCAGTTGTGTCAGGGACCAAGACAGGAGTGTCCAGACATTTCAGCTACAGATCTCTCTGTCGAGCAGTTTTAGGGGAAACCTGAAACTTGGGGCATCCTTTCAACAAGTGTGCTGGCCTTTTGATGTGTGTCAGGGATCTTAGGGCTGTGGGTTTGCAGCCTAAACAACAGACATGGTAACTGCCATCATGTAGCTTACAATCTGGTGGAGGAGACTGGACAAAGAGAAAGGGGTAACAACCCCAGAGCTGGTCCCCATCTCCCCAGCCCTGCCTCGCCCCCAGCGGTCAGCCCTCCAGTGGGGAGCAGAGCACCAGGGGGAAGACATCTGCTGGGGCCACGTGCCTTACTAATTAGATTTCCAAACCATGTATCTAGTAGAGTGTATTCTATGTTTAAAGTATCAAATAAAGTCCAGTGAGGAAAGTCTAGTGATGTAGCTATTGTTTGATCCCCATCTTACACATGAGGACACTGAAGCTCAAGAAGGGCAAAGACTCTCCATGTAGGAAGGGCGGGAAGGTTCACTTCCTGTGTTGGGGGTGGCTGCTCCATTGGAGCCTGTCTTCTTGCTGTGGCACAGATAGCCACTAGTCATTTAAAGTTCAAATTTAGCATTTCAGTGCTTGGCCACACCGCATTTCAAGTACTCAGTAGCCACAGGTGGCCAGTGGCTGCTGTATCAGACAGTGCAGATACAGAACATTTCCAACATCATGGAGAATTCTATTAGTGCTGCTCTAAAACAGAGGTCACCAAACCTCTACCACATCTGGCCCACTGCCTGTTTTTATAAATAAAGTTTTATTGTGCCACATCCATGCTTATTCATTTACATACTGCCTATGTCTGCTTTTTGCAGAAAGTTCTACTGGACAGCACTGCTCTAGAGCAGAGGTTAGCAAACTCCACCCATGGGCCAAATCTGGACCACTGCCTATTTTTATAAAGTTTTATCGAAACACAAACCCCTGTATTCATTTACATATTGCCTACGGCCGCTCTCTGAAATATAGCAGCAGAGGTGAGTGATTGTGACAAAGATAGTCTGGCCCACAAAGCTTAAAATATTTACTGTCTTGCCCTTCATAGAAAGTTTGCCAACCCTTTCTTTAGAGGAAGTCTTACAGCACAATTTGACAATTATTGATCTAAAACTCATTCTCAAAGTGTGGTTTCTGAACCAATAGCATCAGCCTCACCTGGGAACGTGTTAGAAATACAAGTTCTTGGGTCCCACCCCAGGCCTGCTGAATCAGAAACGCTGGAGGTGGGGCCTGGGCTCTCATTTCACCAGCCTTCCAGGTGATTCTCATGCATGTTCAAGTTGGAAACCACTGTTCCAAAACACAGAGCAAATGCCAACAAGTGACTGGTACGGTGAGGGTGCGAATGGGCTCCTGTGGGTAACAGAAGAGTTTGGAAAGATGCCAAGAGAGTGATAGCCCATCTGCTGCCTGGTCCCTCAGCAGCAAAACCTTTGACAGCCGTTCCACGGAGGCTGTGCCAACCAGGGGAGGACCCTGTACCAGCCCCCGGCGCCATGCTCAGGCCCCACTGCCATCGGCCCCGCCCTCCCACGGAGTTGTCAGCACATTTGGAGCTGCCTCCACACATAAATTCATGGACCAGCTGTCTCTTTTAATCTGGTTGCAAGATGAAACCATTAATAGATGTCAGACACATTGGCAATGATCTCTTCATTAATAATTTCCTCCTTTCTGAGGAAAAAGATATTAGTAACAAGCCACCATCAATAATTCAAAAATACAAGTTAACCTTTCTATTAGCAGAGTGACTGTGCACACACCGCAGATGCTTTCAGAGCCAGTAGTTCTGGTTTGAGTAATGTTTTGATGGCAGGAATATTAACATGCATTAATGCTGTCTGTCAAGATGTGCAAATATAAATAACCCAAATGCAACTTAGAAATCTTAAGTATTTTCAGGTTTAACCTCATGATCCAACCATTTTTTCTGTTTAAAAAAAAGCATGTAGTATCCAATAATATCACTCCGTTCAAAATCAGGACTTTGTAACGGAATCCATTTCCAGTTTGAGGTCCTTGTGGTTAGAAAGATTTCCCTAAAGCTTTACCGATACTGCCGATTGATAGTTTCTCCCTCCAAAGTTGGATCTGCCTCCTGGGGAAGTAACAGCCGGGATGCCCTTCCAGGTGACCTTCGTTTGGAGATTGGGTGTGCTCCAGGTAAGCATACTCAATTTCTTAAAACCCTTCCCATTCCTCTTCTGATAGATTTTCAGGCCCACGGCACCTGGTTCCTCTTCTCAGCCATGCTCCATTTTGATAACATCCCTCTTCTGGGGAGGCCTTGCACCTGCCTGCATTCTCCACACCTCCATTTACCACCCAAGTGACCACACACTCATCACTTTCCCTCTCCAAATGTGTTTCCCCATCTGTGAAATTGGGTGATTATTCCCACCTCGCTGAGCTGAGTGAGAATTAAGTGAGTTAATGGATGTGAACACGCCTAGTACAGGGCTGGCCCACTCCGTAGCCCATTTCCCTTCCTTTCTTCCCACTTCCAAGTCTTAAATTCACCAGATCACCCCAGCCTTGACTCTAGACCAACTGTCATAGACACCTGGACAGCAACATGGCACGGAAGGCCAGCTGCTTCTTCCCTGGGCCAAAATACCAACACGTGGTCCAGATTGTTGCCAAGTAGACCTCAATGTCTGAGGTGTCCTGGATTTAATGCCAGCACTGCATCTCACCCGAGTGGCATCTGCCAAACAGCTGTTTCTGGTAATTTTTTTAAAAAGCTAAGTGATGGGTGGCAAGTACCCATCACAGGTGTTTTCACTTCTGACTGACACCTGGCCTCATTGCTGGGCAGTGGGGATGTTAAGATAAAGTGATCCCATCTGCAAGGAGGCCACAGTCCGCCCACACTGAGAGGTCACCCAAGCACACTGGGGACAGGGTGGTGTTAGTGTCAGGGGTTGAATAATGGATGTCAAACATGATTGAGATATGGCCCCAGGCTTTACTTCTTGCTTCCAGCAAAGTGGTTTCTCTGATGAAGCAAGCAAAAAGCCACCATTCGTGTAACAGCTTGGTGCCCTGGAATTGAGCACATGCCTTTTCAGAGCACTGAGGTCCCCGCAAGACCTTCAGCCCTGGCCAGGTGCGGTGGCTCATGCCTGTAATCCCAGCACTTTAGGAGGCCGAGGTGGGTGGATCACCTGAGGTCAGGAGATCTAGACCATCCTGGCCAACATGGTGAAACCCCGTCTCTACTAAAAATCCAAAAATTAGCTGGGTGTGGTGACGCATGCCTGTAATCCCAGCTACTCAGGAGGCTGAGGCAAGAGAATTGCTTGAACCAGGGAGTCGGAGGTTGCAGTGAGCCGAGATCGCACCACTGCACTCCAGCCTGGTGGCAGAGCAAGACTCCATCTCAAAAAAAAATAAAATAAAAAGGGCTTCGGCCCTTCTCCTGGTCCCTGACTCCCAACTCAGATTCCAGAATGTTTGTGAACCTGTTGCTTCTCCCCACCTCCCCGCAGCAACCTTAGCTCTGACTTAGCTTCTTACTGCCTGAAGTCTTGTCCCTCCCAACCCCTCCCCACACACAGCAGCCAGAGTGGTTGTTGAAGAAGACAGTCACTCCACAACCTGTTGCTCACCAGCTTAAAACCCTTCACTAATGCCGCCACTGCCCTCAGCATGAAGTCCACAATCCTTACCATAACCAACAAGACTCTCCACTGGCTGGGCCCAGCCTGCCTTTTTTGTTTGTTTGGAGACAGAGTCTTCTCTTTCTTTCACCCAGGCTGGAGTGCAGTGGTGCGATCTCAGCTCATTGCAACCTCCACCTCCTGGGTTCAAGCAATTCTCATGCCTCACCCTCCCAAGTAGCTGGGATTATAGGTGTGTGCCACCACGCCTGGCTAATTTTTGTATTTTTAGTAGAGATGGGGTTTTGCCATGTTGCCCAGGCTAGTCTTGAACTCCTGGCCCCAAGCAATCTCCCTACCTCAGCGTCCGAAAGTGCTGGGATTACAGGTGTGACCACCATGCTCAGCCCAGCCTGCCTTTCTAAGCCCATACCCTCCGTAACTCACCTTAGACCACCCCTCACCAAAGGGAAGTCTTCCCAGGTAGAGAAGAAAAGAAGGGCATTCCAGGTGGCTGGAACAGCCTGGGCAAGTACTCAGAGATCTGAAAGAGTCTGCAAGTTCAAAGAGGCAAAGCTGAGACCTAAGTGCAACGCTCTCTGTTCTCATTTCATTTCCTCCATGCTCCATTTACCCTGTGCTCCAAGCCGCACATGACAACTGTCCATTACCTCCCTCTGGGCCTCGGCCCATGTAGTTTTTTCTCTCTGGAATGCCAAATTCAAAAGCAGCATCCTTCCTTATCCAGGCATCCTTATCCTTATCCTTCAAAGCTCAGCTTTGCGCAGTATCTGTGGGCTAGACTGTAGTGGGCTGGATGAAGAATTAGTGAATTCCATCCTTATTGGAACCATCTGCAGATCTGCCTTCTCCACCAGGGTGACAGCATTGAGGGATGCCAGTACTGTCTTACGCACCCTCACGTCCCCAAAGCCAACCCAGCATGGTATACAGCAAGCACTCAATACATACGGGTTAAGACTAGGGCCAAATTTGCCTGCCAGGGCCATATACATTCTGCATGAGCTGTTATCAAACAGAAGGGACAGTGACCCATTTATTGAGATCTATGGGGAAACCAACTCATGAGCAAGACCCCAGCAAGGCTCTCGGGTGTGCAGGATGAGATGATGGGGTGGTGCTTCCCCACTGTGTCTGGTCCTGAGAACCACCAGGAACTCTTGTTAATAACTCACGTACCCCAGACTGATAAGCCCAATGCTTCAGGGAAGAGCCTGGAAATGTGTCCTTTTTATCAGACTGAATCTCACAAAAGGTCGTAACTTGGTGGTTCTGTCCACGCCAACGCAGAACCTGTCCTCTGGTCAGATTGCCAGAGGCACCTGGCCTGGGGGCTCAAAGTAGTAACAGGGCTGTCCACGGCAGGAAGAAACCACGGTAAAGTCCCCAGAGGCTTTAGTGGCCTGTCTGCCCATGGCACTGAGCCTCTTCTAGTGAGTCCTGAGTCCAAGGAACAGCAGATGCCAACCTCTGAGAAAAAAAGGCACCAAGAGACTTGAAGCAGAAATGATAAAGAACGCCTCATGTTTATAGAAACTTCTGCAAACTTTCTTCAGACCTCTGGTTTACAGAGTTGGCTTAATTAGAATTCTTGGTTCTTAATATACTTTCATGATGTTTTCCTGCATAGCCCTCTCTTATTAATATTATTTACTTAGGTTTGCTACTTTGTGTTATGGCATGTAATTGTTATTTTCATTGATTTATTATATTTTGATAAGCACCTAGAGATCTTCCATAACAACCACTCCCTGATAGTAACAGAATTCTGCTCACTACACTTCATCCCTGCAATGATGTACAAAGAAAATTTGGGCTGGCAAGAGGACCTTCAGGAGAGACCCCAGAGCCCGTTTGTTCCTGGATTTCTGCTGCAGTGGTTCTCAACCCCGCTGCGTATGAGAATCACCTGGGACCCCACCCTCAGCCACTGATTTATTTGAGTAGGCCCCAAGCAACAGTATTTTTAAATCTTCCCCAATTATTTCTATCAAGAGCACTACAAGGACTCCTTAGAGTTCTCCCTACCCCTAGGCAGGTGAAATATAAATCATCTAAGAAGTTTCTGGGGGAACAGCTACACAGAGCTCTACCCACCCGCCCTTATAACCTAATATACTTTCCTAAAGATGCCCCCCCACTTGCTCACCTTAGGGGATCCCTGCACATGGGACCCATTCTACTGAAGAGGGTGTGCTGGGCAAGTGGCGGACATACTTCTCAATGTGGGGCCCGGGACTGCACCTGCACCAGAACTGGGCTGTTTGTTAATTATGTGTGGAGCTGAATCAGCATCTCTGGAGGTTGAGGCTCAGGAATTTGCATTTCTAACAGGCACCCCAGGTGATTCTCAGGCACGCAAGAGTGTTTGAATGGCTGATGCAGTGTCAGGGACAAGGAAAGTTGAGAGCCTCCAGGCACAACTCCAGGGCTGCCAAGCCAGGTCTGTATCTTGCCCATTCTGTGTCTCAGACACCTATAAGGGCTTAAAGGATAAATACTGAGTGGGGAACACATACACTCCTTGTATTTTAGGCAAGACTCTTTTTCTTATGAATGACAGACAGACACCAAACTCAAACAAGCTTAAGTGAAAAGAGGAACGCAGTGGCTTACTTAGCTGAGCACTTCATGAGCACCTTCAGGCAAAGCTGGATCTAGGTACTCGAATGATGGCATCGGGCCTCCTCTCTCTCCCTATCTGTCTGTCTCTGTATCTCAGCTGGGCTTCTCTCTATGGGTAGTCAAAGAAACCGGCCAATGACAGCTCCATACACAGGTCTCACAGCTTACCACCTTCAGTATAAAATGAGACCTTCTGAACACCCCACCACACTGTCCACAAAAACCCAGTAAAGCTATTTATTGGGTGATTTGGTTCACATCCTATTTCCTAAATGAATCAATTTGGCCAGGGATATTGGCAAGGGGAAGGGGTGTCACCATAATTGCCCAGCCTAGGTCTTTTGTCCACCTCTCTGTATTGAGGATGACAGCCATAAATGACAGCTCCATGAAGACTGAATGGAGTGGGGAAGGGGAATATTCTCCAAATAATCTCGGGCAGTCTGGTGGCACTGGTCTAGCTCTCTTAAAAATCCCTTAAATAGGCTGGGCGCGGTGGCTCATGCCTGTAATCCCAGCACTTTGGAAGGCCGAGGTGGGTGGATCATGAGGTCAGGAGATGGAGACCACGGTGAAACCCCGTCTCTACTAAAACTACAAAAAAACTTAGCCGGGCGGTGGCAGGTGCCTGTAGTCCCAGCTACTTGGGAGGGTGAGGCCGGAGAATGGCGTGAACCTGAGAGGTGGAGCTTGCAGTGAGCCGAGATCGCGCCACTGCACTCCAGCCTGGGCGACAGAGCGAGACTCCGTCTCAAAAAAAAAAAAAATAAATAAATCCCTTAAATAAGTGGTCTAGAGACTTAACCAGTCACCTGGGGCCTGCTCTTTCCATATGGCCTCGTCCTCTCCATCTGATGCTTGTTCTAACCCCCCATACCCAGATAGACCCTGTGATTTTTGTTGTTGTTGAGACAGGGTCTGGCTCTGTCGCCTAGGCTGGAGTGCAGTGGTGCGATCTTGGCTCACTACAACCTCCTCCCCCTGGGTTCAAGCGATTCTCGTGCTTCAGTTTCCCGAGTAGCTGGGATTACAGGTACGTACCATGATGCCCGGCTAGTTTTTGTACTTTTAGTAGAGAAGAGGCTTTGCCATGTTGGCCAGGCTGGTCTCAAGCTCCTGGCCTCAAGGGATCCACCCGCCTCAGCCTCCCAAAGTGCTGGGATTACAGGTGTGAGCCACCGTGCATGGCCTAACCCTGTGATTTTTATACAACCTCCTCCTCTGTACCAAAGCATGTTACCCTCAAAATGTTTTCAACCAGCCAGTTAGTCTATCGCCAATCTAGTGAAACTGAACTGTACTTACTCTGAGCCATGCATGCAACTAAAAGCCTATGTGCATTATCCACCCCACAACTCTCTTATTATTCCCCACTTACAGGAGAAGAAACTGAGGCACAAGGAGGTTTGTTGATTTGGGACTGATTTGGTTTTAAGTTTTGTTTTCTTCTCCACAGCTCCTGGACTTTTTAAAATTCCTGGAATTGTGTCTCTCTATCATGGGGCTGGTACTATTACCATACGTTTCAGAAAACAGCATCTGTTTACAAAGCGTTTTATTATACAACACAGAAATACATTTCACCCCAAATGATAACAGTGAACTTCAGCCCCCAGAATCTCCTTCTCCCCTTCGTGAAACAGAGCTGGGATGATGGCAGAGGACTCCAGAACGCACTGAGATTGTTCCTTGGCGTGACAAATGGCAAAGGACTCTAGAACGCACAGAGATTGTTCCTTGGTGTGACGGGCCAGACAGCACACCTTTCTTCAAGCCATTCTCACATCAAATAAAACGTTGATAAATCATTGTTTCTCTAAGCTTGAAAAATGCTACTAACTCAAGACAAGGTGAAAGTGAGTTTGTTGAAATCAACGTGAAGGATCGAGGGTACCAACTTGGAATGTAAAACCATAGAAAATACCATCTGGGAACACGGAAATCATCTGTCTTATCTGGAAGCCTGTCTCCAGAGTGGCAAACTTAGGGACTGGTTTGAGGACAGAGTGTGCCCTGTGTGCTGGGGAGGGGTGTAAAGGACTGGGATGGAGGAGGGGGGGCTCCAGATGTTCTTTTACCCATAAATACACTGTACATCACCGTCTGCCACTGAAGCTTAAGGATTGAAAACCTTGGGGATGTTTCACTGGTTTTGCTTCCGCCTCTGCAATGTTTGAACTTGCATTTTCTGAGCCACGTATGCAACTAAAAGCCTTACATGCATTACCCACCCTTCACCTCTCTTACTAGTCCTATTTACAGGTGAGAAAACTGAGGCACAAGGAGTTTTGCTGATTCGGGATTGTTACGGGTTTTAGGTTTTGTTTTCCTCCTGACAGCTCCTGGACTTTTTAAAATTCCTGTAATTGTGTCTCCCAATCATGGGCCAGGAATATGAGAATCAGCTGTGAACTTCGAGCCTGTCCATCTCAAAACTCTTCATCTCCAAGACATTTCAATAGAGCTTTGCCAGTAAACAAAAATAAATACGGTTCGGTTTACCCAGAGGCCAAATCCCTTGTAATAAGTTCTGGGCCAGTTTCTTCCCAGAGCGGGAGAATATACAGTTGTAGTTTGAGTTGATTTTATTTCTTTGAGGCTTTGTTTTTCTAGTCTTTCAGGCCTTAACCTCACTCCCTCAGGAACAGCTGAAATATGAGAAGAGATCATATGGCCCCCAAAAAGTCCCCAGATTAACCAAGATTGATGCCACCCAGGGCCCAGTTGGGGTCAACACCCTGTGTCAGGTGCGCTCTCTGTATAATTCCTGTTTCCTGTGAGAAGAGCATTAAAGGCCCGTTAATGTTTTAAAATGAAATGCAACCTCTTAATAATCAGGTTTCTCCACTCTGCTAGGATTCCAAAAAAAAAAATCAGCAACTGACAAATGTTAAAAATTTCCTCGCTGCTAATCATGCTTTCCCCCGCTTCCCTTTCTTTCCCCCTCTCTTCTAACATGAATTTATTTTCTATTTGAAAGCCAATCTCACTGGTTATTAGATATTCTCCCTGCTGTCACTATCAGTAAATTATTAAACAGCTGACCAAGCTTTGTTTTAAAATGATTCTCTTATGAAGCTCAGTGATATATTTGCTATGAATACTGAATGGTGCCGCGGTCTCTAAGGTCACGTGAATGATTCCTATTTACTACCTTTAGCAAAATGTGTGTGCAATTAGCGGCAAGAACTTGACTTGAATCACAGTTACTAGGGATGCCTGTAGCTCATTTACATGGAGCTCCCTTTACTCATTACACTCCTGCCCAGGAGAAGCGTGTTAAGATTCTAGGCCAGGTCACGAAATAGCATATAGACTTGTCTTTTGTCATTCCTCACCTCCTTTCTTGTCTTGCCACTGCTGAGCCTTGACATACCTGTGGGAATCCTTTGTTTCATGGAGCAGCGGGTTCTAAGTGAATTTTTGCTTAAAGAAAATAAACGTGATTGAGAGAAAATTACTTACCTGTCTGTGTCTCTGCGTCTCATCTATAAAATGGTCGTCATAATTTCTACCTCACGGATTCTATAATGAGAACAAAGTGCTGAGCACAGTGCCTAGCATCGGGTAAATATTTGGGAGGTGATGGGTACTTATTCTCCTGTTGACTGCTGCATTAGTCCAAACTCTCAGTTGTAAGTGACAGAGACCTATCTCCAATTCACCTGAGCCAAAGAGGAAACACAGTGGCTTCCCTAATCAAACAGTGGTTGAACAGTCAAGGTCTAACTTGGAAAACAGAAACTGCTTCAAGTATTTGCAACAGAGGGGATTTAATGCAGGAAACTGGCTACACAGATGATGAGAGAGCTGGGAGACCAGGAAGGGAGAGGAAGGTAACGCACAAATACACGAGCGCAAGAAGCTACTGCCAGGCCGAAGATGGATGGATACAGGTGCTGGAAGCCTAGGAGTACATGAATGCATGGAAGCTGGAACGCTGACAGATGTGTTCAGGGGAAGCTGAGGCCAAGGAGGATACTCCTTTGCTGCTGGAGAAATTGCCTAACGCAGAGAAAGAGGAGGAGAAATTCCCTTGCTTCTCCTTTTCCCCTGCCTCCAGCATCCAATCAGCATCTTCCATTGGCCAAACCACTGGAAGCCAGCTGAAACAAGAGTCTGGGAAAATGAAGCCACCAGGGATCAGCCTCTCTGATTACAGAGCAGAGCAAGGAAAGGAAAGGCAAGGCATGAATCTGAAGGCAAAAAGGCTCAGGACCAGCCCGGATGGGAAGGGAAGTGTATGGCCAGCCTTAGATGCCAGTCAACCTTCACGAGGACTCTGCCTCTACCTCCTTTCTCTCAGTTCTTCAGCATTCTTCTCCCAGCACTGTTTGCCAATGGCAGAGAGCATGACTGAGGGTGTGCTCATATCCTCCTAATTCCATGTTCAGAGAAAACAGGAAGCTTTTCTCCCAGCACCAATTTGAAGAATCCTGATTGGTCACATGCCCATCCCTTGAACCAATGACTGTGGTTGAGTAATGAAATACTATGACTTGTTTAACTTGAGTCATGTGCTCATCCCTGTTGGCAGAGAGGCTAGATTTGATCTGAGAGTCAGGGGGAAGGGTGCAGAAAAACAAGAGATACCCCCAAATTAGAGTAGGACTATTCTCTCAGTGGACTAAGTCGGAAAGTTTTAAGAGTGCAATGGTCATTAGTCCCGTTCACTGAATATTTCTAATTTTCCTTCCAGAGACAGAGTAGGATGACATTTTTCTATCTCCTTAGAATTAAGTGTGACAAGGTGACTTGCTTTTGCCAAGAAAATGTGAGCAGAAGTGATCCATGTTGCTTCTAGGTGGAAGCCTTTTAAGCAGTAATATGCCATCTTCTCTTTGCTTTTGATACAGCGATTGGCAATGTTGTAGATAGTGGCTGTTCCAGCAGCCTCAGTCCCAGAATGAGAAGACATGGAGCAGAGCTTCCTACCGGTCCATAATGGGCATGTAGTGTGTGCCATAAACAAGCCTTTGTGTTTTAAGCCACCGCAATTTGCGGGTTGTGTATTACAGCAGTGTAACCTGAACTATCCTGACTGGGTCTATAAGAAAAGTACTCAAAGCAGTGATTCTTCTGAGCTTTGTACCAGGGGCAGCTGCCCATCAAAACAATGCTGGACACTAGCCTCAAACAACCAAAAATGTTAATAGAGGACAGTGAAAGAAACTGGATAGTACTTGATGTTCTTGGAATCACCAACTACTGCCACCCTTCCTCCTCTCCCTCATACCAGTCAACATATTTGCCCAGCTGGAAAATGATGGCTGTAATAAAAACTACCATTTATTGATCATGTGCCATATGCCACACACTGCATAAAGCATCTACTGGCATACTATCTTGACAACAGGTATGTGCAATAGACCCATATTTCAGATGTGAAAACCAAGGCTCACAGCAGCAATCTAACATCCCAAAGTCACAGAGCTGGTTGAGCTGGAATTCATCCTTTAGATTGTCTGACTTCAGAGTATGTGTTCTTTTTTTTATTCATTGGTTTAAAACAACAAAATTGCTCTCTTATCATGTAAAGTCTGCCATGGTTTGCACAATTTTTCAAGGGAGCATTCCATGACTGCACCACACCTCCCAATCAATAGATGCATCCTCACTTGCACAGGCAGAAGAAGAGGAAGTTGTAGAACTGTGCATCTGCTTTTAAATGCATTTGCTCACATTTTGTTGGTCAAACCAGTCACATGGGCACACCTAGTTTCCAGGTGGCAGGAAAGCATAATCCTATCAGATGCCTGAAAGGGGGAAGTAAAAAATATTGGTGAACAATACCAATGGCTAACATTCTGAGTCAGAGTATGTATGTTCTTAACCTATAAAATAATGTCTCCTTTATACACTCATATGAATATCCCCCTGTCTGAAACAATCTGTTCCTATTTGATTATACCTGCATTGTCATTCCTTCCTAGATGCTATGATCATTCCTGTCCTTGGTCATAAAAGATTTAAGAGACCTGATTGAGTAGTATTGGTGACTTGCTATCAAATCACTCTAATTGCTGGCTCCATGAAGGCCTTGACTCTGGCTCTGAAGACAACACTTTTGTCTTGACCCTTCTGACCAAGCTCTTTTTTTGTTCTCTAGATCTAAAAATAGGATCCCACCTTATACCCTTGTGTCTGAGCCCCTGCTTAATATTGTGCCGTAATGCCAAGCCCTCCAAGATGGGAGACTTGCTTTCACTGGTATTCCAGGGCTCGTTTCCTGGCACAGAGCACTAGTTTTGGTTTGGCATTTCTACCTCCTACCAGGCCTCCTTGTAGTGACTACTGACCTTATTCTGTAGTTGGCTACTAGGTTATGTCTGGAACACCCCACCCCAGCTGGTCTGCTTCAACTGTAGCTAGTTTAGTCCCTCCCACAGTTAAGCAAACTTTACCTCTGATGGAATTCTTGCAACTGATGAGAATGTTACCCATACTTATCTTAACATATATAGTTTGATCATCTGTCATGTGCCAAAGTCAGACTATGTACTAGATATAAATTAGTGAAGAAAATAGATACTCTCATTGCTTTAAGGAGCTTACTTTCTAATGAGAAGACAAACACAAGACAGATAATTACAACAGAGCATGCTGTACACTGTTATAGAAGTTTCTAAATTGTCCTGTTTCTACACTCACAGCTCCAAGAACACTGCTTTCCTGCCCCTCCTCTTTCCTGAGTGTATATTATTAATATATGCCTATAGAGCTGGATTGCAGTACTACATTTCACCAATATGTGCCGCCACCTAACACACGCTGTGCCCAAGCCCAAAAGTAAGCTTCTTTTATTTAATTGTTAAACCTTGGCACCGGAAACCAACTGAGAGTTGATGAGGCTTGACCAGGGCATCAGTTGTTGAGACAAAGAGAAAGAGAAAAAAAGAAGGAGTCAAGAAATATTTAAGAGGTAGAAACAACAGGATGTGAGGACGAGAGAGGGGAAGGAGACCAGTTAAGGAAGACGCAGACTTCCTGAAAACTATGTAGTTAATACAAACAAGGAAGGGTTTAAGGAAGCCCACATCAAATGCTGAGCCACAGTTTCAGTTATTAGCTTTAGCTGATGAGTTTGGTGTTTCAACCATAAAAGTATTTTGGTAATAAACCATCTCTTATTTAAATGACAGTGACTAAGATTGTCTTTAGCAAACTCATAACTAGAAGCCATCAATCCACTAAGTCCCACAGCAGGATCTGATCCCCTTGCAGCTGGCAGGAGGTTAGAGGAAATCCCCCATGAATGTCCCTGAACACATATGATTGCTGTATTAGGCCGTTCTCACACTGCTATAAAGAAATACCTGAGACTGGGTAATTTATAAAGAAAAGGGGTTTAATTGGCTTACGGTTCCACAGGCTGTACAGGGAGCATGATGCTGGCCATTTGCTTGGCTTCTGAGGAGTCCTCAGGAAACTTACAATCATGGCAGAAAGTGGAGGGGAAGCCAGCTCGTCTTACATGGCTGGAGCAGGAAAGAGAGTGGGGAGGTACTACACACTTTTAAACACCCAGATCTCGTGAGAATGCTATCATCAGAACAACACCAAAAGGGTGGTGCTAAACCATCCATGAAGGATCCACCCCAATGATCCAATCACCTCTCACCATGCCCCATGTCCAACATTGGGGATTACAATTGAACATGAGATTTGGGTGGGGACACAGACCCAAACCATATCAATCACCTACTGGATGCTATATCATTATCTCACTAATTGTTTCCAGTTCTGAAAGCATGCATTACAATCCCCATTTCATGGAGAAGAAAGTAGAAGAGTGATAAATTTGCGGGACTCTTCTATGCTGGAAATAAAACTATGCCTCAAAGAACTCATAACCTTTCAACTGCATTGTATTTCCTAGAAATGTCCACCAGATTTCTGTAAAGCACCCTGAATCCAGCTTGAAGTTGTCAGCCTTTGGCACCTAGAACTGTTTTTTTAAATACCATTCATTGGAAGATATAACAAAGAAATGGCAGAGCCCCAGGAACAGAACCTTATATCTTAGGGCCCAACACCTGATGTCAGCTGAGTCAAGAAGGACCAGGTGGTAACTTGAGAAAAGCAAGTGCTGCCATTCACTTTGATCCCACAGGCGTTTACTTATTGAAAAGTGGATGTTGAATTTGGAAGCCAGGCTCAGAAAGGCCCAAGTGCAGAATCTGGTTCCAATAAGTCAATTTAATATTTTAATTAATCATCACATTTTCCAACAGGCTCTGAAAGCAAAGAAAGAGATACGCTTTATCTATTCCTTAGAATGAGAGGAGGTTCTATGGAGATGGCAGAGTTAAGAGTTGGTGCTATTCATCTTCAAAGGGACTCGCTAACATAACAAACACTTCTTTCTCAACTTCTGAATCCATGAAGCCTCAAATGGAAATACTTTCTATCTGTTGGAAAAGCATTCCAGTCAACGGAATCAGTCTCTTGACAAGGCAGTAATTACTGGAGCAATTTTAGCAGGTACAAAGGCATTTTTAGTAGTTTTAATTATTCAAGGGCCTGATTAATTATCTAGTCTGTAGATCAGAGGCCAAGGGGGGGATAAAACTTATGAAAATGGTTACCATGACAGGATAAAGGGAGAATTCAGCCGCCTTCAAACAGAAAGCTGCTCTCTGTGACTTTGCAGTTACATGTTTGTAACCTGCAGTGCTCACAGAGGATGGACCACTGGACTGGGCGCTTATAGTCCTGGGTTCCAGGCCTGGCTCCACCGCCGATCTGCTACATCCTTGCCTTATTCACTTTCCCCTATCAGGACTCTAAAATTAGTAGGTTCGGGGGCGGGGAAGGTATAGGGAATACAATAGATGGTCTCTGGACCTCTGTCAAGTGTGCTACATTCTATAGTTCCATAGGGCTTTTTTAAAAGTATAGATTCTATTGAAATTTTTTCTGTGGACAATGAAAATCCAGGGAAAGTTTATAAGCACGTAAGGGCTTTGATCATATTTTGAGTTAGGAAGACAGCCACCATGTAGGGCAGATCAACATGGGGAGAGACTGGTAAAAGGTGACATGAGCCATGTCTGACATGAGTATGTTTTTACCTGAATGTCTGCTTTTGGGCAGAACAAAGGCCACCCCCGTTTATGGAGCCTTTCACCTCCACCTGTGGCCCCATGTGAGGTACTGCGGAGACACAGGCTCTGCCTTCAGGGAGTTTGCCAGAGCAAGGATGCCTTGCTCAGACGGTAGCCCACTGATGGGTCTATCTGGAGAATGATGTCAGAATATTCTGGAAGCAGAGACATTGTCCACTTTCACTGACATGGCAAGTCAGACCTGGAGCCTCTCTGTATGAACCTTCTCTGCAGATGCAGTGATGAAACCACCTCACAAACACGCCTAAGCCCTGTGTGGGCCCGATGGCTTCCCTTATGGAGTAATTGCCTTACCTCCAACATCACTCCTGACATGCATGCCTAGCTTTTATCCAGGCTCAAGTGGTAGGGATTCCATGTATGTTTCTCATATGAGACATTTTCAGTCAACGTTGGGACAGTTGACAAAGCGCTTTCCAATTTGTTCTCTTGGTTCCTCCAGCGACCCACAGTGAGTTCCTTCTGGACTCCATCTCCTAGAGTGCAGCACAGAGGTTAAGAGGAAGACTATCTGGTTCAAATCACCACTTTGCCATTCCCTGGCTGTGTGACCTTGGACAAGTTACATAACCTTTTTGTGCCTCCGTTTTCCTATATGTAAAAAATGTACTGTTATAAAGATTAAAGTGGAGTGCCTTATAATAGACTGATGAACGTTCGTGCCCCTCAAAATTCATATGTTGAAACCCTAATCCAATTATGATGCTATTTGGCACTGGGGTTTGGAGGAGGTAATTCAGTCATGAGGGTGGAGTCCTCTTGAATGGGATTAGTGCCTTTATGAGAAGAGATCAAAAAGCTAGCGAGGTCTCTTTCCACCATGTGAAGATGCAAGAAGTTAGCAATCTGCAACCCGGAAGAGGGCCCTCACCAGAAGCCAACCATGCTGGGACACTGGTCTTCCAGCCTACATAAATGTGACAAATAAATTTCTGTTATTTCTAAGCCATTCAGTCTCTGGTGCTTTGTTATAGCAGCCAGAATAACTAAGACATGTCCGTACAGAGTACATGTACTGTAAATGAGAGATAAGTAAATAACAATGTACCTTTGTGCAGTTTTCTCTGAGTCTATAAGATTCAGTCACCCCATTACTAAAATGGGACAGTAATCCTTATGCACTTATTTTACAAATGTTATTTACTTAACAAATATTTACTGTGCTCCTATTAAGTGCCAGTCACTGCCGTGGGAGCTGGAGATACCACACTAAATAAAATGAGGTCTTTGTCTTTGTAGAGTTTGCTTTATTGTAGGTGCAGGGAGCAGGCAGGACAATCAAATAAATGTGCGATATGGAAAAATAGAAAGCAGATGGATGTGGTGGTGTGTGTGTTTTAAGATATAGTGGTCAGGGGCCCAGTGCGGTGGCTCACACCTGTAATCCTAGCACTTTGGGAGGCCGAGGCGGGCGGATCACCTAAGGTCAGGAGTTCAAGACCAGCCTGGCCAATATGGTGAAACCCTGTCTCTGCTAAAAATACAAAAACTAGCTGGGCATAGCAGCGCTTGCCTGTAATCCCAGCTACTCGGGAGGCTGAGGCAGAAGAATTGCTTGCACCTGGGAGGTGGAGGTTGCAGTGAGCCAAGATTGTACCACTGCACTCCAGCCTGCGCAACAGAGCAAGACTCCACCTCAAAAAAAAAAAAAGATATAGAGGTCAGGGAAGGCTTTTCTGAGGGGATGGCATTTGAGCAGTGATATGAATCAACTGAGCAAGTGATTTGGAGGCAAAGAGTGGATTCCAGTCATAGGGAAGGGCTGGTGAAAAAGGCCTGAGGCAGGACCATGCATGACATGTGCAAGGAACAGCTGAGGCCACTGTGGCCAAAGTACAGCAGGAGAGGAGAAAGTGGTAGGTGAGATCCCAGGGGGAGACTCGAGGCCTAGAGCACACAGAGTCTCACAGGCCAGGTCAGGACATAGAGAGTATCCTAATGTTGATACTCTCATTGGAAGCCCGCAGTGGGATTTGAGAGAAGAGTGGGATGAGTACGGGCTGACATGGACACTAGTTACATAGGGCATGGCAGAATGTGAAACTGTGGTCCACCACAGACAGACACAAGGTGTTCAAGAAGTTAGGGGAGAGAGATTATTTCAGACTCCAGAGAGCTTCAAGAAGGCAGCAGCATCTGAGCTAAGTATACGTTCAATGGGAGGAAGCCAATTTTCAGATGAAGAAGCGGCGAGCATGATGCTTATGGGGTTCGTTTGTTGATTTATTCATTCATTCACTTACCACTGGCCCCTCTCTGCACTGCGTCCTGTTCTAGGTGCTAAGGATACAGTGGTGTGTCCATTTTATCCAGCCTGGCCCCTGTCTTCAATGAGTTCACAGTACAGGTTGGGTGGAGAGAATAGCTTAGGCTGGTGCTAATTCTTGTTAAGCCCCTAAGATTCCAGGCTTGTTACTACAGCATAACATAGGTTGTGATCTCCAGTATTGAGTGAGGTGCTGGTCATGTGTCGGCTTTCCTAACAGGTAGATATTTGTCACAAAGGCCATGACATGATGATATGCCCTCTGATTGAGACAGCTCCATCAGTAAACCCTCTTTACATTTACACCATCATCTTCAAGAAAACCTGTAGTGCATTTGGCCACCAGTATGGTACCAAGGTCCTAATAACAGTTCATCATCTCAAAGAAAAAAGTGAAAAACAAAACTAAAATCCATCCTAAGATAAGTCATCCCAAAGAACAGCAATCTAGCCTCAGTTTTAATCAAGCTCTTTAAGGAGTGCTTGCTTTGTGCCAGGGACTCTTCCAAGGGTTTCACAATAATTAACTCATTTAATCTTCGCAACAGGCTGTAGCCCTGCACACACACTTCATCCTCACTACTTCAGCACACACTGCCTGATGTCCAGCTGCCAGCTCATGCATTGCTCTGCCTGAGACCTTTCTCTTCCTGACAGAGCCCACGTTGCAGCCTGAATGGCAGGCCAAAAGTGTCAGGGAACTAACACCCCCACTGGGCATATGCACTCACATGGCACATGTACATTCATGCACTTGCACACGAAAGCAGTCCTCAATTAAGGCTGGCTTGGAGTTGGTGTATAAATACCCCACCTCCTTCACCCCTGGATTACACGTTTTACCCTGAGTTGTGTGTTTTACAGTCTCCAGAGCTCCCCAGGGGGTTAAGCTCAAGTCACCTGCAGCGGTAACTTGCTCTTTCCAGTCTTCCTTTACTACTCGTCTACCTTCACCTCCCAATTAACTAATTGCTCTTAAATCTATGTCTCCGGGTGTTCCCCTGAGGGAACCAGCTTAAGACACAACCCTTTCTTTGAGGGAAGAAGGTACCATGATAATCATCCTTATTTTGTAGCCAAGAAAAGTAAATCAGAGTTTTCAAACTTATTGAGAGAGAGACTGAATAATTTGCCCAAAGTCAGAGCTGGTGAGTGGTAGATCCAGGCTTCACACCCAACCACCAGGCTCCAAGATCCATGCTATTAACCCCGACACTCTACTGCAAAAACAACCCAAACCACTGAGCACCTGCCTCATTTCATTGGCTTTGTGAGATATGCACGTTGGTGAGCTACATAGATAAATACACATTGTTCCAGATTCATCTATAACCTTCTCTTTGGAGATTCCAGCATGTAATTCAGAAGTGTGTTTGAGAAGGTATTTGATGTGATTTTCAATGCAGTGGCAGCCACAAGGTGATTCATCAGCCAGCTCTCTTTGACAGTGAATTGATCTCCCAGGTCAGGAAGCAAACCTCAATTTACGTAGGATGCACTTGGAATGCGTCCTCACAGTAGCACATGGGAGATAAAGCACAGTCAATGACAGTTCTTGTCAATGAGTTTGTTATGGCAAGAGGGGAGATGTGGGGCTTTCCGGTCTGAGTGCTACCGCTGACACTCCAGATGCATGCTTTTTTTTTTTTTTTTTTTGGTATGATAAACACTTTGCCTGAGTCTTTTAGCCCTGCCTGTCAATTCCTTGACATTTCCAAGTCCTCTTTTGATCCAAGTATCTTCATCCAATAGCACAAAAGCAAAATGAGTACTTACTTGGTTCTCAGGCCATCAACCATTCTTTTTTCTTTCAAAATAGATCTCTCTGATTTTTCAATTTTGTTTCGTGTCCGGATGAGTAATTTCAGGACCATGAGGTTGGTGAAGTCTGAGCTTCCCCACTCAGAATTTCTTGCCTTCCTACAAAAAGAAAAAACAAAAAAAAAAAAGCCCATTGTAGCAAATTGTCCGTGTGATTCATTTGTTGCAGTCGCTGATGAAAAAATTTTTTTCTTGAAGGTCTTTCGAAGATCCTGGACCATGATGATAGGAAATAACCCCAGAAAGTGAGGAAAGCAAGGCACAAAAACTTAATATTAATTTTATTTTGCCATTAGAAAATCTTATTCTTTTTGCTTTTGGGGCAAAATTTGAGCTATAGAGAATGATAAATTGAGAAATAGAAGATCTGATCAAAACTGCCTCTGCTAGCCTAAAGTTTAATGTTTTAAAAATACAATTTTATTTTTCTTATGTCTAGGTTTTCTGTTCTTTATTCATACCTTTAAAGAAATTAAAGTTCATATGGCTGGTTTCTTCCTGCTTCTCATAAAAGCGATCATGCTCAACCAACAGCTAGAACTAAGTTTACGAGAAAGAAAGGAGGGAGGGAAGGAAGAAAAGGGTGAAATGGGAGAGAGGGAGAGAAGGAAGAAAGGACAGGAGGGAGGAAGGAAGAGAAATAGTATGTGGAGGACATTCTTTCCATTTCAAAACTGTAACCACCTCACTGACTATCTACAATGAAAATTCAGTGGGCAGTCGTTCAATGCCTCACTTAACTCCATCTGTGTACATTCAACCTCTTAATGCCTTAGTTTTAGGGCAGGCCCATTTTATCCTTTTCATCATCTCAGGCACAAGGTAGTGGTGACTTCAGTCCAGAAACAGAGTTTCTTAGTGTACTTCATGCAACACATCTACCTTGAGGCACTTCTACACAAAGACACTTGCTGGATTCTGAAGGGCTAGGAAGATGAATCCGATACTATGTCAGTCAAGAGATTAGGTTAGGCCTAATGTGGCTAAGTTATGCCATGTGACAACCCCCAAATCTTGGTGACTAGAAGCAACAAAAATTTATTTCTTGCCTATGCCACATATCTGTTGTGGAAACACAGAAGCCTTCAATCTACAGTGTCCTCACTCAAGGATCCAGGCTGAGGGAGGCTCTATCTCTGTTCTTCCATGATTGCTAAAGCAAGAAAAACGGGATGTGGAGAATCCCACACTGTCTTTTTCAAGACCCCACCTGGAAGTGGCACAAGTTACTCTGCTCACATTTGATTGGTCAAAGTAAGTCACATGGTTATGGCTTAGTTCCAGGAAATAGGAAAACACAGTCCTATGTGCCCACAAAAGGAGACAATTAAAATATTTGGTGACCAGCTGCAATGGTTTGAATGTTTGTCCCCTCTGAAACTCATGTTGAAACTTAATCTCCTTTGTAATAGTATGAAGAGGGTGGGAAATCCGACTATGGGATTTGAGAGGTGGGACCTTTAGGAAGTAATTAGGATTAAGATAAAGTCATGAGGCTGGAGCATTAGTCAATTTATAAAAGAAAGGCCTGAGCTAGCACTCTCAGCCCCCTCACCATGTGATGTCCTGTGCCACCCGGGAATCTGTGGAAAGTCCCACCAGCATTAAGATCCTCAACAGATGTGCCCAGCCTCCAGAACTATAAGAAATACATGCCTTTTCTTTGGAAATTGCCCAGTCTCTCGTATTCTGTTATGGCAACAGAAAACAGACTAAGACTAACAAAGCCAACCAGACATCGCATTCTTGATATGGAGGAGCTCATTGTCTTTTAAAGATAGCAAAGCCAAAAAATCTTTTTAGCGGTTCCCTAGGAGAGGAGCAAACTAAACGTCACAAGCTCAAAGGCAGACCTCACCCAGGAAGAAGAGCCTTGGAAAATAAGCTGGATTTTTACAAGAAAAGATGAGAAATCAGGCTTTTTAGGTGCAAAGAAGAGCAGAGCAAAGAAGAGAGGTCAAGAACACGTGAGTTATGCTGCATGAGACTGAGTAGTTTGTTCTGTCGTAAACAGAATGTGTACTTAGCAATGTATAAAAATTAAGAAAGATGGTAGGATCAGCTCATGGAAAAATTGCATGACAAGAGATATGGTTTGGCTGTGTCCCCACCCAAATTTCACCCTGAATTGTAATAATCCCCATGTGTCAAGGGCAGAGCCAGGTGGAAATAATTGAATCATGGGGGTGGTTTCCCCCATACTGTTCTCGTGGTAGTGAAAAAGTCTCAGGAGATCTGATGGCTTTATAAATGGGAGTTCCCCTGCAAACACTCTCTTGCCTGCCACCATGTAAGTCCCTTTGCTCTTCCTTTGTCTTCCTCCATGACTGTGAGGCCTCCCTAGCCATGTGGAACTCTGAGTCTATTAAACCTCTTTCCTTTATAAATTACTCAGTCTTGGATATGCCTTTATTACCAGCGTGAGAACAGACTAATACACCAAGCTATGGAGGTGGGAGTTCTTTCAGCAGATTGGGCCATTCATTCATTCATTCATTCAATAAGCAGAAGTGCCATCCTTGGCTTTGAGAATGTAGCAGCAAGATAATGATAATAATAGATAGGAAATGACTTCAAAAGAGACTTTGACAAGAGAATTGAGAGATTTGGGTGAATTTATGAGGGGTGAACTTATGAGAGTGAGTTCTGGCATCTGGCTTTGGAGATTCGGAGTATGCTAGAACCAAATACGCAGAGAGCACGGCAAGAACAGGTGCAGGGAGAGGGTGGATGATGGGCCATGTGATGAGCTGGGTTTGAGATCGGCTGAGTTGGAGGTGCCAGGAGTGGCACAAGGGGTCTGCCCAGCCAGCGTTTCCCTACAAGTCACCAGGCATACGGTGAGCCCTCTAGTACACACTCTGGTGGTGGGACCTGATCCTCTGTGGGACACTGCCCTGGCTTCTGTGGGTAGATCACCCCCTGGCTTTTGCCTCTAACCTCCCACATCTGGGACTGCCCCCAGAAGGCTGGCTTTGGGCTCCTGGAGCCACTTTGCCCACACACACAGAGATGAAGAAGTGCCTGGGTGTTTATGTCTCCTTGGAGCATCTGCAGCCAATGACTGTCCGGTCCAGGAGAGCACAAGTCCAACTTTTGGGACAACTCCTGAGGCATAACTCATGCCCCCAGAGCTCCCCACAGGGTCAGGCAGAAGCTCCCCTCTTCAAGACTTTTGCCTGAAATCCTGTCTTCACTTGGCCTCCTCCCCTTCTCTGGCCTTCTTCCACCCGCCCCCAACACACACCCACATACTGGTTTCTCCTGGGAGCAGTTTCTTAACACTTCACTTGCAAACAAATCTCCATCTTGCGGTCTGTTTTGGGGGAACCCACCCTACATCCAGCACCTACAGTGTGCCAGTCCCTTTGAAGGACACTGGGGATTCAAAAATTGAATAATACACAGCCTGGTTTTCAAAGAGCTCACTGTCTGGTGGAGAGACAGATGTATACATTGACAATTTCAGTGCAGTATGTGAATGTGCTGTTAGAGTAAGACGCTAGGGGTGAGCGGGAGGCATGAAAATACGGGCGAGGGCTCTTGTTCCACCCAAGGGATACAGGGAAGACTTTATAGAGGAAGTGGCCTTTAGACTGGATCTTATAGGATACATAGGATTTTGCTAAGGGAAAGGCAGGGAAGGGCAATATAGGCAGAGAAAACAGTTAATCGAAGTCAAGAGGCATGAAATGGATGGGAAATGGGATGTGGGGAGACTCCAAGTAGCTTGCTATTGCAGGAGCCTAATGGGCAGAGTAGACAGTGGTGGGCAGAGACCACAGATTACTGCAGAAGCCATGTAGGGTGTAGAATTCACCTTTCCTTCCCTTTCTCACTTCTTCACTCCCCAAGTGGTGACCGCAGTATCACTCTAGAAGTGAACCTAGAGCTGTTCATTCAGGAAGCACACATGCCCTTTAATCTGTACTCCCAGCCCACAGCAGTCTCCTAGGAGTAGGTCTCGCCAACTCCGGGTCCCCAGCCCAGAGGCACTTGACAGCACCCATAAACTTTCTCTCATCAACTGATGTTGTAGCCAAAGAAAACAGGCTCCCAGGAACAGATAAGGGATAAGCAGAAACTACCCAGTGCTTGCCTGGGAAACTCTTCTTGTAGTTCGAGTTCTCCCAGAAGTAGACTCTGTGACAAGAATTTGAGCACCCAAAATCTATTTGGGAAGTGTGAGAAAATACCCATAGAGGAATGGGGAAGTGAAGCAGGGAAGAAAAGCAGCCAATACAGGGAGTGTTATCAAGCACGTCACCTCTGTGGGAGATGAGCACTTACTCCCAGGAATGGAATGGGACTGGTGTCATGTACACACCTGAATTTTCCCACCCCAGGGACAGGGTAATTGGGGTAGCTGTATCCCAGGTCCCATCAATCACTGGCTGAGGGCTGCTCCCAGGGAGTGTTAATTCCCTGAAAAGCAACAACACACCAGCCAGGCAAGGAAGTGCAGGTGCAGAAAGTCGGAAGTCAGGCCACTGTGCCCCGAAGCAAGAAGGGCAAGGAAGTTTGAGCAGGGCACCCATGACGCACACCACCCTTCATGCTTCTTGTTATTCTTTCCCAGCTGTGGGAGAGAAACATCTCTAAGGACCTGATTTTCCCCTTTCTCCTCCATGTAAAGTTTGGAAGAAGAGTCAGGAAAGAACATCGCCAATCAAAAGGAGGGGGCCAATGTCCATCTAAAAGCCATTCAAGCTTCATTGTCCCCAACTATTTTGGGCGAGTGTATCTGCCAACTGGCACAGATTCATTTCCTCACTCCATAAAGCAAGTGAGCAAAAGAGAAAGCTAGTTCATAATAACCCTTCTACAAAGTCAAAGCATAATCTGACTTTGGGTTTCTAAGGAATCTGGTTCTTTTCACCTAAAAATGCCTGTGTAAAGTTCTACTAAAGCAGAGAGAGGTGCGCATTTTTTTAATACCACCACCATTAAGGAAACACAAAGCTTTTTTTGTTTTAGTCCAGTGGTTTGCACAGTGCCCTGAGGCCTAGGAGCTCTGCAGAGGTGTCTCGGGTGGATGAGGAAGGCAGAAAGAGTTTTTTTCTGCTCTGAGTCCCTCTCTTAGTTTGGGTTTCCCTAGAAGCTGACCAAGAGACAAGGATTCAAGTGCAAGTTGTATATTTGGGAGGTGATTCTGCGGTCACCACTTGGGGAGTGAAGAAGTGGGGAAGGAAAGGCAACCAACAAAGGGTGAGTTATCAATGCAGTTACCACTGTGGGCAGCTAGAGCCTGTGCCTTCTAGGGACCTGTGTGAGCCAGACTAGAGCACAAGCTTTGGCAACATCCCACCTGAGGTGTGCGGGAGCTGGGGTATAAATACCACGGCTCCCTTCAGTCATTAGTTCAGAGCTGCTTGTGGGGGACGTTGATTCTCTGGGACTTCCAGCCTGCCCAGAAGCAGCAAAACGAACTCTGGCAGCCAGAAAAAGCCCTTGGGCAGGGAGGGAGTGACAGGGAGCATGTGCTGGCAGTTGGAATTTAATGGAAGAAGCCAAAATTTTGCAGAACAAGAGAATATGCAAGAGACATCGATAGCATGGGATACAGCCCCCTATTCTTAGTCCTCTGAGAAGAGAGGCTTAAATCTTCTGTTTTACATATCCGGGTGGCACTAGAGATACACTAAGAAAAAAGAGGTTTTAAAACCTCTGGTCTGATACAATGTACTTATTTCACAAATAAGGACTTAGAGGTCCAGAAAAGAAAGTGTGTAGCAATGTGAGGACCAGAGCTGAGATCTCTTGAGCGTCAGACCAGGGCTTTTCCCACGCTGCACACATTTTGGCCCAAGCCAAGTTTTGCTGCTATTTCATTTTTTCAAACTCCTTTTGTTCACATTGTCCCTGTTCTCCACGTATGCCCCTGCGACCTTAGCCGACTGTTGCCCAGCATCAACCACTCGCGCTTCCCACCAGTCACATAGAATGCCATTCTCTTTCCATCTTTATCCAGCTTCTTTGACAAAAACCTTTTATTACATTTGCAAACAGTGACCAAAAAGTATGAAAACCAGAGGATTGATGTTGGCACAACCACTTTGGAATTAAATGTAAATACTCCACTTCACTTGGGCGACATGCTGGGCTGATAAAACAGCTTCTGCAAACTCAATATCAAGGAGTCTGTTTCCAATACAGCTGCCTATTGTCTTTCATGTTTGAAGATCATTCAAAAGCCTTTGGGCTGCTTTATACACGAACATGTGGATGTCTTAATTTATAAAAATCACTGTGCATCCTATTAATCTCTGCATCTTCAGTACCCAGGACTCTTTCTAGACCACAATAAGTGCTCAATAAATGTTCACTAAATGAATGAACAAAAAAATGACAGCTACGCTTCCCCTCAAACTGAAATCAAAAGGCCAGCCAGCTGCAGGGATTTTCATGTGCACGATGAGCTTCAGTGACATTCCGTCAAAAATTGATCACGACCTCTTTGCCAGACTTTTCTTGAACTATACTGACAAAAAAATTAAAATCATTCCATTCATTAAATAAATATTTATTCAGTGCTAACTATGGGTTGGGCATTGGGATATGATGGTAAGAGAAATAAAGGAGAGACTCTTCCTTTTTGAAGAGTGCAGCCCAGACAGACACAAATCAAGTAACCATACCAGTTAAATGACACCAGCCATGATAAATAACAGTGGTCCTTTTAAAGGTAGGTCCACAAAGCCTTTGATGTTCCTCCCCTTGAGAGGTGGAGCTCAATTCCCCTTTCCTGGAGCATAGTTTGAATTCAGTGCCTTACTTGTAAGGAATAGAAGAGAAGGGATTTCATTTCCAAGACTAGTCTATAAAAAGACTGTGGCCTCATCTTGGGTGGATTCATTCTTTCTCTTTCTGTCTCTCTTCTCATCATTTGCTCTGAAGGAAGTACCAGTTGCCATGTTGTGAGGATACTCAGGCATGTGAGGGGTAAGGGAGAACCCCCCTTTAGGGAGGAACAGGGGACTTCTAGCAACCATGTCGGTGATCTTGGAAGCAGAGCCTCTATCCCCGGTTGAGCCTCTCCAGATGTCTGCAGCCCTGGCCAACAACCTGACTGCAACCTCATGAGCGACTCTGAGTCAAAACCACCCAGTTAATCCACTCCCAGATGCCTAACTCACAGAAACTCGAAAGTAATAAATGTTTGTGGTTTTATGTTATGTTTGGGGTAATTTGTTACACAGCAATAGGTAATTAACATGAAGGAGAAGTCCTAGATAATGTGAGTGCTTCCATCTGATCTGGGAAGTCAGAAAGAGCTTCCCCAATGAAGTGATTGAGTAATGGAGGAGCAAGAAGGCTGAGAAGAGTAATCCAAGGAAAAGAAGTGACATGTGCAAGGGCCCTGGGGCAGGAAGGGAGCATGCTGAGTTGGAAAGATTGAAGGAAACCAGTGTGGCTGCTGCTGCATGGGGATCAAATGGGAAAGTGATTTGGAATAAAGCCGGCATGAGGGGGACCTATCCACGGAGGGCCTCAAGACATTGTCCAGGACTTTGATCTTTATCAAGAGAGCAATGGCAAGTCTTTGAAGAAACAGGTATGTGACTTGATCAGACTTGTATTTCCTTCATGTTCTTTCAACTATCATCTCTTATCAAAGCATTCAGCTGACAACTTCCTCTCTCTGGGCATGTTTTGATTTCCACACAGACTTTCTGCAAATAATGGAAATCACATAGGCAAAAAAAAAAAAAAACCCTCTGCTTATAATTTGCAGTGCAAACTTCATGCTAACTCTCATTTTACCCCAGTGGCTGCCAGTCACTCTCTATCAGCTATAAGAGGGCGAGATAGACAAGGTTTAGGAAACGTAGGATGAAGTAAGGGGCTCCCTTCAAGGTGAATCCCAAAAATCATATGCCAACGTTGGGGTGTAGGTATATCTGTGCAGTTTTTAAAGGACAAAGTCGAGTTTTTATCACATTCTCAAGGGGATCTGGGTTCCCTAGAAGCAGAACCTGAAGCCAAGATTCAGGGTCATGGAAGTTACTGAGGAAGGACTCACAGGGGAAACTTTCAAGGAAAAGGAAGAGAAAAGAACCCAGCAATGTGTGATCTTGGGTGATATGTAGCCCTGGCCTGATCCCCAGGGGGACACTGGAGAATAATCTATACACAGTTACCCCATCCCATGGCATGAGGCCAGCCTCTTATACCCCTACATCTACATCCCTCAGTTACTGGCTGTGAGTTGCTCCCTACATTTCTGGAGATGATGTAAGTTTTCCAGATAAAATTAAGTATTTTTATTTGCTAAATATAGCAACCCTAAGAAAAGGGCAGCTACGAATCATTAGCAGCCAATACTCACAGCAGCTCACGGATGGCTCAGCAAAGGGGATCTTGGCAGGACACCAAAACAGCGTTAACCACAACCTGTGACCCTGAAAAGGTTCAAAACCCTCCATCTATAGGACGGAAATGGTTGGCTGGTCAGTAATGTTCTGGGAAACCATGATAAATTCCTCACACTTAGAAGCTGCAATAGGGCCCCAGGAAACTAGGACAGAGCTGGCATCCAGTTATGTTTGCACATCTGACTGACTCAAGTTTCCCAGGGAATCCAACCCAAATCCAGAACTTACAGCTTATCAGAGTACAGGAAGAAGCCAACAGGCCAAAATTAACCTAAGCATCACTAAACTAAAAGTTGCACAAAGATTCTACAGAGGAACCACTGAAAGTTCAGACAACCAGGTCCCTTGTGTTATTTTAAGTGTGGGGTAGTACAATGAGAGTTAAAAGTAAAGATTCTGGATCCATACTATCCGAGTTCAAATCCCAGTGCCCCTGCTTACCAACTGTGTGACCCTAGGCAAACTGCATGACCTCTCTGGGACTCAGTTTCTTATCTGTCAAATGGATATTATAATAATAGTCTATCTGTACCAGTATAGGATCAACTGAATTGATTTCTATAAACTGTTTAAAACTGTGCCTGCTTCAGAGTAGACATCAATAAATGTTTACAATTAATATGATTATATAGTTATAAAAAATGATGTTTTTGTTATTAAAGTTATCTGAAACTTCCCAGATTAGCTCCTTCCAAAGGCCTGAAAACATCCTTCATACTACTGGGCAGCATCATTTGGCCATGAGCTTCCTGGGGGCCTGATGAGTGCCCTTCTCATCTTTGCTCGGTGTTATGGACACATTGTTGGGTTTGATGAATATTTGATCAGTGGAGGCTGCCATTGCAGGAAGTAGCCAGGAAGGAAGTTTGCTGTCATTCAGGCCTGCCAGGCCCTTCCACTCCACCCGCCTTTACATCTCATGGCAGGTGCAACTGCATGTTTAAAAGCCATGACGGGTCACTCTTTGAGCCTGAAATTTCCAGGTGTACAGTCGGGGGGTTGGTCTAGAGAAAAATCTCTGACCACCATGTATCGAGTCCTCCCTCTGTGCCAAGCACTGTACTGAATGTTTCATGAACATTACCTTGTTAACTCATCCCAACAACCCTAACTTCTTAATTTCCCTATTACAGAAGAGGAAATGGAGGCTCAGCCACCTTCTCCAGGCAGGGCACGCAGCTAGATTCTTTTACTCTCAGGCACGAGCCATAATCCAGCAGGAAGGACACATTCTTGCCAATGATGGCCAAGCTCCCTGAGATCACGGGAGCTATTTGCAGGCAGGTGCTGAAGCCAAAACTCAAGAAGAGGAGACACTCGTATCCAGGCACCCTCTAGCTCACAGCCAGAGCTCATATTCTCCAAAGCTGGGCACAAGCCAAGAGAGAATAACAGACACCCCCGGGATTTCATAGGGATGTTGTAGAGCCAGGGAGGTAGCAGAGCTAATACCACAAGAATACAACAGTAAATACAGCTGGGCACAGTGGTGCACACCTGTAGTCCCAGCTACTCGGGGGCCTGAGGTGGGAAGATTGCTCGAGCCCAGGAATTCTGGACTGCAGCACGTCACGGCAATCAGGTGTCCTCACTAAGTTTGGCATCAATATGGTGACCTCTGAGGAGGGGGCCCACAAGGTTGCCTAAGGAGAGGTGAACTGACCCAGAGAGAAAATGGGGCAGGTCAAAAGTCAAAACTCCCGTGCAGATCTGTAGTGGGATCGCACCTGTGAATAGCCACAGCACTCCAGCCTGGGGAACACAGCAAGACCCTGTCTCTCAAAAATAATAATTAATTAATTGTAAACACTGCTTGCTGAGTACTTATTAAATGTTAGGCGTCACGCTAAGCCCCTGTCTTGGTGGAGTTTCCAAAAACAGACTCTGAGATGAGGATTTGGCTGCAGGGTGTTTACTCGGGAGGTGGTCCCAGGAAGCACAGTGAGAGCCAGAAAATAAAACAAAGAAGAGATAAAAGTCAATAAATGGTACAGTGATGACCAGGTCACCTCTGTGGACAACTAAGGCTTGGTCCTACTGGGGACACTTTGGGAAGCTCTGTGTTACACACATGAGAATTTTTCCACCAAGTGTGAGAAAGCTGGGTATGGATCCACCCACTCCCATCTTCCACAGGTTGAGGGTCCCTCCTGGAACATTAACTCCCTAGCACTTCTAAATGTCCTGTGCAGGGGTTGAGCACCCTCCTGAGCATCAGAGGAGCCCTTGGGCAGAGAGGATCACAGGTGATTGAGGCTGGAAGCCATAGATGTGTGCAGGAACTGCCCGGGAAACGTGCAGGTGACAAGAGAGTCAAGAAAACATTAGAAGGGTGCAACTTACTATAGCCTCTTTCAGGCATTGTCTCACCAGCCCAGTGAGGTAGGTACAATTGTGTGTCATTTTAGAGATGAGAAAACTGAGACTGAGACTCAGCAAAATAAAATCTACTCAAGGTCACAGTTGATGAGCTAAGACTGAGTCCAGGCAGCGAGGTCCAGAGCCCCTGGTCTAAGGCATCATACAACACTGAGGACTCCCCAGCCAGTGCTCTTTGACTCTACCGAGCAGGCAACAATCGCACCAAACCCATGGGATTCTAGCCTCCTCTATTTGTTTATTTTACTGTATATATTTAAGGCACGTAACATGAGGCTTTGATATAAGTATACATAGTGAAATGGTTACTAGAGTCAGGTGAATACACAGATCTATCATTTCACATAGTTATCCTTTGTGTGTGTGTGGCAAAAGCATTTAAAGTATACTCCTAGCAAAAATCCTGAATACAATACAATATTAGCTATTGTCCTTATGTGGCACATTAGAACTCTAGACTTCTTCCTCCTACACCTCTGCACCTTTGTATCCTTTGACCTATACCTCCTCATTTTCTCTGCACCCCTTCCTTGCCCCGCCCCTGGTAACAACCATTTTATTCTCTGTGTATTCAACTTTCCTTTAACTCCAAATCCTGTATGTTCTCCATACAGTATTCATTCTACTGGCCAGCGGTTTGAAGTAAGGGATGGGGTTGACCTTTATTCGACTGGAGTAGAAAGATGAACAGAGCTGGGGGGTGACTTCTTTGTCCTAACCAATGCCAACTCCATTTTGCTTTGTAAAAGGACTCTTGGAATTAGTAGGGGAGGAAAAATCACCTCCAGGTCAGAAGCTTACCTTGTGTGTCATATTTCAGACAATAGGAAGGAATTACCCCAGTTTCCCTCCAGCGGGGTGGACAGAAACTTCCCCCACCCGCCACTGGAATAGTATAGTCAGCCTTAGTCCCCCTACCTCCTGGGAAATGCATGAGTTGGATCCCTTTTCCAACGTTCTAGTTGTGTGACCTTGCTTATCTAACATCACCTCCCTGAATTCAGTTTTCTCATCTATAAAATGGAAATGATGACTCTTGCCTCTTAGGGCTGTTGTGGGGATAAAATGAGATAATGGAGAGAGAGTTCTCCGCACTGTGCCTGGCACATAGTCAGCACTCAAAAAGAGATTCATTCCTCACCCCTCACAATGCACCTACCCGTAATGGGGATGCACTGGGCAGGTGTGACCTGAGAGCATATGTTTGTGGTGACAGATCCAGCAAGACAATAATTGAGAGTAACCTGCGTGGTGTGTGTGTGTGTGCGTGTGTGTGTGTGTGTGTGTGTGTGTGTGTGTGATATGCTGCACTCAAAACCCATCCTTTCCCACCTCTAACCCCATGGGCTCTCCACAGTGATTACAGTGATTCTAAAGAATTCACCAAAACATGTTATAAGCCTTGATTACAATGAAAAAGCGATTTTCCTAAAGTGGATCTTCCATCTGCTGGAGGTAGCCAGGCCCCAGTGACAAAGAAGAAATTCCTGGAACTCTGCAAACTCGGGGTCTGTGGCACAAAGCCCACTCCTTCCTGCAGCCAGCCTGATTGACAAGGCCCAATATCCGTCCCCTCCCGGGCCTAGATCCACAGCAGCAGCCCACAGAGCAGCCTTGGAAATGGACGATAAATGGCGCCTTTTTATTTATGAGCACTTTCCATTATGGGCATAATACCCCCATTCTTTCCCTGGTTTGTATATAAACATCTCAAAATAGGCTTATTTTAAAAGGACCTTGGGACACAATACTTCTGTTTGAGAGAACGGCCAACGTGCCCACGCACGCTGAGAGTGGCTGGGTTGTTACTTGCTGGCCCCCTTTGCAAGAGCACTCGGCAGTCTTTTTGGGCAGAGAAAATAATTTGCTCAGGAGCCCATTTGTCCCTGGAAGTCACAGAGTGGACAAGGTCACCTGCTACTCGAGATTCACACAGTTGCCAGTCCTGGGGTTGGCAATTCTGGGACCCATGGCCACTGGGTCCATGATAATAATTCACATTTGCAGAAGTCACGTGTTTCCAAAGCCCTGGTCCCTGGCTTTTGCTCATTTACTCCTCCCCACACTTGAGTTCATAGTTAGAATTTTTTTTTTTTAATTGAGACAGAGTCTCACTCTGTCACCCAGGCTGGAGTGCAGTGGTACGATCTTTGCTCACTGCAACCTCGGCCGCCTGGGTTCAATCAATTCTCCCACCTCAGCCTCCTGAGTAGCTGGGATTACAAGCATGTGCCACCACACTTGGCTAATTTTTTTATTTTTAGTAGAGATGGGGTTTCTCAAATTTAGGCTCCACTGCCCTAAGAGGCAAGTGTCATCATTTCCATTTTATAGATAAGGAAACTGAATTCAGGGAGGTGATGTTAGATAAGCAAGGTCACACAACTAGAATGTTGGAAAAGAGATCCAAGTCATGCATCTCCCAGGAGGTAGGGGGACTAAGGCTGACTATACTATTCCAGTGAGGGTGGGGAACGTTTCTCTCCACCCCGCTGGAAAGAAACTGGAGAATTCCTTCCTATTGTCTGAAATATGACACACAAGGTAAGCTTCTGACCTGGAGGTGGTTTTTCCTCCCCTAACAACTCCAAGAGATCCACCCACCTCGGCCTCCCAAAGTGTTGGGATTACAGGCGTGAGCCACTGCACCCTGCCTGTTGTTAGAATTCTTCAGAGGAGAAAACTTTATCCCTGAAGTATTAAATACCTTAACCACCATCCCAGAAGAATTGGCAGAGGTGGAGCTTGGATATATTGTCAAAATGGTGAAAGTTAATCATTCATTTGCAAATCCACCTGAAATCACTATCCTTGATTCGCCTCAATTCTAATGTCACTACAAAGACCTCTTTACCCTCCTCCCACTGCCTCACCCCAAGAAGCCCATTGCTTTGCTGTGTTTCTCTCCTGAATGAAGCTTGGGGTCTCTTGGCCCAGGGCAAGAAGGATGGGCTGACCCCCAGGGGCTCTGGCCAGGCCTTTACGGAGCTAAAAAGGATAGCACCTTTTCCCAATCTCAATGCAGAGAGTACAGTGATTTTTTGCTTTTGTGATCTATTTTGAAAGACCAGGTATAATTTATATTCTATTTAGCAAAGCTTTATATGGCACTTATTGTGTGCCAGCTGTTGTTTCAAATGCATTTCAAATCTTAACTCGTTTAATCTTCATAACACCTTTCTGAGATAGATCTTCTTATTGGGGAATTTGTAGGTGAGGAACTGAAGCAGAGATGCTTAAGTAACTGTCTCAAAGTCACACAGCCAGTATGTAGAAGAGCTAGAATTTGAACTTGGCCTGGTTCCAGAGTCTGTGCTTTCTTAACCACTACATTATATTCTTAAATGATAGTGTCTATAATTCAGGTGATTACCCGTGGTCACTTACCAGGGGAGAAATGCCTACTTTTTGGAAATAGGAAGCACCAACATTGAATGGGCTCCTACGATATACCAGGCTTTGTTCCAAGGGCTTCAATACGCTATCTTACTACTTTTCAACAATCTTAGGAGGCAGGTGCTGTAATCTCCAGCCTACAAATGAATTAATCAAGACTAAAAGCATAAACTAGAATAGGAATTTTAGTACCCTGACTGGTAGAGGGCCACTCAACAAATCCAAATCCAATTAATTAATGTCTAAGCATTAATTAATTGCTTAGAAACTCAGAAACACAGCTGGTATGCAGTGGAGCCTAAATTTGAGCCCAGTTTTATCTGACCTTCACCTGAAAACTGACCAGGATATCCCCAGGTAACACAATTAGACAGGTGTAGACAGTAAGTTATTTTTATAAAATTATCAATATTAACATAAATAGAAATGTATTAATATGCATTTATAATACAATATACATTCATTAAATAAATATTAATTAAAATTGTAGCATATAGATTCACTGATTTCTAATTATTGAGGATAAGAAATTCATTTTCAATATTGCTTCATCTAACCTTAATGTTTCTTATTTTGCTTTAAAGAGTACATGTAACTTTGTCTTTTTTTATTTTTCTATTTTTCTAATTTTAATTTTTCTAGACACATAATAGTTGTACATATCTCTGGGATACATGTGATATTTTGATACACACGTGCAATGCATAATGACCAAATCAGGATAATTGGGATATGCATAACCTTAAACATTCATTTCTTTGTGTTAGAAACATTCTAATTCACTCTTATAGTTATTTTGAAATATACAGTAAATTGCTGTTAACTACAGTCACCCTATTGTGCTGCTGAATACTAGATCTTATTCCTTCTCTCTCACTGTATTTTTATACCCATTAACCAACCCTTCTTTATCCCCCCAACCCCATTACCCTTCCCAGCATCTGTGTTTTTTTTGCTTGTTTGTTTTTGTTTTTTTCTGAGAAGGAGTCTCACTCTGTCACCCAGGCTGGAATGCAGTGGAGCAATCTCGGCTCACTGCAATCTCCACCTCCCAGGTTCAAGCAGTTCTCTGCCTCAGCCTGCCGCCAGCCTCTGTAATCATCATTCTTCTATCTCCATGAGATCAATTGTTTAAATCCACATGGAATTTATTTTGGTATATGGTATGGAATATACTTTTATAAATAAAGCACATATACATATATATAAATAAAATTATGCATATCTCCAAATGGTTAACTGTCTCACCATCATTAATTGAATAATCCATTATTTTTCCCCACCTTACTCTTATAGTAAATTCTTTTTTAGCTTTCTATTTGAAATCATTTTAAGCTTTCAGAAAATTTGCAAAAATAAAATTGAGAGTTCCTTTATGCCTCTCCCCCAGCTTCCCCTAATGTTAAGAACTTATGTAACCATAGTGCAAAAAAAAAAATGGAAAATTAACATAACTACTCTGCAGACCTTATTTGATTTTCACCAGTTTTTCCATTAATGTTCTTTCTCTGTTCCAGGATCCAATCCAAGATCCTACATTGCCTTGAGTTATCATGTCTTCTCAGTTTCCTCCAATCGGACAGTTCCTTGGTCTTCCATCTTTCATGACCTTGACTCTTTGAGAGGGTATGACCAGCTACTTTGTAAAATATCCCTTAATTTGGGTTTGTCTCATGTTTTCTTGGGGTTAGATTGAGGGTATGCATTGGAGGCACAAATATCATACAAGCGATGTGCCTTTCACAGTGCAGGAGTGCATGATGGTGCAACGTACCAGGTGGTACATGATGTCAGGGTGTCCCATCACCTGTGATATTAAACTTGATCACTTGGTTAAGGTGGTGCCTGCCAGGTTTCTACACTGTAATGTTACTATTTTTCCTCTTAGTAAATAATAAATATCTTGTGAGGAAATACTTTGAGATAATGCAAATATCCTGTTCTCATCATGCTAAATACTAATTTTAGCCTCTGTTGATGTACTTGCCTGTGACCATTGTTATCGCAGTATTTGCCTACTGGTGATTTTCTATTTCCATCATTCCTCTACAACTATTAATCAAAATTCCTCTGCAAGGAAGAACTGTCCCTTCTCCCCCAGTACATATAATTATTTATATCAGTATGGATTTATGAATATCTTCCATGGGTTATAATCCAATTCTTACAGTAAATTATAACATACCCTTTTTTCTCTTGCTGAATTTACTATTCTATTTCATGGGTATTTTGGTATATTCCTGCCCCAATAATACACTATCTTCATCATTACAGCTTTATAATACATATTAGAATTTTTACATTCAAGTTCCCTTCTCACTGTCATTATTTTTCCAAAAATTCCTGGGTGGCTTTTTCCTATTTATCTTTGCAGATGAGTTTTTAAATAGTTTTGTCAACTTACACAACCCTAAGGGCATTAGGTTGAAATTGCATTCGATTCAAGAACTAATTTTGGGAAAATTGTTTTCTTTACAATACTGTCTTCCCATTCAAAAACACGATATGCCTTTCCGTTGATTTAAGTCAGCTTTCAGATGCCTCTATGAAACTTTGCCATTTATTTCATATAGGTACTGTACCTTTTGGTTGGAAAATTCCTAGAGTCCTTTTCCCCCCCCAGGATTTTTTTTTTTTTTTTTTGTGACCAGACACCTTATTGAACTATTTTATTGGTTCTAAATTTTTTTTTTTTTTTTTGAAACGAAGTCTCGCTCTGTCACCAGGCTGGAGTGCAGTGGCGTGATCTTGGCTCACTGCAATCTCCGCCTCCCAGGTTCAAGCGATTCTCCTGACTCAGCCACTTGAGTAACTGCGATTACAGGTGCGCACCACCACACCCAGCTAATTTATTTTTTATTTTTTGTATTTTTAGTAGAGATGGGGTTTCACCATGTTGGCCAGGATGGTCTCGATCTTCTGACCTCGTGATCCACCCACCTTGGCCTCCCAAAGTGCTGGGATTACAGGCGTAAGCCACCATGCCCGGCCTGGTTCTAAATTGTTAGTTTATTAATTTACTCAACAGTTACCTATTGAGCATCTACCATGTACCAGGCACTGATGGGAGAAATGGGGAGTCAACTTTGTTCTGGGCCTCACAGACCCTAAATTCTAGCAGGTCAGACAAAGAACAGAAAAACAAGTAAATACTTATAAGTAGGACTGTTATTTATCATAAGGCAGTATTCAGTGCTCTATACAACACTAAAGCAACATTGGAAAAAGCAAAATGAAAGGAAGAGGGTGTTATCTTAGACATGGAGATTGATTGGGAAAGCCTCTCTGGAGGGGTGATATTTGAGCAAAGACCTGAATAAAATGGAAGAGTGAGCCAAGAAACCATCTGAGCAAAGAGCATTCCAGGTAGAGAAAATAGCCTGTGCAAAGGTCCTGTGGCAGAAACGAGTTTGGCAGGTTTGAGGCATGGTAAGGCTGGGGTGGTTGGAACAGTGTGAGGGAGTGCAGAGTGGTGGGCAGAGCGCAAGCCATGTAAGGCCTTGAGGCCCTGGTAAGGAGCGTGTAGTGTAGTCTAAGTGTGATGAGAAACACAGAAGCAGGGATTCCAGTAAGGAGGCCCCAGAGGTCATCCAGGTGAGAGAAGACAGTGGCCAGGACCAAGGCAGGAAACGCGGAATGGTCAGAAGCAGTCAAATCTTTGACACATTTTTAAAGCTGCCCTGGCAGGACTGCTAATGGGTTCAATGTCGGGAGTGAGGGAAGATGAGCATGATGGAAATGCACCAAATCCACACTGGGCATATATTTCATGCCGCTCACATTTATCCTCAAGGATCCAGACTCAGCCAACACTTTGTAACACTCATATAGTTAATGCATAAGGTCATAGCTAATTTAACAGACTGCTCTTTGACATTAAAAAGGAAAAAAAAAAAAAAAAGAGGCCAGGTGTGGTGACTCAAGCCTATAATCTCAGCACTTTGGGAGGCCAAGGTGGGAGGAACACCTGAGCCCAGGAGTTCAAAAGCAGCCTGGACAACCTGGTGAAACCCCATCTCTACAAAAAAATACAAAAATTAGCATGCATAGGGTGGTATGCACCTGCAGTAGCAGCTACTCGGAAGGCTGAAGTGGGAGGATCATTTGAGCCCTGCCAGTCAAGGATGCAGTGAGCCATGATTGTGCCACTGCACTCCAGCCCTGACAACAGAGCAAGACCCTCTCTTAAAAATAAAAATAATAAAAAAAAAGCTTTTAAAACGCTGCTGCCACCAGGAGTCCTGTACTATCAGCCATGGTCAACCCCACTGTGTCCTTCGACATTGCTATCAACACCGAGTCCTTGGGCTGTGTCTCCTTTGAGCTGTTTGCAAACAAGATTCCAAAGACGGCAGAAAATTTTCATGCTCTGAGCACTGGAGAGAAAGGATTTGGTTATAAGGGTTCCTGCTTTCACAGAATTATTCCAGGGTTTATGTGCCAGGGTGGTGACTTCACACGCCAAATTGGCACTGGTGGCAAGCCCATCTGCAGGGAGAAATTTGATGATAAGAACTTCATCCTAAAGCATACAGGTCCTGGCATCTTGTCCATGACAAATGCTGGACCCAACACAAACGATTCCCAGTTTTTCATCTGCACTGCCAAGACTGAGTGGTTGGATGGCAAGCATGTGGTCTTCGGCAAGGTGAAAGAAGGCATGAAGATTGTGGAGGCCATGGAGTACTCTGGGTCCAGGAATGGCAAGACCAGCAAGAAGATAATCATTGCTGACTGCAGACAACTTCGATAAGTTTGACTTCCATTTTATCTTAACCACCAGACTATTCCTTCCGTAGCTCAGGAGAGCACCCTTCCACCCCATTTGCTCGCAGTATCCTAGAATCTTTGTGCTCTTGCTGCAGTTCCCTTTGGATTCCATGTTTTCCTTGTTCCCTTCCATGCCTAGCTGTGTTGAAGAGTTAAGTTTATGATTATGAAATAAAAACTAAATAACCAAAAGAAAAAAAAGACAGGCTCTGTTTTTTGGGCCTGTTTTGGGCCATAAAATCAATCTCCCTACTCCTGGGGATAATCAAGATAGCAGCTGAATTATGTTGAATATGCTGTGATGTAATAGAGAGAACTCAGAGCTAGGAGGCAGGAGCTCTGTGCAAACCTGAGCACATCACTCAGCCTCTCTGGCCTCAGACACCTCACGTACAATGAAAGGATCAAACTGGATCCCCTGGAGGTTTCTCCTAGTCCAGGCATTCCCGACTCTCTATAAACTGCATTATCACAGGGACCTGAGTCAAGGACAGCAACTAAGACTCAACAAGCAAGAGATGAGAGCCCCAGTTCCCCACCTAAAGCCCACCACATAGAGCAGAGCTAAGAAGATTAAATGAGAAAATATCTGGAAAGTTCTAGCAGATGAGAAGAGCTCACTCCACAAGAGCTGCCAACACATGTCTAGTTAACAGAGAGTTAACAAGTATATATAGATCACCAATTTTCAACTCCATTATACTTGTCAACTGAAACTCTACTGAACACATTATATTTTATTGATGACTCAGGTACCCTTCAGGCTCATGAAGGAGCCTGAAGGTCATGATTATAATCTCTAATTAGCTTTGTTCTGGAGCTGTGTGGGAGGGCTGGTTAACCAGAAGTTGCAGATACACGAGTTCTGGATAAAGAATTGCTACCTCAATGGATGAAGAACAGATTTTGTTCATTTACTGAAGTGCTTGTTAATTGTGAATAATTACTGGAGGGTGTACTTTAGCCATCACCTACACATATAAATAACCATTTGTTCCATGACTCCAGGTTATTAATACGCTCCCAGGGCCGTTCTGATATAATGCCGGGAGAAATGTGGGACTTACATCCTCAATGTGAATATTTGTTTGGCCTGACATCAGAGGATGCTAGGAAAAAAAAAAGAAAAACTCTGCTGGGATCAGGTTAACCTGAATTAGTGAAGGTTTGAGCAACTAGCATCCATAATGAAAACTGCTTAAGGCCAAGGTATTTTTGGAAGCTGCCCCCCACCCCTCAACAAAGGATTACAAAAGAATTAAACTCTGGGATACCTTAGATTCAAAGCAGGCCTCCCACTGGCTTCAAAGACTTGGGCCTCCTCATTAAGGAGAAAAGCAAGAGGGTGGTCCTGATGTTTACCAACTGTCCTGGACCTGGCCTCCCTTGTATCATATGCTGGGCTTAAGGGGATTAAGAGCGAGTGAGTGGTGCAGAGGAATGGGCCAGACAGGGAGAGGCAGCTCAGACCCAGCCATCTCACCAGACAGCAGGTTCTACACGTCCCCTAGAAGCAAAGTCAGCCCACTTCATCCCTTGACCCACCATCATCCCTGACTCCTGTGGCCACTCTCAGCTTTTCTCTGTCATCTCAGGGCTCTGCCTGGAAGTCCCCCGTCTGTGCACATCACCTCGCTCCCTGACCAGTGTCCTTCCTTACCTTTAGCTATGCCATGTGGTGTTGTTTGAATTGTGTCCCCCTAAAAGATACGTTGAAGTCCTAACCCCAGTTCCCTGTGAATGCTACCTTATTTGGAAATAGAGTCTTTGCATATGTAATTAGTTAAAGTGAGGTCATACTGGATTAAGGTAGGCCCTAAATTCACTATGATGACTGGTGCTTTTATGAGAAGAGATGAAAACACACACACACACACACACACACACACACGGAGAACATTATGTGATGATGGAGAGGGACTGAAGTGACACCATCTATGAGCCAAGGAAGGCCAAGAATTGAGGGCCACCCCCAGAAGTCAGGAAGAAGCAAGGAAGCATCCTCCCCTCGAGACTTCAGAGACGGGATGTGGCCCTGCAGACACAGTGATTTCAGACTTCTAGACTCTGGAACTATGAGAGAATAATGTTTTAAGCCACCCGTGTTGTCAGCTGCCTTAGGAAGTTAATATACCATGCAATACAGCCACATTCAAACTTTTCTGTTCAGCCACCCTTTCTTGAAATAAAAGTTTACAAGGAAGTTTAATAAGATATTGGAAGAACTCTGATTAATGTAGGATGTGGAGAGGGAGGAGTGAGCAGGATCTCAGGCCTCTGCCCTCCCCTTCTCTAACTCCGAAGCTAGGGGTAGGGCAGGAAGGACCATGCCCCACATCCCTCAGGTTCCAGAAAGCAGTTTGGCATGAGAATTAGCAGGCAGGCCTACAGCACAGCTTCTCCTGGACTTGAAATTCAGCTCTTCCCCATCCCAGCTGTGTGACATTTGACAGATAACTTATTGGGGCCCTAGTTTCTTCATTAGTAAAGACAAAACCACCTGCCCAATGCAGTCACTGTGTAGCCAAATGGAGATCCTGTTTGCAGAGCACCCACCCTGGCCCTATATCATAGGTGGAACCATGTCCCCCCCCCCAAATTCCTATATTGACGTCCTACCCTCCAGTACCTCAAAATGTGATTATACTTGGAACTGAGGGTCTTTAAAGAGGTGATTCAGTTAAAATAAGGCCATTAGGGTGAGCTCTAATCCAGTATGATGGGTGTCCTTATGGGAAGAGGAGATTTGGACACAGGCAAGCACAGAGGGAAGACCATGTGAGGAGAGAGCAAGAGGTAACTATCTACAGGACAAGAGAAGCCTCGGAAGAAACCAGATCCGCCTACAGCTTGATCTCAGACTTCCAGCCACCAAAACTGTGAGACAATACATTTCTGTTGTTTAAGCCCTCCAGGCTGTGGTGCTTTGTTATGGCAGCCCAAGCAAACTAATACAGCCTGGTACACAGGTCATGCAAGAAATGTTAATTTCCTCTCCATTCCTATGTGCCAGACTCACCCACAAGCATATATATATATATATATATAATTTTTTTTTTTTTTGAGATGGAATCTTGCTCCGTCGCCCAGGCTGGAGTACAGTGACGTGATCTCAGCTCACTGCAACCCCCGCCTCCTGTGTTCAAACAAGTCTCCTGCTTTAGCCTCCCGAATAGCTGGGATTACAGGCGTTCGCCACCACTCTCAGCTGATTTTTTGTGTTTTTAGTATAGACGGGGTTTCACCATGTTGGCCAGCCTGGTTTCGAACTCCTGGCCTCACGGAATCCACCTGCTTTGGTCTCCCAAAGTGCTGGGATTACAGGCATGAGCCACCGTGCCCAGCCACTGGCAAGCATTTTAATCTGTCACATTTGATTCATTCTAGATATACCTTCTCTCCCCATGTCAACATCTCTGAAATGCGGGTGCATCTGGTAGTCTCTGGGAGCCAGGCCAGGTGGGCACCATGGCACAGTTGTCATTGCCATGCATGCTCAAGCCCGGTGGGGATTCCCTGTGAATAAGGGCAGCTCCCACATTTGCACCAGCAAACGACTTACAGATCATTGAAGGAACACAAGTCCTGGGTGCCCTCTGCAAACCTTCTATCAACACCTCCTGGTAAATTCCAAAAATTCCAGCAGCAAAATTTGCAGAATAGGGAGCTTGGGGGACAAAAAAAAAAAAAAAAAAAGAGAGAGATTCGGCTAGGAATGGAGAACATTTCTAAGAATAACTGCACCGTGAACACCCTTGGTGGCACTAAGGACAAGATGACGCAGAAAAGTGCAGGCATCGACCACTGAGTCAAAAAGTGATTCAGAGAAATTGAATTCTGAATGTGGAAAAGGTTTAGGAATCCTTCCATCAATTTATTTTGCTTATATTTCCCTTTTAATGTATGCGAATGCCTGATATATGATAGAATCTATGTCTAAATGAATTTTAAAGAGCTCTTTCAACAAGCATAAAATAAAAATTCTAAGTGATAAAAGGTATGAACTCTAGTTTACATAGCAGCATTTTTTTCTTTCTTAGTGATGCAGAAACTAAAAGTACATCTTACAGTTAGTGGTCAGGGGCTTTAGTTTGATGAAATATGGTATTAATTGCCACAGTAATTTTAGGCTTGAGGTATGGTTATCCCCATTTTACAGGTGAGAAACTGAGGCTGAGAGCCTACATGAGCCCAGCATCACACTGCTAGCCACGCCAGGCCAGGATTGGGAGCCAGCCTTGTACCTACAGTCCCTTGCCACCTGTGCCAGCCCTCTCAAGCTCACCTTGGCTGCCCCCAACCTAAACCTGAATTCCAATCCTGAATCCAGCCTCTGGCAGGAAGTTGTTGCCAGGCAGTTAAATTAGTTGGTTTTTCATGCATATATAATGAACCCTTAGCAGTAAATAAGGCTTTTATGAGTGGCAGATTTATCCATTTTTATGGTGCAAAAGGAAAACTTGCCGGGTGTATATTTCTAACAGGTGCTGCCCCTCACACCTGCATATGTAAATCACAGTCGTGTGACATGGAAGTGTGGGGGACCCGCCTGGAGGCCTGATTTTCAAGACTGTCAATAGTCCCAGCCTAAAGAAGCCTGCATTGCACAGGGCAGAATCTACTGGGAGCACTGGGGTGAGGACTACTTACCAGACACAGCTCAGCTACTGCGAGGTCATAAAGATAATGTTCCAGAGGGTTCGCGTGGTCCCCAGGACACGGGGTGTGGGCTTTGCAAACAGACATGAAGTATGTCACTGAGAGTGGGAAGGGAAGAGAGAGAAGCCATTCCCAGGATGGCAGGCAGAGCAGGAATCCACAGGGCACTCTGGAAGGAAGCAAAGTCTTGGAGTCTAGGCTTTGCATCAGAATCATCTGGAAGGCTTGTCAAAATACAGATGTCCGGGCTCGCCCCCATAAATGCTGACTCAGGAGGTCTGAGCTGGGGCCTGAGATTCTGTATTTGTCCCAGGAGATGCTAAAATTACCAATCAATGAATCATGCTTTAAGTATCATTGCTCAATGCCTAGATTATATTTTGATCAAAGGCACAAATATCTCACATATGATCTGGTGTCCAGAAACAACCAGCAGCCCTCCCAGGGATGTGATAGCACAGTGTATCCAGGTGTGAAGAGCCAGCCTCGGGCAGCCTGGTAGTTAGGAGCATGGACTCCAGAGATGCCCGGAGAACTCAAGGTAAGTTGCTTGTCCTCCCTGAACCTCAGTTTCCTCCTCTGCCAAATAGGGTAATAATAGAACCCCTCGGATAAGCTTGTTGTGATGGTTGAGTTATGCTAGGCAGGGTTTTCTCTGCTCAGTAATTGTGAAGCCAAGTGATGGGTCGAGGGGCATTAATTGTACTATTATCTTCATCTTCTGTGTTTTTTATTTTTATAATAAAAAAAGTATTTTTAAGAGGCAATGCTTGTACACATACCTAGCTCACAGAAGGTACATTTCTATTCTCTGTCCCCCAACTCTGGCACATGCCACCCCCCAAAAGTAGCCTGGAAACAGCATCTCTAAAAACAAATGTTCATATGACAGGAAGTGGGGACAGGCCAACTAAAGGAAGTGCTGGGTTTACTTGCATTTAATTTTATTTGCTTCAAAAAATAAAGAGTAGGAGTGATGAGGGGAGGTTTGGATAAATGAACAACATCTTCCACTGCCTCTTTCTGCTTCTATTGTGATCTCTTGCTCTCTGTGAGTCTTTCCTCCTCATCCTCTCCCTCCTTCTCTCTCCTTCTCTCCTTTTCTTTCCCTCTTATCCCTCCTTCTCCCCCTCCTTCTCTCTTTTTTTCTCTTATTTTCGACATATGTATCTGTGAATCTGTGGAAGGAAGCGAAAGCAATTTCAGAACAGCAATTTCAGTTTTTACCCCTAGCATTAGCACCCTACTCCCAACATTTCCGTGCTTGCTTACTATTTTTGTGGGATAGTCTTGCAGAGTGGTGGAAAGAGCCCAGAATTAAATCAGACACCCCTGGATTTGGATCCTGGCTCAGCTTCTCACCAGCCGTGTGGCCCTGGATAAATAAACCCTCAGAATCTCAGTCCCCTCATTTGGAGAACGCAGGTGACATGTTTGGGTTCCCCTGAGAGCACAGCCTGAGTATATTCATCCATTTTCTATTACTTATATCAGAATACCTGAAATTGGGTGATTTATGAAGAAATAGAACTTATTTCTTATAGCTGTGGAGGCTGAGGAGTCTAAGACTGAGGGCATGCATCTGTTGAGAGCCTTCTGGCTGGTGGTGCAGAGCCCCGAGGTGGTGCAAGGCATCACATCATGAGGGGCACTTGTTTGTTACAGCAGCAAGCATAACCCAAGCTAACCTTCCCTGCCCATGGAGAACTCTCTGCCAGTAAGAGAAATGAGGCATTCACCCAAGTGTCTTAGTACAGAGATGACTTACAGGAACTTCAGACTCTGGAGGATGATTTCTCACGGTGATACCAGGCTGTTCTGCCATGTGGCACAACTGCAGGAGGAGCCATTCACATTTTCTATGTGAACAGCACTCCCCGTATTTGTACAACCTGCCACCCTGGGCAGGATTCCCAGAGGAGTGGGCCTGTTGCTGAGACTCCAAGGATGAGTAGGAACCCCACCCATGGAGATGGGGAAAAGCCACTGCAGCTGGATGAAACAGAAGGGACAGAGACACAGCATATGGAAAACCAGAGGCATGCATGCGTGCAGCAGTAATAGCCACCAGTGTCTACTGAGCAGGAACGATAGGCCAGACAGTGTGCTAAGCTCTTTACATACATTAGCTCACTCAATCTCACAACAGCCTGTGCAAATTCAGACACTCTGGCTCCAGAGCCTGTGCTTTAAATCCCCCAACAGATCCTGCCTACTATCACTAACATTGGTACAGCACTTTACAGTTTACAAAACTCTTTTGGACTCATGATCTGTTTTCATTATGGCAACAGAGCAACTGTTCCCATTTTACAGGTGAAGAAACAGTACTAACGGTCTTGTGACTTGTCAAGGTTACACAGAGAGTAAATTGAGAGGCCAAGACTTGAACCCCATCCTCTGGCCTTAGACAAAGGATGCCACAGCAAGGTGTCTGCAAAGCAGTCTCTTTCTTCCTCCCTGCTCTGCAGGGAGGTGAGGTGTCTATATTTAGATCATTACAAGGAGCTGCTGAGAGAATGTCCTCAGGCTATGAATTCAGCCTTACACGCAAATTCACTGCAGATCCAGGAGAAGGCCAGGAATAAACGGGTGGGAGAAGGTCCTTGACTCCAAACAGAAACTGAGCTGATCAAACACAGCCTGAGCACACGCAGAGGCTGCAGGAGGGAAACGAGATTAATCTCAAACCCTGTGTACTCAGAAGCTTTCCCCAGAACCCAGGTCCCACTGGCAGGAAATTGTCACTTCGTGCATTTGTTTATTTTTCCCATGTCTTCTGCCAGGCTCCGTGTTTCACTGAGTCCTTATCTTCTCTGTGCATGTCCACAGGCTGCTGGGTTGGAAATAGCCCAAAGCCATTCAGACCATTTCAGGCACTGAGTTGTATCAAGGATATTTCTTGTGGGTAGAGCAAAGATACGCTCCCACTCTCCAGTTGGGCTCACTGAGGCCTCCCCCTATTGGGGAACTGGCTGGGCTCCTCTGGCAGAGATGCCTGCTACTTATCAAAAATGCACGTTCCCCCCACTGTGGTATAGAGTTGTCTCTGAGAAACACAGCCCAACCAGGAACTACATTTCCCAGCTAACCTTGCAGCTAAGTGAGGTCATGTGACCTGTTCTCACCAATGGAATATGAACAGAGTGATAGGCTTCTCACCTGGGCAAAACAGAGTTGATGTGCTTTCTCCACATTCTCGCTCAGCTTCTGCCTGGATTCAGACCCTAGGGAATGGTAGAGCCACAAGATGAAAGTAAACTGGGTACCCATAAAGAGAAAATACTTGTGTTAGTTTACTAAAATGATGAGAGTTATTTGTTATAGCAGCAAGCATAACTTGAATTAATATATCTTCCTTCCTGACTCTTGGCAACTTTAGCTCCCCATGGAGACAGGGGTTGGAATACCACTTGTTCCCCCAAAGAGAGCTGTAATCTATTGTTCCCTGTTGTGTGCTGGCTTCACCCTCACACCTGGTTTCCTGCCTCAGTTTTCCTGAATAGAATAGTAGATTCCCCTTAAGACAGAGGTGACTCTTATCCAAGTCCATTTGGGACTGACTGCCCAGCCTTGGTCAACATCAAAATGCGCTAAGACTCCAGTGTTATAATTAATGTCCACCTACCCCCCAATTCATGTGGCCACTGCTCAGCAACCCTGCTACTGTATTTGTTCCCTTTGAGGTTGCTACTGGCTGGGTTTGGGCCCCAAACAGTCTCTAGCTGTACTGGTGGCTTGATACCAGAAACTTGGGAGAAGAATGGTGTAAGAGGAAGAGTGTATTAGTCCATTTTCACGCTGCTGATAAAGACATACCTGAGACTGGGCAATTTACAAAAAAAAAGAGGTTTAATTGGACTTACAGTTCCATATGACTGGGGAAAACTCACAATAATGGTGGAAGGAAAGGAGGAGCAAGTCACATCTTACGTGGATGGCAGCAGGCAAAGAGGGGATGAGAATCAAGGGAAATGGGTTTCCCCTTCCCAAACCATCAAATCTCATAAGACTCATTCATTCACTATCACAGGAACAGTGCGGGAAAGACCTACCCCCATAATTCAATTACCTCCCACCAGATCCCTCCCACAACACATGGGAATTCAAGATGAGATTTGGGTGGGGACACAGCCAAATTATATCAAAGAGCATGCTATACAATCAGAAGAACCTCAAACCAACCTACAATTTCCAGGATGAAGTTGTGCTCCTCTATTAGACCAGGAAGCTCTCTGTGCACTGCCCTTGCCAACTGTTCAGTCTTCTCCATCTACTTTCTCCCAACTACTCCATATACTTTCTCCACTTTCTGCTCTCCCAAATGTATGGCACTACCTAGCACCCTACAGCCAAGCATATGCTGTTCCCTCCATTCAGAATGCCCTTCTGACATAAAGTTCAGAGCCTGGCAGGGGGTAACTGCTGGTTTTTGCCTATTCAGCATCCCTCCTTCTTCTTCTGGAAACATAAACCCATGTGGGGAACCTAACCCATGAGGTTTAATTAGGGTTAAACCTACTTCCTTCCCCACCAGAGGAGTAAGCATGAAATTGTTTGGGACTGATCTAGGAAACTTAATATTTTGACACCAGGAAATATCAGATCTCTTTTTTTCCTAAGATGCATGAAAAATTTAAACTTAGGTTCTTCAGTAATAATCTGTATTTGAGAATGGAATTTAAAAGTAGACCTCATGGGAGAATCACATGAACCCGGGAGGCAGAGGTTGCAGTGAGCTGAGATGGCACCATTGTACTTCAGCCTGAGTGACAGAGTGAAACTCCATCTCAAAAAAAAAAAAAAAAAGTAGACCTCAGAAAAGAGGCAAGAGATAAATTCCTGATTCACTGCTTGAGCACCTTGTGTAGACAATGTTGGTACCTCACCCAGACTACCTCTACAAGGCCAGTGCACCCATCTGTAAGTGTCAACTGGGAACTGCTAACAGCTTATAGTTGTACCCTTGTTTAAAGACTTGCCTCAGCCAAAGAGAGCCACTTTTCCCAGAAATTCTGAAAAGGTTATGCTCCCCATGCCAGAGGGAGCTCCCAGCCAATGCCTGATAAACACGGGAGTACAAAAGGCGAATCCTCTTGCTTTGCAGTGAGACAGCACTGTGATGTTATTCCTACTCCGGAGATCCCAATGGGACCAGGCTGAAGCTGGACTCCAGCTGAAAACACATTCTTCATCAGCTTCTTCTCCTCCCCTGTCTGGCATAAAAAGTCACTTCCTTGCAGTTACTGCTGAAAGCACCTCCTCAATAAATCACTTGCACAAGAATCCCCATCACAAGTTCTGCTTGTAGTGAATCCAACCTGAAATACCCCTGGATCAAGCCATGCCTGAAGTCAGGCCATGGACTTCCTAACCCCTAGAGCACACAAATTCTCTTTTTTACTTAAGCTGGTTGAAATCGGCTTTCTGACATTTGGGCTTGACCTTGGAGACCTCATATTTAGTGAAAAATAAACATTCCTGCAGTGTCCTTTATTCTCAATCTCACCTTCATCATCAGCCCAGAGTGAGGTAAGCCTGCAGCCTGCTGGCTCCCTGGACAGTCATGTGCCTAGCCTATGCAGGCAGACACACCCCCACACCCAACACCTCCAAGCTACAAACAGAAACTGTCACACCTCCTCACACACATCTTGGTAACTTTATTCAGTGTGTGCTTCTAAAAAGAGTTTCCAGATCGGGCCAGATTTCAACTGCAATAAAAAGGACCAACTGCTTAGCCTCTCTTTGGTCTGTGCTGAATACAAATAATACTTGTATTTGTAATAAATGTTTAGAGAAAAACCGCTTCAGTCCTCGGCTTTAGAGAGTTGTGTGCCTTTCAAGGATTCTTGCATCTGACTGTTATAATGCAGAGATTGCTGGCTATTAGGATCTGTCCTAAAATCCTCCAAGATGTTGGCACTGTATGGTATTAGAAAATTATGGTGTTTTGCTGTGTCGCCACAAAAAGAAAGATTAAACATAAAGCAGGGTTTAATAAATAAAGCTGAAGGTTGCTGAGCAGAATAAGGGAGACTACTCTTCATTCCTACGGCCAATGCCTTTAAATGCCCAGAATGAATTACACATACGCCAAACTCCAGACCCACCCATCCCCAGCATTTTCAGTCCTTGTCTCTCCAAGATAGGCTGTTACAAGTGACTTGGGTGTTAATGTGTACTGTGAATTTCAGTTGACATTGGGTTTAAACCTCAGGCTTTTCATCCAATTTGTGTACATGCATTAAAGCTGCTATTTATTGATATTATCTTGCCAAATTCCTGTCAAGCCAATAAATCATTATTATCATCCTCATTTTACAGAGGAAGTATCCCAAGCATAGAGAAGTTGGATAACCTGCCCAAGGGCATGCCATCAGTAAATGATAGAGCTGAGATGTGAATAGAGGACCCTCTGAATCCAAAAGACATACTATGTTCATAAAGCTATACTGCCCTCTGTGTCAAATAATATAATGTGGATTTATCTTTCTTCCCTTTAAAAGTTTGATAATTTTGTATGGAGCACTGTGAATAAGGCTGACTTTTGTAATAAAGATTATCTTTCTAAGATGAACCTTTTAAAGTCAAGGTGGCCACAAGTCCCCAGGACCAGAATTTGCTTCACGGTGGCCCCAGAGCAGGATGCACACTGAGAGCCCCCCACGTAGTGCCCACTTGGAGAGCACCAGGCAGGGGACCCAGGGGTCAGGGGCAAACTGCCTCATGACCTCAGAAGGGCATGTGAGGATCCACAGTTCCTGTCATCCCTGTGCCATCCTTTGCTAAGACCCCTGCTTTCTTTCTCATCTGTAAAATGGGGATCATAATGCCTCCCTGGGGGTCGGTTTTGAGAGTTAAAACATTGTGGATGTGAGAGATCTTAGCAAAGTGTCTGGCATATAAAAGCTGCTCAGTCATGTTTGCTTCTGAATCTGAAGGGGTCCAGAATACGCACTTAATAGATGAGAAACTTTAGGCCCAGACAGGGAGCAAGACTTGCCACAGCCACACAGCAAGTCTAGCTAGAAGCTCTGTTGCCTCTAAGCCCAAGGCTTCCTCCTCTTCCTATATCCACTCCATCCTGAAGCTGGGGCAGAGTAGCTCTGTCTTTACTGTGCCATACCCAATACCTCCCAGGGAAGGCAGTTTATGCACAGGCCTCCTGACACTGAGCTAGCACAGTGGGGAGGGGAGCAGGGGGCGAGATGGCCTCGATTAGCAAGAATCTCCCTGCCTTCTTTTATCTGGGGTGGGGACTCCAACTGCCTTTTGCCAGTGTGACCTTACCTGCTCCCTTCAACCTAAGCAGAGGGCAGACACCTGGATAGAGCAGGGGACACCCACTGGGCAGCGAGGGCAGATGGTTGCAGGCAGGCAAGCATCTCCAGGAGGCAGAGGCCAAACAACAAATGCTAAATGAGCCACTTCCCCCCAAAACTCTGGGCATCCCATGAATCCCAAGCTCTGCTCCTCTCACACATTATTTTTTCAAACCAGTTTGTCCATCAGTCCAAGACCAAAGGGAGTCTCGACCCTTAGCCCCTGCTCATTGGAGGCTGCCCCTGAATCAGGTTCGCCAAATACTCGCCTTCTCACTCCAGGTCCACCACCATCCCCACTGCCACCCCACTGCCCTCCCTGCTCAAACCTAATCTCATTCCTGATTAAACTTCCTCTCCCTTCCATTTGTAATCGTGTGCAGAGATGTGAGTTTTGAAGCCCCGTATAAATATGTGCTTTAGAATTAAAGGTTCAGCAATTCTTGACAATGATTTCTCAGAAATTAAGCCTGGACAATTTGTTTGGCTGGAGCACAACGTCTGAAACATGCATGATGGAAAGGCGGTAAATGTACTCAAAGCCCAACAGCTTCATAAATATTGGCTCCTCTGAGGGCGGGCATGCAGGCTCACAGGAACATGCTGCCCCCTGGCAGTGCTCAGGGTTAGTGCCAGCCCAGAGCCCAGAATCTCACACATCCTCCAAGTGAAACAAAACATCACCACTCCTGGGCGCAACCCAGCCGCACTTTCCTCCACTTGGAGAGGACCCTGGGGCTTCAACAGGTGGAAGTAAATTTGTGAAGGAGGGAAAAGGGTGGGATAAGTTTTTATCTGTGTGTCTGGGGTAGCAGGCTCTGTGCAGCATGAGATTAAAAAGGAATGGAATACTAATGCATGCTACAACACGATGAACCTCGAAAACATTATGCTAAGCCAGACACAAAAAGCACATATTGTATGATCCCATTAATATGAAATGTCCAGAATAGACAAATCCATGCAGACAGAAGGCAGATTAGTAGTTGCCAGGGGCTGAGGGAGGGAGGAATGGGGAATCACTGTCAATGAGGTTTCTGTGTGGGGCAATGAAAATGTTTTGGAACTAGACAGTGGTGACGGTTGTACAACATCGTGAATGTACTTAATGCCACGGAATTGCACACCGAAAATGGTTAAAATGGTACATTTTATGTTATGCATATTTTGCCACACACAAAAAAATTACAACTGGGTGCGGTGGCTCACGCCTGTAATCCCAGCACTTTGGGAGGCCAAGGCGGGTGGATCACGAGGTCAGGAGTTCAAGACCAGCCTTGCCGAGATGGTGAAACCCTGTCTCTACTAAAAATACAAAAATTAGCTGGGCGTGGTGGCAGATGCCTGTAATCCCAGCTACTTGGGGGGCTGAGGTAGAGAACTGCTTGAACCCAGGAGGTTGAGGTTGCAGTGAGCGGAGATTGCGCCACTGCACTCCAGCCTGGGTGACACAGTGAGACTCCATCTCAAAAAAAAAAAATCACAAGAACAATCTCAAGTCTCATTTCTTGCCCTGACTCCCCGTCCACCCCCTCAGCATATCTCAAAGTCCTGAACATTTCTGAGTGTCCCCAGAGGGTTTTTTGCTGACCTGTGCTATCTGCCAATTCCTTCTCCTGGCACCAGGCTTGCTGCAGCCCTGTCCCCTGCACCTGCCAAGAGCTTCCATGGCTGCCACCTGGCTTTGTGGAGCAGCTGACATTGGCAAGAGGACTGATGTCTGCCCCAAGAGTGTCACCTCTTCTCCTGCAGGAGCTGTTGGCATGAAAGCTGCGGATTCCTCGTGCTCCAGCCTGTGGAGGTTTCTCGGTGGTCTTAGTATGGCTACCTTTCTAGAGAGCTTAGGAATGGCCCACAAGCGGGGCTGGAGGTCTGCTTGGAGACAGACACTGCATCTGGCTCAGAAGCTCCTTTCTGGTTTGATCTGCCATCCTCAAACCAGACTTGTGGATCTAGAAAAGATCTCCCCAGGAGCTCCTGGAATCCATCTTTTGACAGAACCCTGGCAGGCCTGTCCCCTTCCCCATCCCCATCTTCTTGACACATCAAATCCCAGGCGAGCGCTTGTTTAGTATTTTATTTAATCCTCATGCATATATGAAACACAGATTCTTATTCCCACTTTATTGCTGAAGAAACAGGCTCAAAAAACAAGAGCCACACAGGAAGTTGGTGGCAGAGTCAGAATTCCAAGCCTGGTCTGTCCAAATTTTTCCTGGACCCCTTGCTGCCTCTAGGGGCTTGGTTCCCATAATACAGCAAGGATCAGAGGCAAGGAGAACTCTGGGAGTCATAAACTACCTCTCCCACAAGCCTGGGAGCTCAGAGAGGGCAGGAGTGGGAGATTCATCTTTGCTGCCCAGGGCCAAGCACAGAAGCCCCCAAGTTAGAGACATTAGTGATTGTTTGCTAAGATGAACTGGGCTCAGACCCCACTGAGGCTGAGATAACAGAATGGGGTTGGAAGAGAAAAACTGACCTGAATCTTTGCTTAGAACTTAAGATAAATGATGAGTTAAAACTGGTTGCGGGGTAGGCATCTTACTCTCTCTCATCAACTTTGGTTCCAGGTCATACACAAACACACACACACTCTCTCTCACACAAATCCAGCCTCAGGTTTTCAAAACAAGAGATTAAAGATATGGTTCTTAATACTCCCATTGTACTACCCATCTACTCACACCTTGAGCAGTCAAACCATTTTTAAAAGGGCTAAAGAATTGCTCAAAATTCTTAGATTCACCTTAAACAGTTAGAATTAATTTTCTCTGACACACGTTGAATGACAGAATTGGGTTTCAGAAATGATCCCACCAGGTCGGGGTGGTGGGCCAAACTGAACAATGGAGTTCAGGAAGGAAAAATATGAATCCCACACTCAGTTCAAAAACTGTGCAGGTATCAGATGGACAAAGTGTGACATGGCAGTCGAGCCACGGTGTGACTTGAATGCCCAAACTGTCTGATTTTATGTTGGACAATATAAATGCAAGTACGGTCCTCAGGATGAGGGAGGTGAGAGGGCCTATCTCCTATCAACAGTTCAGAGCATGCTGAGGTCTTTGGTAAGGAATTCCGCACTCCCCTCTTAAAAGGAGCAAGCTGGAGTCTTTCCAGAGAAGTTAGACCTTTACTTTCTTCTTCAAATGAACATGGTTCTAGTTTTTTCCCCCTCTCAATTTCTGGCATCATCATGTCCTCAAACTCCCAGAGAGAATCCCTAAAAGGACTGGCCTCAACCATCTCTCTCACTTTCTGCTGCTGGCATAACCAGGGGCTGCCAGTCCTACTTCCTGAACATCTCCAGTGCCCTCTCTCCCTTTCCAGCCCCTCTATATCTTAACTTGTGCAGTGGCCCCATACCTGGGCCCCCAGCATACCCCTAACTTCTCATTGTCCATTCTTCTTCTCGTGTTTAACTCCTTTGTCCTATCCCCCTGCAAGGTCATCTCTGGCCCCAATCATGCACAGGATAAAGTCCAAACAGCCCAGCATGGCCCTCTCCTACCCTCCGTCCCAGTCTGTCTTACCCTCTTTGCCTCACAATGTCCTAATCTCATACCAGGGGGTCCATCTCTCTTTCTGGCTTTGAAGGTGCCATTTCTTCTGATGGAAACACCACTGGCCTCCCATTTCCCACCCACAGAACTCTGACTCTCCCTTCAAGTCCAGGATCAGCCATTCCTTCCTCTGGGAAGACACAGGCAGTATGGTCCCTCTGTCTTTCAGGCTCCTGAGGTTCCCTGAGTTACCCTTATCGTATTGTTCTGGACCTGTGGAAGGGTCTGTCTTTTCTCCTAGACTAGATGTCATTGAGAACAGACTGACTCCTATTCATCTCATAACCCCCTGTGCCTCGCACAAGTTTTGTACGCAGTACTTACCAATTAGTGTGCTTAGCATGAACGGATGCATGGATGGACGGACACATGGATAAATGCATGGTTGATGCATGGATGGATGGGTACGTGGATGGATGGGTACATGGTGGCTGCATGGACAGATGATTACTACGTCTGTGATCAGATTCAGCGTGACTTCATACAAGCTCTGTCAATTATCCGCTCAATGAGCACAGGTTCCAGGGTAGGCATAAGCTGTGGGTATGAATCTGCCATTCCCTTGGTTGGTCTCTGTCCGTTTGAGCCTTTCAAAATGGAGGCTCTTCATTGCAAAGAGATCTCTGCATTGATTTGGATTCCAGGGTTGGAGGATTCATGTTTCTTCATACAAGACTCTTGACCCAGTGACCTGTTCCAGCACTGGAGGAAGAGCTGGCTGCAGCGGACTTGCCCAGAGGCATTATGTTAGTCTGCACTGAGAGACCTCCCTAAGAGGTCATAGCAGTTTGGGTTTTCCAGGAAGCAGACCTGAGGCAGAGAACAGCAAGTGCTCCTGGGATCACTCTCTGTGGAAGGAGGCAGGATTGGGAAGAGAGAGGAGTTGGACTGTGATGCAGTCTCAATAAAAGCTCCTGCTGACTCCCTCGGGCACAACTTGGAGATGTCCTGGGTTGAGGAAGGAGACCAGGCTTCCATATACACATGTCAATATGTGCTTCCCTGGGAAGGAGACACGGCCTTGAGAGAAGTGACTCTCCTCAGTTGATGCAGTTCTGCAGAGGGCCATCAATTAAGGGCTGACAGCCAGCAGCACCCCCGGCAGCCCGGGGAATAAGTCCTTCAGCCCTGCATGGAGATCTGGGTGGCATATCAGAGCAACCACTACAGTCCATGTGGCTTTTCTTCCTAGCACAGAGTCTTGTACACAGTACTTACCAATTGGTGTACTTAGCATGAATGGATGCACAGATGGACGGATACAGGGATAAATGCATAGTTGATGCATGGATGGAAGGGTACTTGGATGGTGGCTGCATGGATAGATGATTACTATGTTTCTCCTAATAGCATGTCTGTACATTTCCCAAAGCCTCACCAGGGTGTGAAATCTCATGCCCCGGGAGAATGCTTCCAACTGAAAAACTCAGTTATCCAACACCACATCTCTTTCTGCCCAGCACTCTCAGATCTCAGTCCCACATGCCCTCGCCTGACTCCTCCAAGTACATGCAGACAAGGCCCTGCATCTCCTTTGGGGCATATTCTCTTTCCTTCCTTGTGAGACATGGTAAACTGGGTTATGTTGAGACTTAGCCCTAGTTGTAGCCTATGAGCAGGAGGGGACTTGGGGGCAGATTCCAAGGGGAACATAAGGCCTTGGAGGAGACAGATTTCTGCACTATCTTCAGGCAAGCGGGGCAGTGGTTACTTTGCAGACTCAGCAGGTTTAGGGGAATCTCAGGATGCAAGATGTTGGGGTGCATCTACCCAGATGTCCCTGTCTCATGTGTCATGGTCTCATCCTTTCCCAACCAGGGTCCTCATCATGGCATAGCAAGGCAGGACTAAGATGAAAATCAAACTTCTGCTACTCTCCTGATGAAGCCTGGGTCCGGGCCTCAGCTTTCCCTGCTCTCAAGCTGTAGGAGATGAGATTTCCCTTCCTAGTTACCAAGGAGGACCTCTGGCTTTCACACTACACTGTTTTGAGGGGCAAGAGGGAAATAGGAAACTCACTTTGTTGCCCAGCTGGGGTGGAGCAGTGCAATCACGGCTCACTGCAGCCTCAACCTCCTGGGCTCTAGTGATCCTCCCACCTCAGCCTTCTAAGTAGCTGGGACTACAGGTGTGTGCCACCAAACCCAGCTAATCTTTTTTTTGTAGAGACAAGGGTCTTGCTATGTCACCCAGGCTGGTCCCAAACCCCTTGCCTTAAGTTGTCCTCCAGCCTCAGTCTCTCAAGCCCTGGGACTACAGGTGTGAGCCACCATGCCCAGCCATACTATGCATTTAATTGACTAATGAGCATTCAGTCCTTCCTTATCTTTTTTCAGTGTGTCAGCTGAGCTGAGCAACAGCCATCCAATTTCTCTGAGTTTACAGGTCAAATGTCTGATACCTTCCTAGTGCTTTTCCTTCCACCAGAATATCATCCCAGCTTTCACACTTATACTGCTGCCCTACAGCAGAGGCCATCTGTGCTTCACATACCTCCAGGGATGGGGTCCTCACTGCCAGCCAGGAGGTAGGTGGTCTGCCTCCAAAGCTACCTTAACAGCTGCTTTCTCAGACTACTCCTCGCGCCCACTGTCCCAGTTTGGATTTCTCCAGAAGTGGACTCTGAGTTGGAGGTTAGAGGGCAGGCTTCTTAGATGGTGATCTTGGGTCTGCCTCGGGACTCTGGATATATTAGTTATTATTCACTGTTGTAAAATATTTGTACATAATAATTCCAATCCAATAGAAATGTATTTCTCTTTACGCAAAGATAAAAGAGGTGTTTTGCGTTCTCAGATGGCTCTCTTCCAAGTGGCGACTGAGGGACCCAGGCCCCTTTTCTCTTGTGGCTAGAAGCTGTCTGTGCCATGTGGCCCCAGGACCTCCACGGTCCTCTGAATAGTGTCAGTGGCATGAGCCTAGAGGTCTTATGGGCCGGGCCTGGAAGTGGCACCAATCACTCTGCCCACATTTCATTGGCTAGAATGAGCTACATGGCCACACCTGTCTGCAAGAGTCTGGAAAACAACACTTAGCTCCTCTTCCAAAAATGAAGAGGAAATGGGCTTGGCAAACAACCAGCCACTGTCTGTAGCATTCGAGAAGGTGAACCTTTCCTCTCTGGTAGGAAACTAGACTAGCACTGGATATCTTGCTCTTAGCTCAGATCAGCCAGTGATGCTATGGTCACTGAAGTCATTCCATAACTCTTCAGTTTAAATCCTGGCTACCTTCTTTGCACTCCAGACTTTCCATAGCCACGAGTCTTCTCTTAAGCTTCCCGCTAAAGCCTTCCCTACCCCGCCCATCACATGCCCAAGCAGCAGAAACTACAAATAGCATATGTGAGACCTAGCACCACCAGCAGAGGAAGAAGACATAATGAATTTTGGCTCAAGACCCAAGCAGCATCCTTATCTCCAGGAGAAAGCTACAATAGCTTATTTCTTCACTTCTTCAGTCTCTTACAGTAGCTATGACAGTTTCTTACAATTTTTTTGAGATTCAAACACTCCAAGGATCAGCAGTGGACAAGTTAATGAGAAATACAACTGTTGCTGTTAAAAGTAAAGAGCTGATCACGGTGAAATGTGAAGAAATTATTGCATTTATCTAGGGTTTGTCAGTTTAAGTGCAGGAAGTTAATGTTGGGGAAACAAAAATGGCCTTTGAACCAAGTGAATAATGCAGTTGCTTCTTACTGCTATGTTTTATACCTATTATTAAATTAAATACACACACGTTCAAATGCTTCCAAGATAATGCATTGAAAATACCTTTTGGGAATAAGTCATACTTCCATTTTGAGATGCCAATTTGAGTCTACATATTTAAATCCTTTTCCTCTGATCTGCCAATAGAAATGAACAAAGAAATATAGAGATTTAGTAAAAGGAAAGAATCTATCTATCTACATGGTAGACAAAAAGGATGACTGCTCCCAACAAGCCAGAATCATTGTGGCATGTCTACCAGACATAATGTAGGTGGCACTACGTTCAGGAAAATATAGGCCCACCCATAACTAGAAATAAGTGAAGGGAAAACCCCATCTAGAAAGTAGGCAGGATAGATTGCTGGTAGAACCAGAGTTCCTATACCACCCCACCAACCAAATAAGATAAAATTGACAGTGTCAGTGGCTATAGATAAAGATGAGATGTGAGATGTTTGGCAAGGGGTAAATCTTATCCTCTTATGGGTGTGGGTACAACAGGCCTAGAAGAAGCACAGTGCACAGCTACTGTCAGGGCCCTGCCTGTGCCACCTCAGCATTTATTGATTTCCATGCCAGCCTGACTCCCAACCTCTAGCACCTGCAAAGTTTTCCCCAAGGGCTCTCTCTGACCACCAGCACCAGCTCCATTTGTGTGAGGCAAAGCAGAAGTATCAAGGCCCTGGAAGCTGGGTGTGTAAATACCTCAGCTTCCTCACCTCTGAGGTGGAATGATTTTGAGGAGCATGCTGCACACTGGTTCCCAGAGCTCCCTGGTGGGACTGCGTTGCAGTTGTGCATGCTGGTAACTTGCTTGATTGTGCACTTTGTATTGGCGGTCTTTCCTTCTCTGTCCCACTTCCTCACTCCCATGACAAATGTGTCATAATATCTCCTCTCAAATAAACTACTTAGGCCGGGCGCGGTGGCTCACGCCTGTAATCCCAGCACTTTGGGAGGCTGAGGCAGGCGGATCACGAGGTCAGGAGATCGAGACCATGGTGAAACCCCATCTCTACTAAAAATACAAAAAATTAGCTGGGCGCGGTGGTGGGCGCTTGTAGTCCCAGCTACTTGGGAGGCTGAGGCAGGAGGATGGCGTAAACCCGGGAGGTGGAGCTTGCAATGAGCCGAGATTGCGCCACTGCACTCCAGCCTGGGCGACAGAGTGAGACTCCGTCTCAAAAATAAATAAATAAATACTAAATAAATAAATAAATAAACTATTTACACTTAAATTTTCATGTCAGGATCTGCTTCTGGGAAAACCCAAATTAAGCAGGGAGCTAACCCCGAATCTTCTGAAGGTACGGGTGGTGGGCCAAATGAAGTGGAGCCATTGCCATAGTGGGGCCATAGGATGGGCAATGTAGCCCTTTAGGGATGAGGGCCATTGTCTTAGCTAATGTCAAAGTAATTTGAACATAGGAGACGATTCACCCAGGTTAGGGGCATCCCTTTAAATGCCTCCACTGCACATACACAAACACACACACACACACACAAGTAACTAGACTTCATCTCTTCCTTTGTGGAACATTTGAACAGAGACCCTTATATTTGACAGAACACATCTCACCCTTGGGCAAACACAAATCTCTCAAAGAATAATAAAATAAAGAAAAATCACCTACTATAAGAAAATACTTGATGGTAAAAACAACAGCCCAATTCTGCAAAGTCTCTACAAATATTTTCCTGTATATACATTTGAGAAAACTGTAGAAAATCTTCCTAAATACATTCAGAAAGATCCAAAAACACATTGCAAGATGTTTAGCATCAGGGGAAGCTGGGTGAAGGGTGTATGGAAACTCTCTATAGTATCTTTGCACCTTTTCTGTAAAACTAAAATTATTTCAGAATAAAACATAAACACAAGACAAGACTAAACAAAACAAAGCAAACATTGCCTCTATGAAAGAAATGCTCTGAAATCAGAAAACACTTTTGGCAGGAAAAGCAAATGTGATCATCAAAATATCTAAATGAGTGAAGGCCAAACAATGGATTGGATACTGTCAAAACCCAAAGGAGTCACTTGGGAAGATCAGCATGAGTAATTTCCCCTAACTCAGAGGAAAAGGATGAAAAGATGAAAACAATGAGACAAGAGAGAATAAATGGAAAATGGATCCTGGAGGCTCAATAAACCCCCATTTGGAATTCTAGAAGGAATGAACGGGACAGATGGAAGAGAAGCAATAATGGAAGAAATAACAGAAGGAAAAGTCCCTCAACTGTAAGAAATGGATCACATCCCAAGGATGGTGAGTAAGTGCTGGCAGAAAAACCTGCAGAAAGTAGTGACATGGACAGGCACCAAAGCTCAGCCCCCGGGCCATGCCTGAGCCCCTTGGCATCTGCCCAGGTGAACATCGCACAGAAGAAATGCAAAAAAACACTGCTCTGTCTGCAGTTGCAATACAACAACCAAAGAAATGGAAAAGTCTTGGATTCCTGGCATTGCTCCTGGTGACCGCATATTTGCATAGGTCAGGGACATCTGAGGAGTACCCAAAAGAATCCTACGGAGCATGTCTGCACAGCTCTAGGAAATGAACAAAGCTAAGGCAGCCTTTGGGAGATTTTCTTGGAGGTGAGGGTGGGGATGGGGGGCTTAGGATTAGGTCCCAATGCAATGTGGCCTCCAACCCTTCCAGTTTCCTTACCTTTCAATGTCTGTGTTTTCCCTATCCCCACTCCATCACTCTCCCTATTCAGACTAGAAAGCTTAGATGATGACTATGGACTCATCCTGTTATACCGCAGTCCTACTGGTCTCCAGGTGATGACTTTTTATGATTAGTGTCTCTCTCATATTTATCCGTCCCTTTACATCCCTAGAGCCTCAACCCAAGTCCAAGCTCTTAGATTATTTTAACACTATCCCATGTGGACTTCATGCTTCCAGCCTCTGAAACCCAGCCACCTACTGTGTACCAAGACTTGGACCAAACCAGATGTCACAAACTAAAATGCCCATAGGTGATACAAATGAGTGAGGCAAGCAGGTTTAACAATGGGGAGCAGTGGGGACTGTGGAAACTGGAGGGTGTGACTGAAAGGAAGAGCCACTACTTGCCCCCCCCAGCCCATTATTCCCCATAAAAACCGTGACTCAGAGAAGCCCATTTTTAAATGACCCAGATCTTCCCATTAAAAAAAAAACAAAACCCTGAAACTCAGACTTTTTTCTGAAACCTTTTCTCAAAGCTTTAAAAACCGGGTTTTTAAAAGTTGACAATTAATTCAATTTTTAAACTCTCTGAGATATTCCTATCTTCTTTGGTCTCTGACATATTCGCAACCCCTAGAACAGTGCTCAGGAAATATTCCTGAAGGCTAAGTGTTGCACAGATGCAGTAAGATGAGCAGGATTTTGCATGAGTCTTCATGAAAAATCTAGTTTAGTCTTCACACGGTGGAGTAGGTATATCATTCTTGCCTTAGAGATGAGGAAAATGCACTCACAGAGGGGCAGAGGCTTGCCCAAAATCACACAGGCAGTACCAGTACTGGGATTTAGTTCAGGTCTCTCTGACCCCACTACACCACTCAGAAAAAAAGGGACCCTTCTCTGTCACTATCAGCCTGTAGGTTCTTATACAAGCCATCCTCAACACTTCCCTGTCCCTCAAAACTACTTCTCTGAGCCTTCTCCAAGTTCCCTTTGTCTGGTTCCCTAAATATTTCCATCACTAGCCCAATCTCATTATCTTCCCCTGAACTATGAAGTGGCCTCTTCTATATGGCCTCCCTGCCTCCAGTGCTGCCTCTTCCTTCATTACGGTCTCCACAGTTTTGCCAGATATCATTCTGGCAGAAGGGTGATACAAGACTTACAAGACTTTCAAGAGGGGAGATGGCCACGCTTCAGAGCCTACTAGTTGAGTTTCTTCCACATCTAGTCTGACCCACGTCCCAACCTCACTGTCCACCACTAATTCCCCAAGTTTACACCACAGCCAACCTTTTCAAACTTCTTTCCTACAATTCCCTACAAGCACTGTGCTTTTCACTCCTCCTTGCCTTTGACCATGCTGTTCTTTCCCACAATAATGCTTGTGCTTCCCTTCTCCTTTGAAGGACTCTTACTCACCCTTAAAGACCTGGCTTGAATGGACCCTTGCAAGAGAACTTCCCTAAGACTTCCAGAGTCACCCACAGCTTTCTCATGGCCTCCTAGTGCCTTGTGATGTTTCCAACAAAGCAGCACATCTCACCTTGTGTCACAGCCACTCGATCGCGTATTTGCCTCCTCAAATAGATGGCTCCCTCCTTGTCTTCTTCTATATGACTGTCCTTATGCCTAGCAGAGGCATAGATTTCAACAGATTCAATAAATATGTTGTAAATGAACAAATAGTTATAGCTTTGCCCTTTGCACTCACGTAGAGGGAGGAACAAAATATCGTTTATAATGATCTCATTTAATTCTTTTAATAACCCTACAATTCTGTAATTACATCCATCTTACCAAGGAGGAAACGGACACCCAGAGAGATTAATATGCTCAAGATAGGACACTAGTAAAAATTTAAATCCAGGAAGAATAGCTAGTGGATGCTGGTCTTAATATCTAACTGATAGGATGATCTGTGCAGCAAACCACAGAAGTATGTGGCACACATTTACCTCTGTAACAAACCTGCACATCCTGCACATGCACCCCTGAACTTAAAATAAAAGTTGAAAAAAGAAAAGAATTTAAATCCAAGTCTGTGAACTTCCAAAATCCCCATTTTGTTCATGATACCCTGTTTCCCTTCCATGTCAGCAACAGTCCTTTGAATTTTCCCTCTGGAATCTTCTTGTCATCTGGCTCAGCAACCTCAGTTCTTTCAGCCATTCCTGACTTGCTACAGAGTCCTGACCAACTTGAGCAGGTGAAGAAGTTCACCATTCTTCATCCCGTTGATTTGATTCTCACATTTGATCACCACAGCTTCTCCAGGCAAATTCTGCTGATTATAATGGGAATTTGAGGAAAGAATGGGGATGACTCCTTGCACCCCCCATCTCCCTCACCAAGAAGAAACATAAAAAATGCACATCCTCATGACTATCTCCTTTAAAAATGAATGACAGGGTTCGCCTATTCTGTACATTTTATAAGATGGAATTATACAATGTATGGTCTTTTGTGTCTTTTCAGAGGGTCGGGGAGAGGAGAATGAGAAGTGACTGCTAACAGGTACAGCGTTTCTTTTTGGAGCAATAAAAATGTTCTGAAATTAGAGTGGTGATGGTTGCACAAGCTTGTGAATATACTGAAAGCTGCCGGATTGTGCATTTTTTTATTACGGCTACATACACATAAAAGTTACCATTTTAACCATTTCTCACCATACAGTTCTGCAGCACTCAGTACCTTCACACTTCTGTACAACCATCACCACCATCCATCTTCAGAACTTTGTCATCCTCCCTGTGTTAGTCAGGGTTCTCCATAGAAACAGAACCAGTAGGATGTGCGCATTTGCGTATGCAGTCACGTGTCACTTAACAACAAGAACACATTCTGAAAAATGCATTGTTAGGCAATTTCGTCCTTGTGTAAACATCATAGCATGTGCTTACACAAACCTAGATGTCATAGCCTCCTACGCACCTATGCTATGTATGGCCGATTGCTCCTGGGCTACAAACCTGCATGGCATGTCACTGTACTGAATACTATAGGCGATTGTATGCCATGGTAAGTATTTGTATATCTAAACATACCTAATCCTAGAACAGATACAGTAAAAATACAGTAGAAAAGATTTTTTAAAATAGCACATCTATGTAGGACACTCACCATGAATGGAGCCTGTAGGCCTGGAAGGTACTCTGGGTTAGCCAGTGAGTGACTTGTGAGTGAATGAGAAGGCCTAGGACATTACCATATACTACTGTAGACTTTATAAACACTGTAAATTTAGGCTACACTAAATTTATCAGAAATATTTTTCTGAGCACAGTGGTACACACTTGTAGTTCCTGCTTGTAGTTTCTGATTGTAATTCCATTTTTTGAGGAACTTCCATATTGTTTTTCCGAAATGTACATTTTTTTCTTTTTTTTTTTTTTTGAGACAGGGTTTCTCTCCTGTTGCCCAGGCTGGAGTGCAGTGGTGCCTCCCAGGCTCAGGCAAACCTCCTGCCTCAGCTTCCCGAGTAGCTGAGACTACAGGCACGCGCCACCATGCCCAGCTAACTTTTGTATTTTTAGTAAAGATGGGGTTTCACCATGTTGGCCAGGTTAGTCTCCAACTCCTGACCTCAAGTGATCCACCCACCTCAGCCTCCCAAAGTGCTGGGATTACAGGCATGAGCCACCACACCCGGCCCCAAATTGTACAGTTTTTAAACAGTGAATTTTATGGTATGTGGGTTATATCTCAATTTTAAAAGTTTAAATAATGCAGAAGGAACAATGTGAAATATTCTATAGGACAACTAGCCTGGACTCTTCCAAACATCAATGTCTTCAAAAATCAGAAAAAAAAAAATCTAGGGGAAAAGTTGCAGATCAAAATAAAGAATAAAGAGACCCAACAACCAACCAAGAAAACGTAGATGACAGGAAAGGTGGTAGACACTGTTGGTTCATTCACCCAATACCCATTTCCAACTTTTCTTTCTTACCTTCCTCCACCGTGAGGCTGGAAGGAGAAAAGGTTGAGGGGACTCGATTCCCCAGCCTCTCCCACAGCTCACGGTGGAGAGAACTCTTGCAGTTCTGGTCGATGAAATATAGTAGAAATCTACTGAACATTTCTGGGGAAGGTTTTGCTTTCCTATCTCCTCCTTCTTTCTGCCTGAAAATGCAATGATAAACTGGAAATGGAGCAACATCTTGCAACCATAGGTAACAAGCTCTGCTACACTAAGACTAGAAGAATGGAAACCCCACCTGAGTTCTTGATGGCATCTTTGACTGCCACACCAGCCACGGATTCCCCGCCTCTGGACTTCTTGTTACATGAAGTTGGTGTTTGTTTGTTTGTAATTCTTTAAGCTATTGTTAGAGTTCCTGTTATTTGCAGTCAAGTGCATTCCCAAGTATTACAGGGAGACTTCCTGTAAGAAGATGGCAAATTGCCTTAGCCTCCCTATACCTCAGTTTCCTCATCTCTAAAATAAGAATAATCATGAGGATTAGATGAAGAAACATTTTAGGGTTGGTGTGAGGATTCAAGTTGTTACTATGGTTGAAGCACTCAAATGAGAGTTTATGGATAAGAACTCAATACATGTTAGTTGTTACTTTGTTACTATTATTACTAATACTATTCTCGTAGAATGAGAAAATGTTCACAGAACTCCACTCTCTGAAGCTCATCAAATTAATTAAAAAGGAGCCAAGGCCGGGCACGGTGGCTCATGCCTGTAATCCCAGCACTTTGGGAGGCCGAGGCGGGCGGATCACGAGGTCAGGAGATCGAGACCATCCTGACTAACATGGTGAAACCCCGTCTCTACTAAAAATACAAAAAAAAAATTAGCCGGGCGTAGTGGCGGGCGCCTGTAGTCCCAGCTACTTGGGAGGCTGAGGCAGGAGAATGGCGTGAACCCGGGAGGCGGAGCTTGCAGTGAGCCGAGATCCCGCCACTGCACTCCAGCCTGGGCGACAGAGCGAGACTCCGTCTCAAAAAAAAAAAAATACAAAAAAAAAAAAAATACAAAAATTAGCTGGGCATGGTGGCATGCACCTGTAGTCCCAGGTACTCGGGAGGCTGAGGAAGGAGAATCACTCAAACCCAGGAGGCGGTGGTTGCAGTGAGCTAAGATCATGCCTCTGCACTCCAGCCTGGTGACAGAGCAAGACTGCATCTCAAAAAAAAAAAAAAAAAAAAAAAACAGGAGCCCAAAATACAGATGGAGATTTCAGTGAAGAACCTAGACAACATCTATGGACTCAGCCACATGCTAGCTCATGGGAGGTGGACCAAACCAAAGAGAGATGCCTGGAAGCCATGTAGTTTGATGGACAAGAGCCTGGGCTCTGGAATCCACTTGGCTGAATTCAATTCCTGGATCTGCCACTTATTAGGTTGAAACGTTAGGTGAATCATTTAACCTCCAGATATAGTGTGGCTATTTGTCCTCCCAATTTTAATGTTGTATTGTAATCCCCAATGGAGGTGGGGCCTGGTAGGAGGTATTTGGGTCATGGAGGCTATGATGGTTAATACTGAGTATCAACTTGATCGGATTAAAGGATGCAAAGTATTGTTCCTGGGTGTGTTTGTGAGGGTATTGCCAAAGGAGATTAACGTCAGAATCGGTGGACTGGGAGAGCCAGACCCACCCTCAATCTGGGTGGACACCATCTAATCAGCTGCCAGTGCAGCTAAAAAAAAGCAGGCAGAATTTGGAAGGATTTGACTGGCTGAGTCTTCTGGTCTTCATCTTTCTCCCGTGCTGGATGCTTCCTGCCTTCAAACATCAAACTCCAAGTTCTTCAGCTTTTGGACTCTTGAACTTGTCACTTGAACCAGTGACTTGCCAGGGGCTCTCAGGCCTTCAGCCCTGTGGCTAAAACCTACTTTTGAGGTTTTAGGACTCGGACTGGCTTCCTTGCTCTTCAGCTTACAGACGGCCTATAGTGGGATTTCACCTTGTGATGGTGTGAGTCAATACTCATTAACAAACTCCCCTTCATATATACATCAATCCTATTAGTTCTGTCCCTCTAGAGAACCCTGACTAACACTGAGGTGGATCCCTCCTGGCTTGGTGCTATTCTCAGGGTAGTGAGTTCTTGTGAGATCTGGTTGTTTAAAAGTGTGTGGCACCTGCCCCTCTATTGTTCCCACTCTTGCCATATGATGTGCCTGCTTCCCCTTTGCCCTCCAACATGACTGTAAGCTTTCTGAGGCCTCCCCAAAAGCCGAGGAGATGCCAGCATCATGCTTTCCTATAAAGCCTGCAGAACTGTGAGCCAATTAAACCTCTCTTCTATATAAATTACCCAACCTCAGTTATTTCTTTATAGGAATGCAAGAATGGCCTAACACACTCCATGAGCCTTTATTTCCTCAGCTGTAAAATGAGGATGATAATAATCCCTAACTCAAAGAGTTGTGAAGATCAAATGAAGTACGTAAGGTGCTTAGCCCAGAGCCTCGCCCATGGTAACTGTACTAGACTCTCCATTTCTTATATGCTTTTACTGCTGCTGCTGAGGTTGGTGTTATCTCTAGAGTCTTAGAAAAGGTGTTTGATAAATACTTGCTGGAATCATGGAAGGATCAATTGAATAAATGGATGGATGGATGGATGGATGGATGGATGGATGGATGGATGGATGGTTCAATAGAAAGATGGATGGATAGAACCTCTTGGAAGTTGGGGGTTAAGTAATATTGAAATATCCTATTGGTCTTGGAAGGGTAACAATATCCATACACACATAGCCCCACTAGGACCTGTCTGGACTCCCTCCTCCCTCCCCACAGCGTAGAAAAGGTAGCCTTAATCCATAGTCTCAGTGTACACAGTCCCTCACTGATAGTCTTTTTTTTTTTTTTTTTTTTTTGAGATAGAGTCTCGCTCTGTCACCAGGCTGGAGTGCAGTGGTGCTATCTCCGTTCACCACAACCTGCACTTCCTGGGTTCAAGCAATTCCCCTGCCTCAGCCTCCCGAGCAGCTGGGACTACAGGTGCACACCACCATGCTCGGCTAATTTTTTGTATTTCAGTAGAGACGGGGTTTCACCATGTTGCCCAGGATGGTCTCAATCTCCTGACCTCATGATCTGCCCACCCCGGTCTCCCAAAGTGCTGGGATTACAGGCATGAGCCACCGCACCCGGCCAATAGTCACTTCTTAACAAAACTCTAAAAACAAAATATATCTCGCCACTGCCACAGGAATTATAGGCTGTCAGTAGCCAAGCACTGGTGCATATCTCTAGACTTTATTTTTAATAATAACATGCTGGGCTTCTCCATCTTGGGGTACCAGGCCACCTTTGGATCTCCTCGACACTGTTTGACAAAGAAAGGGAGTGCCTGTACCACCCAACCTCAAGCAAGCCAGCCAGCTTCAACCAGACAGCACCATAAATCATAATTAGCAACTACATTCAAATGTGGGTGTGGAGGGTGAGGGCAGCGAAGCCCACGCCAACCTCAGGCACAAAGGCAAACCTCAGCTCAATTCAGTGCGAGGTAATTACAGGGACTGTCAGAAGCTGGTGCCAGCTTTACTTTCAAGTCGAGGAAGCTGCAGGAACCTAAAAACTCCACGTATTCAAAAATAATCACTGAATTCCCACAGTGAATTCATGGGTCAATCACTCACCACTCCTAAATAAAGATGTCAGCAAAGTACTTTGTTTCTTTCAAATGGAACAAAAAAAAAATAAGTTACTTCCTTTTCAATGATCCCCGAAAAGGAGAGAGCAGAGAGGATCCCTTTTTACAGATGAGGAGACCAAACTTTAGAGAAGTTAAATAATTTTCCTAGAGCAAAAGTGAGAATGGGATCTGTATCCATGTTTGTATGATCCCAAAGCTAGCACAAGTTCCCAGAAGCCCTCGCTGGTCATCTTAGTTGGTATCATCATAGCATCCTATGGCTGCTATGTCCTGCCTGCCACAGATCTGTCCAGCTGCCCACAGTGGTGTCCAGTCATGTGAACACCTTGGCCCAGCCAAACAGCTTCTCATGCTGAGCTGGCCTGGGTCTGCCGCCCACATGCCTGACTCAGTGTGCTAGAGGCGAGAAAGCTGCCCAAGATCACCCCTCTACACATGTATATATAACTGCCCCTCTAACCTTTTCCCAGGGTTTCGCTCCAGCTCCCTCCCAGGACTGACAGCATAGCTGTAGCTGGACACCTTAGCCTAATTCCTACCACTAAAAACCCCCAGAGCTGCCCCAGCCCTGCCTGGGCCTCTTGCTTATGCCCACGTCACCTGCCTTATTTTCTCACTAACACAGATATTTATTGAGTACCCTCCCTGAATCAGGTTCTCAGAGTCCAGCAGTAACAAGACAGCCATGGCCAGAGCCTCATGGAGCTGTTAGTCTAGCAAAAGAGACAAATACTAAACAACCAGGGACCAAATAGCTCCAGAATCATCTATTCAACACATCCCATGTTCTAGTGGGAAGATCCTCTGTAACAGGACATCTAGCACCAAGCTAAACATCACCCTTAGTTAACACTCCACGAAGGTCTATGAGTTAAGTATTAATATCATCCCCACTTTACGGATAGAGAAACTGAGTCTCAGAGAGCCACAGTGAGCCCAGGAACTCATAGTTTGACAAGTGGACGAGCAAGGTTTGTACCCAGGCAGTGTAATTCCACAGCCCACACTCTAACCAGCTGCCCAATAGTGTACGGCAGACTCAAGGAGCCAATAGCCTCCCTTACTTTGAAAACAAGTTTAAAAAGTAATTCAGATGGACACCAGCATACTCACACTACCCAGACATTATCTTTTAAAACAGCTTGTATTTACCACTCAACAGGTGTCCGGGTGGCCCTGGGCACAAATCAGAACTCATTTCTTGCCAGTGGGGAGACCCGTTGCAAGGATAGAGGACAAGCCCTCCTTGCAGCCATTGGCAGGCCCCATCCATCTGGCCAGCCAGTGTTCATAGGAGAGGCCAGCTGATACCCCCATAGTCACAGCCAAGGCCGGCCACTGCAAGCTCGGAGCAGCACGACTGATTTCGGATCTCTCTCCCTGGAACTCGGGAACACATCAATTACCCATGCACATGCTGCCCATTCGGAGGACAGATATTACCTCCTGCACTCACCGCAGAGCCACGCGTCCTCATCCAAGCACAGATGGAGGACAAGGGCGTGGGGTTAATTGATCAAGCAACACCAGTGCCCGTGCAAGGGTTGGCAGAAAATGGCTCATTTCACAGATGCACAGGCTCCTTCCTTGCCAGTCTCCTGTGATTAAACCAGGTCACTAACGTGCTTCTGAACAAACATGCCTGAACTTACACGTTCAGGTTCATCTTGTCTCCTCTAAAGTGGTCACCTTGGAATACTCCACATGCCTTTCTCCACTCTGCAAACATTTGTTGAATACCAACCAGACACAAAGTATGGTGCTAGCATGGTAGGGTGGGATACAGTTCAGTGCAACGTAGTCGATTTCAACCGACGAGCACAAACTAGGTACTAAGACCCCATAGTAGATGATTAGAAGGTGGGTCCTATCCTCAGTACACAAAAGGCAAACAAAAGGTTATTGATCAGGCGGTGGGATATGAGGAAAGCAGGAAGTTGGGGAGGACAGGGTGTAGGTCATGGAGACAATACCAGATAGAGGGTGCTAAATACTGGAAAAATGATAGCGGGTGTCAATTTTATGCCTTAATCTCAGAAAGGCAAGACATGTCACAATAATTGCATTTGCTATAAACCTATCCCAAGTCTCAGCTTACTGACCTGGCAGGAAATTCATATTTGGGGTTCCCTTCTTGCCCCACAGGATCCTGTGAAGGTCTCAAGGGTCTTACACATACACCCAGCTTTGGGTATGTCCAATGAGTGTAGGTCCACACTGTTGCCTTTGTTAGAGCTGTTGTCCAAGCCCTCTCGGCATCCTGTTGGCTGATACCAATGTTGCCTCCGTGAGGTTGGGCTCAGATGTGCAGTCAATGCCCAGACCGGAAGCCCCAATGCCTGGGGTCCAACCCCCTTAAAACCCCTTAATAGTCATCTGCTCTGGTTTCCTGCTGTTTCCAGAAATTCCCTTCTCCTCAAAACCAAACTGCAAGTTTGGTCTTCATGATCTCGCTCTCTCCCTCTCTCTTTCTCTCTCTGTTTGATTCTACTTTCTCCCCATCAATGGTCTTTCCCTCCCTCCCTCCCCACTTTGCATTACCCCCTCCCCGACACACACACATAAACATCCACACTCTGGCACTAAGCCTAGGTTTTGAGATAAACAAAACCAGGGAAGAGATCCCTATTCAGGCAACTTGTGCTTTTAATCTTACAACACAAGCCTCCCTCAGCAAGGAAAGACAAAAACCTCTTCACCTTAGAATATGGAATGCAAGAACACAACACAAATTCATGTATTAAGTCATCCCATCTGTCAAAGGAAGCCCCAGAAACAGAAATATTTAGAAAAGAAAATTTTACTTGCAGAGTGCAAGGGAACCAGACTTCAGAAGCACTGGTTCACCAAATGCAAACACAGCAATTATTTCCAAGAAAACAATTGCAAAATTATCAAGTTCACCAGGTGTATATTAATCGTGGCATGAAAACAGCAACTCTCTCCTGTGACGGTCATAATCACAAGGTCCTGATCTGTCTTCAGAGATCATCATAGCAAGAATCAGAGATAAAATTGTCTTTCTCAGGGAGTCCAGGTTTAAGGGAAACATACAAGGATTTGTGATTTGGGAGACTCTGATATGTTAGGTTTGTCTTGGGGTTTAGGAATGTCTATTTTTATCATTTCACTGTCTTTTTCCCCTAATATACTGTGTGAGATGCTTAATTATACTGGAATCAGAACAAAGGGATAGCCTTGGTTTCTAACCATCAGGTGATCTACAGGGAAAATGCAATGGAAATCCAAACTAGTTAATCAGAGAAAGTCATAAAAGTATCAGTATGAGACCTGAAAGCCTGAGCAGGCTTTGAGCACATGATGGAGAGAAGGCAAAGACACGGGGCCTGTTCACCGAGCTGGGAGGCTCACAGTGGAGCCTGGGGGATGTGAGGGGAGGTGGAAAGAGCTGGTTGAAGGTGAGGCTGAGGCTCAGGAGTGGGTTTCTCTGAAATCCCAGCTGTCTGGAGCATGCCAAGAACAGCAATCTGTACCAGTGGCCTTGGAATCCTAAAATATTAGCCAGACACCAAGGCCATTTAATCCAACCTCTCTTCCAACATAGATGGGGAAACTGAGGTCAGGGAGCTAGGGTGTGTCCCCACAATCAGTGATAGATAGCATGTTTAGCCTTCAGGCTGATGGGGAGGTAGGGAAGTGAATTTTTGAAAATAGTTAAAAAGACATTCAGAGTCAGGTGTGAAGAATCAGGCAAGAATCAAGGTGTGCGATGCCACTTCCTGTTAAAATTTTTGTAAAATCAATTTTTGTAAGGATAAAGACAAGAATGAGAGCAATTTTCTTATGCCATTAACTGCCACTGAAGGCCATTCCCAGTGGACAGTCCAAACACCGAAGAGACTGATTGGAATATGGACACAACCCCCAAAAGTGGCCAATACTCATTTTGGTGGTTACGCTCTGGGGTCTTTACTTTCTTCCTGTGTATTGCTTATGTTAATTAAAAATAATAATCCAAGGCCAGGCGCGGTGGCTCACGCCTGTAATCCCAGCACTTTGGGAGGCCAAGGCGGGAGGATCACAAGGTCAGGAGATCGAGACCATCCTGGCTAACACAGTGAAACCCCGTCTCTGCTAAAAATACACAAAATTAGCCAGGCACAGTGGCAGGCACCTGTAGTCCCAGCTACTCGGGAGGCTGAGGCAGGAGAATGGCGTGAACCAGGGAGGCGGAGCTTGCAGTGAGCCAAGATTGCGCCACTGCAGTCTGGCCTGGGTGAAAGAGCGAGACTCCGTCTCAAAAAAAAAAACAACAACAAAAAAAAAAAAAACATAAAAATAATCATCCATGCTCACTGTGAAACATCTACACAATAAAGAAGGAAACAGAGTAAAGACTGAAGGGTCCCTTTAATAGCTATCCCTGATCTCACTCTTCTAACAACAAATAACGTTAGCAATTGAGTGTCTACCTTTCCAGCTGTTTGCACTTATTCATCAATCTGTATGCATATAAACGTATTTAATAAAGGGTTTTTCTACCCAAAGGGTATTATACAATATATTCTTCATCTTTGCCTTTTGTTTTCACTTAGCTTGACATCGCAAACATCTTTTCATGTCACATAGCTTGACCTTATTCTTTGAAACAGCTGCAAATTATATTGTGTGGATGTTCCATAATTGATGTGACTGTTCCTTATGAATGCACATTTAGGTTATTTTCAAGTTTATTATTAATATAAATGGTACCACAATGAACATATATATATATTTGTACATATATGAAAATATCCTTAAAAAAACAGATTTCTGGAAGTGAAATGCTGATTCAGTGAATATGTGTATTTTATAATCTTGACATCAGCACCGTGTGTGAGAGAGATTCATTTTGTGCCCCTTCCCAAAACAAGATATTAATGACCTCTTTAAAATGTTTGTGGAAGACTATTACATTTCAATTTATATGTCCTTGATTATGAGTAAGGCTTTTTACTTGAATCTGTAGTTGTGGTCAATTCAGCTCCTCCGAGAAGCAGATGCCAAGATGGAATTATACAAACAAGAGCTTTACTGGGGAGAAATGCCTCTGGAAGGCAAAGAGAGAGAGAACAGGAGGATGCCAGGAGAGCTCCAGATCAAGAAGCAGGTCTGACGTTTGTGCAAGGAAGAGGGAAGAGACAGGATTGAGTAGGTAAATCCTCAGACCAGAGCACAGTTCTGAGAAAGCCTTGACAAGACCACTGTGGAATTCCCACAAGGTCCTGCTTCCCCACGAGGGGAAAACCTAGGGGAGGCACAGCCTGGCGTGACCCTCACAGTGGATCCAAAGATGCTCTAGCTTGAGGCCATCAGTCAGCTCTTCCCCCACAGGAGTTTCTTTTGAAGAGAGGTCTGGGCAGTGCACCTCCATGGCCACCACTGGAATCCAGGGTTTCCTCTAGAAGTTACATGACCACACCTTTGCTTACTTTTTTACTCCATCTTTGTTATAGATCTGCAGAAACCCTTCATAGATTCGGTGGGTTCATGCCTTGGTTTTTTGTTGCTGTTTCGTTTTTGTTTTGTTTGTTTGGTTGTTTATTTTTTGAGACAGAGTCTTGCTCTTGTCACCCAAGCTGGAGTGCAATGGCGCGATCTCAACCTCACTGCAATGCTCACCGCAACTTCTGCCTCCCGGGTTCAAGCAATTCTCCTGCCTCAGGCTCCCAAGTAGCTGGGATTACAGGCACCCGCCACCGTGCTCAGCTAATTTTTTGTATTTTCAGTAGAGACAGGGTTTCACCATGTTGGCCAGGCTGGTCTCAAACTCCTGATCTCAGGTGATCCACCTACCTCGTCCTCCCAAAGTGCTGAGATTACAGGCGTGAGCTGCCGCACCCAGCCCACTCCTTGTTATAGGTGCTGCAAGTATTTTGTCCCCATTTTTGCTTTCTTTTATCTTTGGTTGCATGTTTCACTATATAGGAGTTTTTTAACACTTTAATTTTTTTCCTCTAGCAAAATCTTTTATTTTTTTTTTTCCTTTAAGGCTTTTGTGTCTTATTTAGGAATGCTGTCTTCTTTAAATAGAAAGAAAAAATGGGAGGCGGGTCCCATTACTTTATCTTATACATTCCCTAGCTGCACAGTACACTACTGATATAAATTTAGTATAAATGATTATTTTATGCACCAACCAGGCCTTGATTCAGTTTGCTTCTCATCATTTTCAGTTTTTTGCTATCTAATTATTAGAAAATGTTTCCTTTTGAAATGAGTGGCTGGGCTCTATTTATTCAAGTCAAAACCCATGATTTCTCCCACAATGTCATCAATGAGTTTGTACAGAAGAAAAAATATCTTTGTGACAGAGGATGTGGGAAAGATCTGGCTTTTGAGAAAAGCCTATGATGTTGCTTTCCCAGTGGGCTGGGCCTGGAGACGTATGAGACCTCAGCCAGTAGCAAGGTGTGGATGGGAGGAAGAGGAGCCCTGAGGAGCCGGTGATCAGAGCACCCACTTCCAACCCCAGAAAGCTGAAGAGCCTGTCCCAAGGATGGTGGTCCATTCTGCACACACCTGAGTCATCTCTATTGCAGCCTCCATTTGGTTTTCTCCATAGCAGCTCTCATAAGCTCTAACTGTTACAATCATGGCTTGGAAGCAGGAGTTTCCTGGCACTTCAGGGCTCACTCTTAGGCAAGTAGACATGGGATGTCTGCTAATCACTTGTCAACATGGAGAGAAAAGGCCCACCCTGCAGGGGACAGGCCAGCCACAGCCAAGCAGGCCCTTCTACTGCCCCACACTTTCCTTATTCTACCTTACCCTCCAAGATGCTTACTGTCAGCTCCTTCCAGGAGCTGCCTCACAGGGACAGCCCAGCATGTCCCAGGATGCCCTCTGCCACGCCCACCCACCGCTTACCTTCTCCTAAACCCCCTCCCAAGACCACAGCAATTAGCCCCAGACAAATATCATTGATCTGGCACTGCCTTCACTCCCATTTTTATGTCAGGATGAATTTGGATTCTGAAGTTGATCTCCTTGTTGTGCAGGTTTTATGAGGGAAAGATTAAATCATCCTCTGATGTGTGCTTCATTAGGCTCCAAATCCTTGAAGAGTCATTAAAGCACCTTCTCATTGAAATGCTCTCAATCTCAGCTTGATGGGTATCAGCAGGAAGGATCTCTCCATTATTTGGGACCTAAACTGGCTGGGAAGCTGGGCCAGACCTGACCCTGTCACAACCCAATGAGCCTGGCCCTTCTGTAGTTTGTGGCCCCCAAAATCTACCAGTGCAACATCACCAGAGGCTGGCTTTGGGCTGGCTTTCCCAGAAAAGCCATTCCTGCCTGTCCTCTGTGGGGACAGGTTGCCCTGAGTCATCCACATTCTCACCACCACCCACAGCTGCAAGTCTAATCTGTGAGCTGGGTAGGGCTCATCCATGGTCAAGGCTCAGTGTGGGGCCAAGGTCAGGGTTCATTCTGGAACTAGGATCAGAATGCAGAGTGGGACCAGGATCAGAGATCGATCTGAGACCAGGATTAGGGCTCAGTCTGGGCCAGGGTCAAGGCCCAGTCTGGGATGAGGGTCAGAGCTGTTATTACCAGAACCAAGGCCAACACAGTCTACATCCAGGATTACACATCTATCTGTGGCCAGGATCAGGGCCTCGATTATGGCCTAGTTTATGGCCCAACCTTTGGCCAAAGGCTCATTGACCCAACCCCAGCCTGGCATCAACCCTACATCAACTTAGGATATCAGGACTTGACACCTTATCTAAGCACCCCCAGTCTCAAATATTAGCATACCCATTCCCAACCAGGTGGTACTAACAGCCACTGAGAGGCTCAAGCTATTTCAGGTGACAGAAAACAGACAGGAGTATCTGCAAGTGAGGGCCTGTATTAGAAATGGGTGGGGGGGATGCTGGGGCAGAATTGGAAGGGTCTAGAAGGCAGCAGAAGTCAGGAGTCAGGGCATCATCAGGACCTCAACCTCAGAAACCCAAGACACAGACAAAGGAGACTGCATTATTTCCAACCCTTCCTGGCAAAATTTACCACATATTCATCTTTCTGATTTCAGCAGCAGAAAGAGCCAGAATCTATGAGAAGGGATCTGAGCCAATGCCAAGTTTCCTTCCCATCACTGCAGAAGGCGGGAGGACAGTGAGGTTGTTCTCCTGGACTTGCTGGGTGACCTCTGACAGGTTGTTCTCCCTCTCTGGACTTCAGGGTATTCACCTACAAATGGAGGAGTTGGAGTGACTCATCTGCCATGTCCCCTCAGCTTGGCCAACCGCAAAGAGAATGAGAAGAGAGTAGCAGCCAGAAGGAAGGGTGTTGAAGAAGGTCGCAGGCGAGAGAGAGAGGATGGCAGGCCCAAAGGCCTAGATTAAGCCCAGTGTGACTGGACACAAAGCGAGGGGACAGACGAGAGGGGAGGGCAGAAGATAGGAAGTGACTAAGCCCACAGGGCCTGGACACAATGGAAGTCATCTGGTTTTTATCCTGTGGGCAATGAAGAACCTTGAAGGATGCTAAACAGGTGAGGACACTGCCATATCTGCATTGTAGAAGGATCTGTCTGACTGCTGCCTGCAGGACGGATAAGAGAGGACAGGATGGCTGTGAGATTCACTGGGTGGGAAGATTAGAACAGGATTGGTGGCAGAAGATGATGGTGAATTCTGATCTGGACCCGTGGAGTTCAGATGACTGTGGGATGTGGGACTACCAAGTGAGGGTGTCCAGGAATGAATTGACAACATGAACCAGGAGTTTGCATGAGCCAACTGGGCCTAGGTTATAGATGAGGGAGTCTTCAGTCATTGCCAAGGATAAAGTAGAGGGAGAGAAGAGAGGGGAACCTGGAATGGACATGAGACACCCAACATGTCAGCGGCCAACAGAGGAAGGGAAGTCAGCAAGGGAGCCCGAGAAGGGAATCACTGGAGAGATGCAGGAAAACAAACTTCAAGAGGTGGTCTACAGAAAATTAGAGCAATAGCAATATTGAATGTGGTCAAGAGCCTGAGGGCATGAGAACTCAAGTCATTCAATGACTGTGGAGCCCATTGCTGACTTTAGAGAGAGCAGTTTCTGAGACCCTTCTTGGGGCAGCAGCCAAACTGAAATGAGTAGGAGAAGGGGTTGAGGAAGTGGGAGTGGAGATAGGAAGTGTAGGCAACTGTTGAGAAAAGTTCTCTGTGAGTGGGATACAGTGGGATCATAGATGGGAAGGTGTGGGATTTGGGGCAGAGGGTGTTCTAAGCAGAGAGACTTTGGGGTGTCCTAAGCAGAGAGAGACTCGGACGTGTGCAAATGCTGTGGGGGAGGACCCAGGAGAGAAGAAATTAAAAATACAGGAAAGAGAGCTATTCGGGGAAGGAGTGGGTCATTGAGTGTCCGTCACTTACCATCACACAAAGCACTTTCCATATGCCTTTAATATTTAATTCTCCCAACCTGTCTGTGGTTTCACAGAGCTGTGCTCACTTCCTTCACAGCACTCTGTAAATGATTTTAATTATTCTTTGGCTTGTTTATTGACTCCCTTTCCCACTAATCACTAAGCTCCACACAGGGACTTCCCAGTCTCCATCACCTCTGTCTTATCTTGCTTTGTTTCATCATGACACTTACACTCCCTGACACTGTATTATTTGTTACTCGCTTTTTGTCTGTCTCTCCTTTCCCCCACAAAAAATGTAAACTCCAGGGCAGATAGGACAAAGTCTGCCTTGCTCTCTACTGTGCTCCCAAGCCTACCACTGTGCCCAGCTCATAGTAGGCACACAATAAATATCTGTGGGAAGAAAGAGAGAAAGAGGGAGAGAAAAGAAGGAGTATGAGAGGAGAGAATAGAGGGAAAGAGTGAGGGAGGGGAAAAAAGTAGGAGAGAAAGAGAAAAAGGAAGGAAGAAGGGAGAGAGGGAAGGAGAGGCAGAGAAGGAAGAAAGGAGAGAAAGGAAAGGAGACCGGGCACAGTGGCTCATGCCTGTAATCCCAGCACTTTGGGAGGCTGAGGCAGGCAGATCAGTTCAGGTCAGGAGTTCTAGACCAGCCTGGCCAAAATGGTGAAACCCCGTCTCTACTAAAAATACAAAAAAATTAGCCAGGTGTGGTGGTGGGTTCCTGTAATTCCAGCTACTTGGGAGGCTGAGGTATGAGAATCGCTTGAACCCGGGAGGCGGAAGTTGCAGTGAGCTGAGATCCCACCACTGTACTCCAGCCTGGGCAACAGAGCAAGATTCCATCTCAAAAAAAAAAGGAAAAAGTAAGGAAAGAAGGAAGGAGAGAGATAGGGGGAGAAGGAGGAAAGAAAGAGAGAGAGAGAGGAGGGAAGGAAGGAACGGAAAGAGAGAATTCTCTAAGAAGAGGTTCTGAAAACCACAACATGCTGTCCAAGTGAAGGACAAGAAGAACCCAGCGCATGCCAAGCTCGCAGCACCTGCCACAGGCATAGCTTCAGCTAAGCTTCATGACAACTTTCGGAGGTAGGAACTACTGTTCTTTTTTCAGAAATGAAGAAATTGGGCTCCATAGAGGTTTTAAGGCCTGTCAGAAATCACACAGCTGGTATGTGGTAGTGCCAGAGTTGAAAGCCAACGATAATGGTTTTGTTTTTGTCTGCTTTTCCTAAAACCCCGAGCTGAATTCCTGCACCACAAGCCTCTGGGGATGATCATTAGTCCCTCCCTCCACTTCTCCTCAGGACCACAGGCCAAGGACAGGGGCTGACAGAGTTCATCGGGTGTTCTAGAACCATCCCCCGGCTGCTGTCCTGCAGAAGGAAGGGGAGACATTGGTGGCAGAAGGGAGGAGAGTTTTCCCCAGAGAGCTGGTGGCTGGGACTTAGCAGAAGGACAGTTGAGAAAGAGATTTGAGAGAGAAGATTGACAGGTCCCGTGGCATGGGATGTGGGGTGGGAAAGAGCGAGAGGCACGTGAGGGGCTCGCAGGTTTCAGGCTGGGGAAAGGGCAGTTGCGCTGCTGACAGCTGAGACACAGAAAATAGAAAGGGTGCATGTGGGAAGGGAGGTGGCTTCCATGTTGGACATGCTGAGCAAGTGGGGTTGGTGGGACACCCATATGGTAGTGTCCAACAGCAAGCTCTGGGGAGCAGTCCCAGCTGGGGAGAGAGGCCTGGGACAGTCAGTGCAGCCCTGGATCGATCGTAGGGGTGCTCTTGCTGAGGGCAGCATGCTGAGCATGGGGCTGTATCAGCCCCGTGGGCCCCAGGAGAGAAAAGCAGTCAGAGGAGCAAGCAGTGGGTGTCCCTCTCAGCTATGCGGGGCAGAAGCAAAAGACAAGATGAATGAGCTGCTCTGTGTGTTTGCATGACAGAATATTTTGCAGCCTCCCTGGATAAACAAGCTGTCATCCACCACCCAACCCTCTGTCAACTGAAGCAGCTTGGGGAAAAGATAATGCTGCGGGTTTGGACTCTCTCCTAGGCTGCCAGTGCCCTAATTACTACACAAGCAAAACAAGCCCACAGAGTTGTAGGCAGAGAGGGGCTTGCTGGCCGACTAGGGAGGAGTGTCACTTTCCCAGTCCCAGGGAGGGGTGGAAGACAAGCACTAATGTTTATTGAGCACCTACTGTGTGCCAGACACTTGGCACATGTCATCTTATTTAATACAGTTCAAGTATCATCCCCATTTTGCAGATGAGGAAACAGAGGCTCAGAGAGGCCTGATAATGCACTCAGTTAAAGGACTCACTCCAAGGTCTTCCCATTGCACTTCACTGCCTCCCTGGAAAATGTCCAGGTTTGGTTTCCTCTCTTCTTTCCCAATCCTGCAGAATCAAATCCAAAGGCGTGTTCATGACTTTGCAGCTCTATTGACTCTTTTTGTTTCTTTCTAAGACGTCTATTTGTAAGAAATAAAATTGTTGGGCTCAGCAGCAGGACAATAACTATAAAGAAATCTGCCATTAGCAGCACAGACTTTAGCTCCCAGCATTACTGTATATTCAAAGTAGATTCCCAAAACATCATTTGACACAAACAGTCATTCCAAAAGGACTCCATTTGCCTCCTTCCTCCTGCCCCGCCTCAGGCACGCCTGACCAAGGTCGAATGAAGAAGAGGAAAGGAGGTGAGAGAAGACTCCAAGCAGCCAGGGGCAGCTGAGAAGGAACTAGGCTGCCCTGCTAGGAGATGGCAGCAGTCCCCTGATTCAGGGGACAGATAAGCTGATTCTTCCCACCCCATCCCCTTCCTGACCTGATAGATGGGGAAACTGAGTTTCAGAGAGGAGCAGCGACTGGCCAGTGATGGGATTAGATCCCAAACCCTTTGACTCCCAGCCCACAGTGATCTTCCAACACAACATGCAGCTTCGTCAGAGGCCAAGAAATCCATTTATAAGGAAATTTTGTATGTGCATTTCATTTGTATGATTTAATTTTTTTACCTCAAAAAGAATTATAATATATAGCTTTCAATGCAAATGGGAAAAGCTTACACATCTTCATATAAAGAGAAGGAATATCCAAAAAGTAACAAGAATGTTCCTAGTGCTGTCTTTCATAGTAAATTTGCATGATTGTACACCACACTCCAGCCACAATGATCTTTTTCTTAGTTCCTCAAAGCCCCCAGCCTTGTTCCTACCTGAGGACCTTTTCATTTGATATTCCCTCTGCCCAGAACTCATTTCCCTAGGCTTACATGGCTGGATTTCTCTTGTCACTGAGATCTCAACTCAAATGTCACCCCCTCTCAACAGTCTTCCCTGACCACCCTCCTTCAGGTAACCATGCTGTCAATCCCCATAACAATGGGTGTCAACCCTGGGCACGGTCACTTCCACCTGCATGGCTTAAAATACAGATTGCTGAGCTCCGTCCCCCACAGTTTCTAATTTAATAGGCCTGGGGTGAGTCCTGAGAATTTACATTTCTAACATGATCCAAGATTGTGCTGATGATATTGGTCCAGGAATCACTTTGAGAGCCACCGCCCTACAACATCACCCTGTTTTATTGTCTTCGTGGTGTTTATCACAATCTGAAATTATCTTAGGCATCTATTCAGTTTCTTTATTATGGCTTGCCTTTTTTACTGATTAGGAGCTCCTGAGAGAAGGGTGACTGTCTGTCTTGTTTATTGCAGTATCTCCAGGACTCAGAAGAGAACCAGGTATATGATAAATGCTAAATGAGTATTTGTTTAATGAATAAATTAGTGAGTGGGTGAATGGGCGGATGGTGGAGGGTTGGAAGAAGAGGGAGGGAGAAAGAGAAATGAATGGATGCATGGGTGATGAATGGTGGATACATAGGGAATGGATGGCTGTGGGTGGGCGGGTGGGTGGGTGGATGAATGAATGGATGGATGGAAAGATGAGTGGGGGGGTGGATGGATGGATAGATGGATGGATGGACGAACAGATGGATGGATGGATGGATGGATGGATGGATGGACGGATGGATGGACAGACGGATGGATGGCTGGATGGACGGATGGATGGATGGATAAAGGGGTGGGTGTGTGGATGGGTGGATGGGTGGACGGTGTGGGTGGGTGGATGGATGAATGGATGGATGAATGTATAATTATCTCATTCTCTGGATTCCCACCTCTGTATATGTCATCTTTGTTCCACTCCAAATTGATCTACAGGTAAAACCAATCTCATTTTTGATTTCCAAAATTTCAACTGATAGAAGCAAGACCATGAAACATTTTGCCGAGGATCTTGAGGGGCCATGGCCAGGAGACACATATGACAAAATAGCAAATGACATAAAACTGCACACAGGCATACCGCTCTTAAATGCCCTTTCAGCTACCCCATCACCTGCAAGTGGTCCCCAGCTTTCTGCCATCTTGAAGTCTCCTCTCTCCTCCTCCTCTGCTTCATCTTCCTCCTTTTCCTGTTCTTTGTCACCTTCTCAAAGATCTAAAAATAATAATCTTTTGCATTTTCCCATGTAGAGCAGCTAAACCATGATTTTTTATTGCTTGAGATTCCCAAAAAGACCAGTGCACTCCCTCTGTCTTCAAAAATTCCTGCATCTTTGAGACTCAGGCAAGTCATACCTTCCTCCTCCATCTTTTTTGTAGCCTCCTGGAAGCTATCCCTTATTCAGTGAAGTCTCCTGGAAGCTATCTCTTATTCAATGAAGTCTTCAGTCCCAGCTGAATGACTTCATCGTTAGTGACTGCAGAAGACAGGTCAACTGCTGATAGCCAGGTGAGAAGAGGAGGTAAGAGGTCTAATAAGAGTGAGAAAAGCTTTAAATAATTGCTGTGAATGGTAAAGGAATGAGCTGGCTGGAGAAACACAAGCCCAGCTCTAGAAACTACAGTTGGAGTTGGTAATGAGTAAGTCAAAGAATAAAGAATCCAAGATGTGAAGAGTTATCCAAATGCTTTCTTCTCTATTCTCTTAGTCACTTTGTTAGCTTCCAATTGCTTCTGTAACAAATTACCACGAATCAGTGGCTAACAAGGAAACAAATGTATTATCTTACACTTCTGGAGGTCAGAAGTCCAAAGTGAGTCAGCATGGCTGTGTTCCTTCTAGGGAGAGCATCTGCTTCCTTGCTGTTTCCAGTTTCTGGAGGCTGCCTACATTCCTTGGGTCACAGCCCCTTCCTCCATCGTTAGAGCCAGCAGTGTAGCATCTTCAAAACACACACACTTTCTCTCTTTTTCTCTCTCTCTCCTTCTCTCTCTCACTCACTCACTCTCCCCCACCCCCTACTCCACTCCCTGATCTCTACAGAGCAATATATTTGCAGGTTTCAGGGTTGGAACATGGCATCTTTTGGAGAGTGGGGCACATTATTCTACCAGTCACCAACTGAGACAGTCACTTCCCACATTTCAACATCATCTGGAACCACTTCCTCTAAAGTCATTAATCCATGCATCCCACCATGGTTATGGGGTTTAAACAAGTATCGTATTTAAGAGAGAAACCTTTAGACTAGCTGCATTAGGCTTAACCTTGAGCAAGTCATTCTACTTCCTGAACCTCAGTTTCCTAACCCAGAAGATGAGCTTTAAAACTAATAGAACAACTAGCAGTGTTTTATTTGCTATGTGCCAAGCATTGTCTGAGTGGCTTGCATATGTCATCTAACTTAAATCTCCCTAGAGCCCTATGAGTACAAATGAGGAAACTGAGTCCCAGGCTGGTTATATAACTGCCTGAGGTTGAGGTTGGTGATGAGCAAGTCAAGGAATAAAGAATCCAAGATGTCCCTGCAACCTCCTCTCCTTCCAGCCTGCATGCCCAAGCAACCCATTGCAGCCATTCTTCAATCTTATCAGGACCTCCAGACTATCCACCTTTCCTCTTGCTCCCATCCACAAGCCCTGCCTCTCTTCCTTTCCTCCCTTTCTCATTTGGATCCTGTGATCTATCATTACTAAAATGCCTCACCCCTCCATATCTCCATCACACCTATTGGCAATAACCCAATCTTGGATGGGCTTCCATCTTCCTCCTCCATGCTGTCACTGGGGAAACACTGCTGGACAAAACCACACAACAGTACATGTAAATCTTCAGTGTCCATCACAACTTTACCATGGAGGCATGGGAAGACTGAGAAGCCAATGGAGGGTGTTAAGCTTGGAAGTGACTCCATCAGAATTGTGGAAAGGTCACCTCTGCAACAGGATGGAGAACAGATTGGAGGAAGGAGGCAGGGAGATGAAGGAGTGACCCCTTCACCCCAGCACCTCACCTTATTCTCCATGCTCGGTGGTTGTTCACACTTAGCATTGTATTAGTCCGTTTTCACGCTGCTGATAAAGACATACCCGAGACTGGGTAATTTATAACAAAAAAAAAAAAAAAAGAGGTTTAATGGACCCACAGTTTCATGTGGCTTGGGAGACCTCACAATCATGGCGGAAGGTAAAAGGCACGTCTTACGTGGTGGCAGGGAAGAGAGAATGAGAACCCAGGAAAGGAGTTTTTCCTCATAAACCCATCAGATCTCGTGAGACTTATTCACTACCACAAGAAAAGTATGGAAGAAACTGCCCCCATGATTCAATCATCTCCCACCAGGTCCCTCCCACAACATGTGGGAATCCTGGGAGCTACAATTCAAGATGATATTTGGGTAGAGACACAACCAAACCACATCAAGCATCCTCCTCCTTTCCTCTTCTCTAATATTCCTGCAGTTCCTCATATCACTGGTATACATGTCTTCTTCCTTGGCTAGACAGGCAAGACGCTTAAACAAAGGATCTAAGTTCAAGTTTAATCTTTTCACTGACAAGTTCTGTTAACATAGACATTTACTTCATCTCTCTGAGCTTCAATATCCTCATATACTTTTGACACTCAACAGAAAAAAATACTGAATGACTTAAACCTGTGATCAATAGTGCTACAACATTCATAAAAAGTGCCTTGCAAACCATACAGCACCCTGTGATTATTACCTACTATCATTATCCCTAGTTTGTAGTTGCTTTGAAAGCAGGGTTCAAAACTTACTTGTGTTTGCCTCCATCCCACCCTTGAGGAATAAGGAAACCACTGGGTGTCACACTAATGAACATTTAAAGAAAGTGTAAAACAACACCAAGGCTGCCCTTTTAAAGCCTTCTCTTTCCCCTTCCCAAGGTGATCTATGCTCTGGTTTGATTTTTCTCTGCTCTGAACGATCCACTCTAACCCATGTTCAGAAATTAGTCTGTTTACACGGAGGTGCCTGCCTCCTGATGGCAAGCTCAAAAGACCAAACAGTGAAGCATTAGAAGGCCCTGGTAAACATGAAGATCTTGAGAATTCGATTTTGATTTATTGAACAGGATAATCCAGTGCCATTTTGTTCAGAGAGTTTGGTTAACACTGCTCTTCTGAGGTTGTTATCCCAAATTCCCTGGAGATCCCAGAAGTGAGGCCTCTTCTCAGAGCCATCTGGTCACCCATGTTTCTACAACTACAGATGGTCCCTGAATGATGATGGTTCGACTTACAATTTTTTTACTTTACCATGGTGTGAAAGCAATGTGCATTCAGTAGAAACTGTACTTTAACTACCCGTACAACCATGCTGTTTTTCACGTTCAGTACAGTATTCAATAAATATGTGAGATATTCAACACTTTATTATAAAATGGGTTTTCTGTTAGATGATATTGCCCAAATGTCAGCTAACGTAAGTGTTCTCAGCACGTTTGAAGTAAGCTAGGCTAAGCTGAGATGTTCGGTAAGTTATGCATTTTAAATGCATTTTTGACTTACACTATTTTCAACTTACAATGGGTTTGTTGAGAAGTAAGCCCATCATAAGTGAAGGAACATCTGTACCTCCTTTTCCCATTAGGGGCAGAAGCAATTACTACCCAGATCACTCTCGCACATCCAGGCACAAAATTGCCTTGGAATTACTTTTCAATTTTAAGAGACCCTGGAGCACCTAGCCCAGGAGCTGTCACTCTCTGCAATTAAGGGGAAAAAAAAAAAAAAGAAAACCTTAAATGATGCACTGTTTGCCCTGTTGGGGGAAGAAAGAAGCAAATAGGGCTTAATCAATCCCCACCTCAGGATTAGACCTCAGCAGCTTTGAGGCTTGGACCTACTGAGTGATTCTAGGTCTGGAAAATTTACCTCTGAGTCTCCCAGGCTTGCAGCATCACTTGGGAGGGCACTGCAGCTGTTTTTCCCCAGTTAGTTGCCAGAGTGTCCAAAACAGTCATGGAGGGGTGGGGAAGGTGTTGCAACTGGAGGGGTGGCAAGGTGTTGCATAACGACTCCCAAGAGAGTGGCAAAGGCCATCTTTTCTCATCCTAGGCATCCTAGGAGCCTGTGCATCTAGTTCTGTGGCAGTATTCTGTGCCATCTCATGCTCTGTGTAACTGGCTTCCCTTCCTGAAATTTAAATCTGGAGCAAAGGGACAAGGAAACCACAAAAATATTGGGGGGAAGGAGGGTCTATCCCATCCCACACTGTTCCTGCTTCCTACCGTTAGAAGCTGCCTCAATTCGGACACCTCGTTTTCCAGCCCCTGCCCATTTGGAAGGCTCTGACAGCATCCATTTTGTAAGAGTTCACTAGAATTGGTTTCTGAACCTTTTAATCTGGTCCTTGGGGAAAGCAGAACCATATTCTCTGAATTCTCCTCTGTGTTTCCCTATGTGTTGATGAAATAAACATCCAGCAAAGAGGTTGACTTCTTGGACACATTTGCCCCAGATGATATGGGACTGAACTACTTAACTACTTCCCCTTTCCCTCTGCAGCACATACGCACCAATGTACCAGGTGGAGAATAACTACTCTCTGTCCCAGGCCCCCAGGGGCAGGACAGAAATTGCTGATATAGCTGCAACCTCAGTGATCTTGCCTGCCTTATGAATTTCACTCCTACTATCAATTGTTTAAATAGTGAGCAAGAAAAATGACTCTCGAAGTAAAACAATTTGGCAAAAGCAACTCATGGTCTTTAGCTATCTCCGAAGAAGCAGAGTCAACCCCTGCACCACTGAGATGCATCACAGTAGGGGTTCCCGGAGGACGCAAAATGCAACTCTTATCTACAATTTGGGACCCTTATTTCTGCCTGAAGTTCTTTCTATTCATCTCAAGGAGCATCACAACATTCATGTAACTGTGATTAATCAAGTATATGTGGAAGTAAATCTACCCAGCTCCCCAGCTCTGTGTTTCTCTTGCCCTGAGAGAGAGCCTACCATCTTCCTCAATGAACTCAGAGTATAGTCCATCATCCAACAGACAGCCTTCCACTAAGGATACCCAGGGGTTCCCAAGGCATTCTGTACAACACTTCTCTCTAGTGGTCAGAGTAGGCTAACTGATATGATAGACAACACCCAAAGTCTCAGTGGCATAACACAAGGAAGTTTGTTTCTCATATCACAGTACAACACAGGTCGGTTGGGGAAGTGGACATTTCTACTCCATACAGTCATTCAGGGACCCAAGCCCTTTCCATCTTGTGGTTCCACCCTCCCCTAAATACTTGAAGTTCTCTCCATTTTGACATCAGATGATGAAAGAGATAGAATGTTGAGAATTGCATGGGTGATTTTTATGGTCCACATTGGGAATTGGTCTAATTGCTTCTGCCCACATTTCACAGGTCAGAACTCAGTCACACAATCTCATCTCATTGCAAACAAGTCTGGGAAATGTAGTCTAGCTGCATGCCCATGAGGAAAAGGAATGGGGCTTGGTAAATAAAGGAATGCCACTGACCCCTAGCAGTGTGTGGTGGTGGTGGTGTCGGGTCCTGTCTCCTCTGGGATGTGAGCTCTTCAAAAGCAGAAATTGATTTTATTTTTGACTCTCTGACTGATGAACACCAGTCTATGAACCCAGGCTGAACGGTCCAGAAGGTATCATCTCAGAGGTGGAGCTGAAGTCACAGCTGACCACACTGCCCAACTAGCTGCCAGGCACCTGGCACACACAGGCAGATTTTGACAAAGGCCATCAGCTGGGAGCCTGACAACCACAGCAGACCCAGAGAGTTTCAGGCACAGAGGCAGGGAGAACCTAGAAGAACCCTAAGCCAAGAAAATAGCTTTCTCCCAGAGCACAGAGATTTCTGGGAAGGGCACCAACCCAGCTTGGACTTAGGGTTTATAAAGGACTGCCTCACTCATCAATGTGTTAATTCTCATCACAAAAGAGATCAGGCCTTAACATACCTACTTTACAGATGTGGGAATAGAGGAGCTTTCCCCAAGTCTAACAGCACTAGAACCGAAGTCTCCTAGCTAAGGAACTGCATGAACCTACCAGACTATTCTCTATGCTGATCACCCATGAGCATTCAAGGAAACATCCCTTAGGGACCTTTGGGAACCTGAGAAGCCCATACCTCCTCTGGAAGTATTCCGTGCTGTCTCTCGCTCTGTGTAACCAGGTGACCACGTACGCCTGGCAATGAGTTACATCACCCAGATGTGTTTTGAGGAATCTGTTTGTTTTCAAAATTGACTTAAATAAGGAATGTTTAAACATGTTTCTTGTTTTTAATGCAGGTCCTTATTTTAAGTCATGTTTAAAAATCAAAAAATTTCACATAAAAATATAAAGCTGTGGGCTTTTCTTTTAAAAAAAAAAAAATCTCAGGAGGCCCAGCTACCCTGAGTCTGATTCCCACAAGGCGACGCTCACCCAGAGCTGAGTAGGCGCTGTTCCCAGAGACAAGATATGTGTCCTCCAGGTCCCCACAACCCCCACCTTCCTATTTTTCTTTTTGGTCCATGTTATTCATTTAAATCACTCTCTGGCCTTTCTGAGCATTTGAGTTTGTAATCCCTGTCCTATTTATGCTCAAGTCCTTGATCATTTATCCCCTCAATCATTCATCTATACACTCAACAGTTGTTTGCTGAGTGGTTGTTCTGGGCCAGGTTTGTGCTGGACAGCAATGATGAAAATAAGACATGACCCTGCCCTCAGAGAGCTCACAGTCTAAAGAGAAACACAAATGAAGAAACACATCCTTGTAAATGTATTAAGCGCTGTGAAACTCATATTTTTAAAAGTTCGTACAGATACCATTGGTGCCTGACCCACATCGCCTGGGCACTCAACATTCCCGCGCAAGGAGATAGTTTCCTACTATGAGCACCTGCCACTCTCCCCTGAGTGTCTCCTGCATGCAGGCTAGAAGCATTGGAGAGTGAATGTCCCCAGAAACAGCTCTCAACCAATGACTAACCAGAGTTGGTGGATAAATACCCCAGCTCACCCCTCAAGGAGGAAAATCATGATGTGTGTTTTATGATGTCCACCAGAAGTTCCCCAGTTGCCAATATCGGTAAGCTTCTCGGTAAAGTACTCTATACTTTCCCTTCCCCATCCCACTTCCCCTCTCTCCTACTGTCCCTCTCTCCAATAACCTCCCCAGTCAACCACTTGCATTCCCACCCTTGTCTTAAGGTCTGCTTGTAGGGATGCCCAATCTGAGACACGCACCAGTAACCACCTGGGAAGCGCAACTCTTTTAAGTTCGTTTAACTGAAATGGAAATGTACTGCCAATTAGCCTGGAATGGGTCAGGGAAGAAATCTAAACAATTCACTAGCTTTCCTTTAAAAAGTAATCATAACAATAATCAGGCTAATGAATGCTGCCTGAGCAATGGCAGGGACTATGTGCTTTAGCACCTGGGGCTGCTGATTGCCGTCTCTTTGGGGACTTGCTGCACATTAAATCAGATTAATCAGCCCCTTTGCAGAGAGGCCAGGCCCACAGCCATGATGACCTTCCTTTCAATGAACTCCTGTGATGCTGCTTTTAGAAAGAAGGCAGGCCTGAAAAAATCATGGAGTAGATCAGAACTCAGGAAAAACTGATGTTATTTCATCAGTTCCTCTCAACATGCCTTGGAGGGAGACAATATCAGCTTCACTCTCAGGGGATGGGGGTGGCAACAGGGACTTGGAAGAGTCAGGTGATTTATCTGAGTTCACATGGTCCAAATCCACCAGACTCTACGCCCACACAACTGCCCTGTCACCAGGCTGTATGTGTCTGTGTTTTCCTGTGTCTGAAGACTGGGATGAGGAGGGAAGGAAAGAGCACTAAGACCTAACCTTGGGTCTTAGAGCAGGGGCCACAGTGCTGGGAATGGCCATTAGCCTGTAGGTTGCTGTTTCCCTCTGGTCCAGAAGGTGACCAGAGAAGAACAAAGGCAAAGTAGGCAGTGACACAGCAGGAAGAGAATCTGGAGCAGAAGAAACAAAGAGGATACCTTTTTCTTTTGTGGGAAGATCATGAGCAAGGGTTCAAGGCAGCTCAGAAATGTCTGGGGGTGCTTTATGAGGGATTAACTCTTTAAAGAAACTGATGAGGCCAGGTGCAGTGGCTCACACCTGTAATCCCAGCACTTTGGGAGGCTGAGGTGGGCAGATCACTTGAGGTTAGGAGTTCGAGACCACCCTGGCCAACATGGCCAAACGCTGTCTCTACTAAAAATACAAAAATTAGCGGGGCATGGCGGGGTATGCCTGTAATCCCAGCCACTCCGGAGGCTGAGGCACAAGAATCGCTTAAACCCGTGAGGTGGAGGTTGCAGTGAGCCAAGATTACACCACTGCACTCCAACCTGGGGTATAATAGCAAAACTCCGTCTCAAAAAGAAACAAAGAAAAGAAAAGGAAAGAAAGAAGGAAAGAAGGAAGGAAAGAAAAAGAGAAAGAAAGAAAGAAAGAAAGAAAGAAAGAAAGAAAGAAAGAAAGAAAGAAAGAAAAGAAAGAAAGAAAGAAAGAAAAAGAAAGAAAGAAAGAAAGAAAGAAAAAATGAAACTGATGAAAGTTCATGTGCTAACATTTGGATATACATAGAAAATGAAATATCTTTGGGTAATAATCTCATTATGTTGTCACAGGCAGATGAGGCCAAAAATATAGGGTTCTGCTTTCTTGAGCGTATGTAAAGACTAGGCAGCAACGTACATAAAGGGCCAGCACCAGGCCTGGTACTTCAGTTTGGCTCCATGAAAGTTTGTTCACTCCTTCTCACCCCTTTCCCAATTCTAGCAAATTGGAAGCTCCCCAGCCTGATTTTTCAGTGCTAATGTCTGCCTTCCAGAATCCCAGACTGCCTGCTTCTATCAAGAAGCCATAGCAATATTTCCAACCCATCAACACTTAAATATGAGGCCAATTTGCCCAATACACTGTCTATTTATTTTCCAGGCTACAATCTTTATGATGCATATTCCTGAGGCAGTTAATTTGCTCTTGAATACATCTCTTTGTGTATTGGTTACCCATTTCATTAGCTGTGATATTGAGACTGGCTGGGACATGTAGGGGATTTTTCACAGAGTGAAAGAAGGTTTTTAATAAGCCCCATCATTGCTGGCTTTATGGTGCCATTTGATGAGCAACAAATGTATTCATTTGGCAGCTGCATTCCTTAATCAGGTATTCACTGAGTAACAGCATATATAAATATGGAAAAACACAGAATTTAAGGAGCTGAGTGCAATCATTTTCCACAGGGATTGGAGCATTGTCTGTATTCATCATCAGTTTTCAGGCAAGGGCCTCTCCTTGCTGTATATGGGATTCTCTACAGCATGCAGTACCCAGATATGACTCACTACCATCTATCAGGAGCACCTCTTCTCCACCTGAGATGCTGTCCTCTCTTCCACATCAAACAAGTCCCCAGCATCTTGACTTCTTTGGCCAATGGTACTAAACCTTTCCTGTGGCTCCCATCTCTTTTGCCCTTAAAATGTCCCCCAGAAAAAAATTACTAAACCAGGTTAGCTCTTAAACATAAAATGTATCCTAATGATTAGAGCAAGAAATACACTTTCAGTTTCTTAATTTCTCAAATTATTAAAAATTAAAAATACACAACTCTTTCAAAGTTTGCTGACTCAGTCTCCAACTTATGTTCAGTCACACTTAAGAAGTAAGACACCGCTGCCTGGAGTGGCTCACACCTGTAATCCCAGCACTTTGGGAGGCCGAGGCAGGGAGATCATTTGAGGCCAGGGGTTTGAGATCAGCCTGGACAACACGATGAAACCCCGTCTCTACTAAAAGCACAAGAATTAGCCAGGCATGGTGGCAAACACCTGTAATCCCAGCTACTTGGGAAACTGAGGCATGAGAATCACTTGAACCC